>NC_000002.12:43220655-43523685 GCF_000001405.40 Homo sapiens | reverse complement strand
TACTAGTACTGACTCATAGACATCAACAATTCTGTGGACAGAAATCATTTAAATATGTATTTAAACTTTCATCAGTTAATTATAGCTACCATGATTCAAATTCAACAGAAAACTTTTGATGAGCAATTTAAATATAATACTGAAAAAATAATTTCTTCTACCTTTCTGGAGAATGAAAGACCAAGTCTCTAAAGAATATGCAGTTGAGAAATAAATAAATGCAGAATGTAATATATAAGATTTGGGGAAGAGTCATTCAGCTTTGAATGAAAGAATATACAATCTTGTGTAAACTTTATTTTTAATTTAATTTATTTATTTGAGACAGAATCTCTCTGTTGCCAAGGCTGGAGTGCAGTGGCATGATCTTGGCTCATTGCAACTTCTGCCTCCTGGCTTAAGTGATCAGAATCTGTCTCAGCCTCCCAAGTAGCTAGGACTTACGGGTGTCTGCCACCATGCCCAGCTAATTTTTGTATTTTTTGTAGAGATGGGGTTTCGCCATGTTGCTTAGGCTGGTCTCGAACTCCTGGGCTCAAGCAGTATCCCACCTCAGCCTTCCAAAGTGCTGGGATTACGGACATGAGCCACCGCGCCCAGCCTAAACTTTTATTTACATTTCATTTGGGAAATGTGTCTAAATAAGACACTATTTCTCACTGAGTGTCCTATTAATTTTATTTGAAATATGAATAATTAAATAAAGAATAACTAAGAGATGAGCCACCTTGGGGAGCCATATTCTTTTTTTTGTTTTGTTTTGTTGAGATGGAGTCTCGCTGTGTTGCCCAGGCTGGACTGCAGTGGCGCGATCTTGCCTGGGGAGCCATATTCTTTATAGAGAGAAAAATCCTTTTAATTTCCCTTTTCTATTGTGGATTAAAAGAATTTGGAGAAAACTAGAATGTCTTGATGTATACATTCTAAGTGTTTGTTAATGATTCCTGCATTTTTATTTTCATTTTTAAGCCTACTGTAATAGTTGAGTCAGATATTACTGTTTTTCCTCGATATTTGAACACTCATTTAAAAAGTTTTCATAATAACACTTTGTCATTTAGACAATAGCAGAGGGACTTTGTTCTCAGTGAGTAACCTCTATGCCAGCTTTTTAAGTAAAGTTTTAGAATTTTTTTAATATTAATTTTTCTCCTTGATCTTAGGGAATGATTATATTAAATAATTGAGAGAACCAGCTATCTGGTACATCTTCCAATGACTTCTTTTAATCCACTGTATCTTGTCCTTCTCCCCATGGCCCTCTGATTGGTAATTCAATTTAGATTTGGTCATTGTATTATTGCCTGTGCCTGCAGCTAAGTCTTCAAAATAGCCCCCTAATGTTTTAGCCTGCAGTAAGCCTCAATAATGTATGATAGTGGTGAGGGAGGTTAAGATGGCTTCTCTTGATATGTAGCTTTCTAACAGGATTTCATTTGGGCAAATCATTTTTCAGGCTTAAAGTTTCCTGGTGCTTCAGGGTTGTGTTCCTATTTAAAATATACATGCAAACAACCTTCCTGCACACATCTATTAGTGTTTAGTTTCATTGAAATAATAAACATGAACTTTGAAATAATAAATATAATACTTGACCAAAGATTGAATGGAGTTGAATGGGAATTTAGCTTATGAAATAATTAGAGATTGGGAAAATCTCTAAGTTAGAAAAAATAAATCATACTGAAAGAGTTTGAGGAAATGAAGGTGACATTTCTCAGTTAGCAATAGTAATATAAGTTAAAAATAGCTCTGTGCTACTACATGTAGTTGGATGGATGAAGCCATTTAAAAGCCACTTTGTAGTCAGGGAATCGGATTTATTGGTACAAAATAATTGTCTAATGACCAGTTAGTTGGGTATACAGCTTATGTAATTTGATTTTAGTCTGCGGGTTTTATTCTTATCTTAGAATACTTATCCAGTGGGAGTGAGATAGCTCTGTGGATAGGAGTTGGAGTAATCTGTTTATGGAACAATAATTTGCTTCAGTGATCTGCTCAAGACAATACAAAGGCCTGAATAGCAGCTATAGCCTGGCCTGTTCACTTCTGTTACTTTTAGTAGGGGCTTAGGCCATAGCACTTAGCATAGGAAAACAGCAACAACAAACCCCTTACCTTTTTTTTGAGCTGGAGTCTTGCTCTGTCGCCCAGGCTGGAGTGCAGTGGTGCAATCTCGGCTCACTGCAACCTCTGTCTCCCGGGTTCAAGTGAATCTCCCACCTCAGCCTCCCGAGTAGCTGGGATTACAAGAGCAAACCAATATGCCAGGCTAATTTTTTTGTATTTTTATAGAGACTGGGTTTCGCCATGTTGGCCAGGCCAGTCTTGAACTCCTGACCTCAGGTGATCCACCTGCCTCGGCCTCCCAAAGTGCTGGATTACAGGAGTGAGCCACCACGCCCGGCCCTCCCTACCTCTTTTTGTGCATCTGCCTGCCTGCCTGCCTTCTTGTCTGCCTGCCCTCCTGCCCTCTTTCCTTCCCTCTTTCCTTCCTTCTTCCCTCCCTCCCTCCTTTCCTTCCCTTCCTTCCCTCCCTTCCCTACCTTCCCTCCCTTCCCTACCTTCCCTCCCTTCCCTCTCTTTCCTCCCTTCCCTTCCTTCCCTTCCTATCCTTCCCTTCCTTCTCTTCCTTCCCTTCCTTCCCTTCATTCCTTCCCTCCCTTCCCTCCCTTCCCTCCCTTTCCTCCCTTTCCTCCCTTCCTCCCTCCCTTCCTCCCTTCCTTCTTCCCTCCCTCCCTCCCTCCTTCCCTTTCTTTTTTCTTCCCTCCCTCCCTCCTTCTTTAAGAATTTCTACTCTTCATACCGTGCTGCTTTCTAGGTTCTGATTGGGAAAGTCAGGATTTTGGATATAAAAGACTGAGGGAAGCTGGATACATTTTTAGTAAGCTTCCTTGAGAACTGGTAAACCGTTTGTTGTTGTTGTTGTTGATATATATGTGTGTGTGTGTGTGTGTGTGTGTGTGTGTATATATATATACGTATAAATATTTGAGATAGGGTCTTACTCTTTTGCCTAGGCTGGAGCACAGTGGTGTGATATTGGCTCATTGCAGCCTCAACCTCCTGGGCTCAAGCAGTCCTCTCACCTCAGCTTCCTGAGTAGCTGGGACTACAGGTGTGCACCACCATGCCTGGCTAATTTCTTTGTATTTTTTGTAGAGATGGGCTTGTGCCGTGTTGCCCAGGCTGGTCTCCAACTCCTGAGATCAAGAGATCCTCCGGCCTTGGCTTCCCAAAGTGTTGGGATTACAAGCATGAGCCACCGCGCCTGGCCATATTTTGTAGATTAATAACATTTTGTGTTACTGAGTTGTTTATGATGAACCTTGAACCCCTTTTAAGAAGGTTGCAATTTTACAATGTACTCAGAGGCTAAAGACACTGTATATTTTGTATTAATTCGACAAGATAGCCAAATAAAAACAAAATACCTTCAGACAAGAGGCTGTCTGCTTATTTAGTGGAAAGGCATTCACTAACAAAAGCAGGATTTTGGAATTCCCCATAGCTGTGGTTGGTGACTACATAGAGTTGGCTCAAAGAACCAAGGACTGTTTCACTCGAGAACCTTTCTTTTTATATCCTTGCTAGGCCCTGGATTGTGTGATGAAGAACCAAAACAAACAACTAGGGTTTGCTGTATTGTTCTTGGGAACCTTGCATGGTTTCATTTTTACCTCTCAATTCCTTCATTATCATAAACACCAGCAACCCTGGAGTTTTGAAATCACTTCCTTATAAAGAAATCTTTCCTTGCTGGGGAGCAGACAGAAGGTTCATTGAATAGTCAGAACTCTATTCTGCTTTTTATAGGCACAGTGACCTCACTATTGAGAAGACTTAGGGTTCCAGCTCCCTGCTTTTTATACCTGGTTTGTCAATTTTATGCCTACCTGCAGGCACAGCTAATGTGCGCCAGCTGGCACCAGCACTAGTTGCTCCTTAATTATTCAACAAAAGATTTCTTAAACATCTACTGTGTGCCAGATGCTGTGTTTGACTGAGCTCTCTTTGACCATTGAGAATATGATATGGTAGGCCACAGTTACTGTGAACCTAGACATAATTACCAGAGTCTAAATAGGAAACATATAACTGTGGAAGTAAGAGAGGGATGTGAGGACTTGAATAAGGGACTAAGGATTGTATGGGACCATGATGAGGAGTTTTGGGGACATTCTCATCAGGAACTACTTATGTATTTTAGAGTCATTATCTTCTCTATATAACCCAGGGAATGTTCATTGAATTTTCAAAGCATTTTTATTTTATTTTCATTCTAAAGCACTGAGAATCAAGTGATTTATCTATAGCTACACATGTAGTTGGTGATTGAGCCAGCACTAGAATCTAAATGTTTTTCTGGAATTTCATAGCATTTCAGAGGTTAGCAGTTTAACAAAAGTTTATTGATTATTGCTTTCTATAAGGAATTGTGATAGCTAGGATAAAAATATTGATAAAACATGGGCCTTGTTTTTAGAGGAACTTTCAACCTAGCATTTTAATCTTTGGGATTAGATAAGTAAGTCACATAATTTACAAGACAGACGTTAAAGACCAAGACAAAGATCCGCTCACTGAACTGTCTATCCTAGGTGATGAGAAGAATAATTAATGCCAATAACATTGGCAAAAAGCAAGGCAAGCAGGAGGGCATGATGGGAGGGAGAATAATGCTTTAAACATGCTGAGTTAAAGGTAGTTTTGGGAGGCTGCCTAGCGGGATAGCAGACAGTTGGAAATACAGGTCAGGAGATTAGCAGAGGGGTCCAGGTTGGAGATAGTGTGACCTGGGACTCCCCCAATATTTTAGCAGTAAATGTCCAGCATTCTGGGAAATCCTTTAGTCCCAGGCAAATAGGGACAGTTGTTCACTCCAGCTGGAGGTATATGTTTGAAAGTCAGCCAAACAGAGGAAATAGATGAAGCTATGGGCCTAGAGGAGATCTCCTAAAGAGGCTTAAGAAAGAAAGGAAAAAGTTATCATCTTGAATTAAATTTTATAACTATTGTTAAAACTCAGAGACATTGCTCATATGAAACATAGTTTCTACTCTGTGTTCATAAGTGTACAAACCTCGGTTAAATAACACTTTTACATGAACCTGAACTATACTTGCTTTTGAACCCTGTACTTGGTTTTGTTCTTGGGTCTTAGAGAAAAAATGATCTCTTGGGGTAGCAGTTAGGTTAATAGAGTTGATTTTGGTAAGCTGTTTGGGGATTTCAGTAGGAAATATTCTTGTATGAATACTATAACCCTGGTATGTGGAGATTTGCTGAATGTGTTTGTACGTGTTACAGGAAGCTAAGCAGCTGCATCAACTGCTGGCTCTTAACAGTGGCACTTCTCATTGGAAAACATTTTTGTTTGTACTTTCTTTTCTAGTTATTATACCCTCTTTCTTTGTCAACCTGGTTTGTTAGACTGCCATATTCAATGAAGTTAGTAAATTATATGTCATTCATTTATTCAACAAATATTTATTGAGCTCCCTATAGGGTATCAGGCCGTGTTATAGGTGCTGGGAATAGAGAAATAACAGGAAGGAATGTGTCCTTGATACATGGAGATGTAGAAAATAATAAACTATCTGCTAGCAGTGTGTGTTTTTATGTGATAAAGTTTGGTGGTAAGGAAGATTCTTTCCTACTAGACTAAAGTAATATTTCAGCCAGGGCCTGAATGGCAAGAAGCAGCACCTTTTCTGGAGAAGAGCTTTCCAAGCAATGAGAACCACTAACGCCAAAATCTATGGTGTATTAAAGAACAGAATGGTGTAAGATAAAGTTTAATGAGATTGTCCAGATACGTAGGGCTTTGTGAGCCAGGATGAGTTTGGATTTTTTGCTCCCTGGGAAATCTTTGTGTTTTCTGAGAGTCTCCAACCACATGTATATAAAAATAGAAGGTATCTTGGAAATGGTACACACATTAATATTTATGGACCCTAGTAGGTAACTTCAAGATTACGAGCAAATGAAGTGCACGTGCGTTTGATAGAGTTGCATGGAAGCGGGGAGGGGACTGGATGAAAAAATGAGAAACTTCATGGATGTGTAAAATAAATGGACATAAAGTTTCTGTTCCCAGAAAGTATACTATTCCTTTCTAAGCTGCCACTTTGTTCTTTAACCTAACAAAGTGAAAGTCTGTGTTTATGGGAAAGGGAAAGGATTTTCTTCCTTCTTGTGCTTTGTAAGTAAACTATTGTTTGGTAAATAAAGATATTGGCAGAGGCTTACCCTTACTCAGTTGAGGTTATACAAATTACCTTCCTGGCAGTTTGAGTCTTTTCTGGGAATTTTGCTTCAATACGTTGGCTTTAAATGTACTTCATATTTAAATGTGAAATTAATTGCTTTGTGTTTGCAGGTGAAGTAATTTCTTCAGGCTACCATGAATCATTCAGTTAATATAAGAAAGCAGTTTATTAATAGTAATAAACTTCCCCAGTTCCCTAAGGGAGTGGGGGTACCTCGAAAACAAATGAGACACAATTCAATTCAAGTCAGTCACAAAAAGGTTATCTACTGAGTGGCTTTTCTGTAGAGTATTTTAATTTTCTAGCTAGCTCTCTATTCATGTCACCCAGTTCATTTAGAACTATTAATACTTTAACCCCCACCCCAATGGTAGATGTTCAGGGAATGAAATCAATCTGAAAAGTAACCTGAATAAAACATGATCAGGAAGTTAATATCTTAAAAATTGTATTCTCTGGTAATACATTCCAAAGCCACATGAAAACATTTTGTAAATCACGTGCCCTTTGGAATTTTTATTCTGCGGTTCTATTTTTAGGACATAGCATAGTGCAAAGCAACCACTAGCTACCTGATAGATCTCTTTAAAAAATAAAATAGTGAAATTCACTAAAACAAATATTAGAGAGTTGATAGTATTTTCATCATGAGCCAGATCTGAGCATTTAGGGCAGGCACATTGAAATAATGCCTTTTTATTAGGCAAGGGCTTTGGTGTCAATATACATTTTAATTCTCCCTCTGCCACGTACTTGCTATGTAACCTTGAGCAAATTATTTAGCTTCCGTCTCTTCTACCCCCTTATTTTACCCAATTTTTAAACATTAGTGTGAAATATTTGCATGTACTAGAAGGTATAGTGAATACTAAAATTAGCAGTTGTACAACCACGATGTAAATACCTGGAGGAAGAGTATTCACGGCAGAGAGAATGTCAGGTGAAAAAGTCCTGAGAGGCTTGGGCTTAGGGTAGGTATTTAAGGAACATCAGGTAAACCAATTATGACTGGAGTAGTGTGAGCATAGGAAAGAGTTGTAGATGAGATCAGAGAAGTTGTGAGGACTAGACAGCCTAAGACATTGTGTAAGAACTTTGGCTTTTACTCTGAGTAAAATGGGGAGCCATTGGAGTGTTTGTGAACAGAGGAGTGACATGATCTCATCTTTTAAAAGGATTACTCTTACTTCTGTGTTGATAATAGACTATAATAGTGAAAACAGAAAGACCGATTAGTTACAATATTGCTATACTACAGAAAAGAGATAGTGATGACTTGGAAAGTGGTGGAGGAAGTAAAACGTGATCTGAATCTGGATGTAACGTGAAGATAGAGCAGGCAAGGTTTGTTGACAGATTAGATTTGCTATTTGAGAGAGAGAGCATAACTACAAAGTTTTTGGCTTGAGCCCCTGAAGAGATCGATTTGTTATTCTTTTATTAGGATGGGCAAGACTGTGGGTAGAGTAGGTTTTTGGAGGAAGATCAGGAGTTTAGTTTGGGGCATGTTAAGTTTGGCATGTCTAGTAGACACCCCATTGAAACTACTTTAGGTGTACTTTGTTGAAGTACATCCTTTAGAATTTCTTTTGGTGAGAGTCTCTGGAAGGCAGACTTAATCTTTGTATATTTCAGATTGTCTTTTTCTTACCTATGCTTTTGAATGTACTTTAACGGGGTATACAATTCTGGTGGACAGTTGTTTTCCTTCACTGCTTTTGTTATTGCCAGTGAGAAACTTGTGTTTGGTATAATTGATGTTCCTTTGTAGATCTCCAGTTTTTTTTCCTTTAAATCTCCTGTGGCTTGTAAGTTTTTTTATTAATCACAATTTTGCTATGCTTTTTCCAGGTATGGAACTATCGTTATGTATATACACACACATACTTTATGGTTTTTTCATTCTGTATACTGTTTTGGGTAAATTTCCCAGAAAACTATCTTCTAAGTCACGAATTCGTTAGAATTCATCTTATCTGTTTTATATGTGTGTGTGTATATATAGTTTATATATATTATATATAAAATATTATATATTATATATTATATATTATATATAAAATATTATATATTATATTATATATTATATATAAAATATTATATATTACATATTATATATTATATATAATATATTATATATTATATATTATATATTATATATAATATATTATATATTATATATTATATATAATATATTATATATTATATATTATATATAATATATTATATATAATATATAATATATTATATATAATATATAAAATATATTATATATTATATATAAAATATATTATATATAAAATATATTATATATAATATATATATTTATATATATTATATATAAAATATATTATATATAAAATATATATATTTATATATATTATATATAAAATATATAATATATATAATATTATATATTATATATAAAATGTTATATATTATATATAAAATATTATATATTATATATAAAATATACGTAAAATATATATTATACATAAAATATATATTATACATAAAATATATATTATACATATTATACATAAAATATATATTGTACATATTATTATATATAAAATATATATTGTACATATTATTATATATAAAATATATATTGTACATATTATTATATATAAAATATATATTATACATATTATATATAAAATATTATATATTATACATATTATATATAATATATATTTATATATATATTATATATATTATATATAATATAATATATTATATATTATTATATACAATATATATATTATATATAAAATATACATATATATAAAATATATAAAATATATATAAAATATACATATATAAAATATACATATATGTTATGTATATTATTTATATTGTGTATAAAATATACATATTATGTATATTATATATTATATATAAAATATACGTATATATTATGTATATTATATATATTATATATTATATATATATTTTTTAAGACAGGGTCTCACTCTGTCACCCAGGCTGGAGTGCCTTGGCATGATCTCAGCTCACTGCAACCTCTGCCTCTTGGGCTCAAGCGATCCTCCCACCTCAGCCTCCCAAGTAGCTGAGACTACAGGCAAGTGCCACCATGCCCAGCTAATTTTTGTATTTTTTTGTAGAGATAGTGTTTCACCATGTTGCCCAGGCTGGTCTCAAACTCCAGAGCTCACGTGATCTGCCTGCCTCGTCCTTCCAAAGTGCTGGGATTACAGGCGTGAGCCACCGTGCTTGGCTGAAAGTACACTTTTATTTCTAGTCTTTTTTATTTTTATACATGCCTGTTCTTATTTCACTACGGCTTGTTTTTCATGATTTCTTGTTCTTTATTTTTTTTTTTTTTAAGGGACAGTGTCTCACTGTGTCATCCACACTGGAGTCTAGTGGTGTCATCATAACTCACTGTAGCCCTGAATTCCTGGGCTCAAGTGATCTTCCTGCTTTAGCCTCCTGAGTTGCTGAGACTACAGATGTGAGCCACCATGCCCAGTTAACTCTTCTTAAATAGAAGTTATTCCCTTATTTATCACTTCAGTATCCTAAACATAGTTATTTTAAGGTTTTTGTCAGACTGCTCCATAAAATTAGTTTCATATAGAGTGAATGTGTGTTATTACTGATTTTTTTAGGTTGTCTTTCTTAATATAAAATTTATTTCTATATTTTGAATTTTGGCTCACTGGCTATGATGGGAGCCTTTTGTTTACTGATCTCTTTCTAGGCTCTTTCCTCTCTATCAGAGGAACTAGATTAGGTAGTGGTATTTTGGGTGTCCCCCTTCACAGTGAAATTGGGGATATCATAGATCTAGTCACTGAGTTAGTAGTCAGCCTGATTCAGAGGCCCCCTGTGCCCTTGGCTTTTCCTACTGCTACAGCCTCAGGCAGCTCTGGCAGTAGCCCTTTTTCAGGTTCTTCTCAAAAGAGATGAGGCTGCTGAAATTCTTTGGCTGCCACTACTGCTTCTAAATCTGTAACTCTTGGGTCTCTGGTATCAGCACACTCACTACTTTGCATTTCTGTTCATTTTTACCCAGATGATTATCTTGCTTTTGGACTCAGCTGGTTTTGGGGTTTCTATTTGTATATTTTGCATATTGTTAACATTAACTTGCATTGTAGGGGGATGTCCTGTCAAAATGGAAACTCAGCTGTTTCATCTCTATCATTTCAATTGAAACTTTTAATACTTGCTTTTCTCATAATAACCGATGATTTTAGAAAATGACCATTAAGAACTTATTAGACATAAGAACAAACTCAATCCTTCCAAAAACTGTCATTTTATAGAAGAGCAAAGTGAGAAAATGGAGAAATTTAGTAAATTGCCTTGGATTGTACAGCTACTAGGTAGCAGAGAAAGGATTCTAAACCAGATAACACGGGTCCATAATCTGTGTTCCTAACCACTGTGATATATTCCCTCTCATCTGTTAGTTGGGAAAAATAACTTTCTCATAGTTTGTTCCAAGAATGAAGTAAGAGCAGCTGTGAAAAGCCTGGTGTCGTACCAGACGTGTAATAGACATCCAACGAATATTTGTTTTTCTTTCCTTTGTGGCAGGCAAATATATTTCCAGTATGATAGTTTAAATAAAACTTGTGGCCGGGTGCGGTGGCTCACGCCTGTAATCCCAGCACTTTGGGAGGCCGAGGCAGGCGGATCACCTGAGGTTGGGAGTTCGAGATCAGCCCGACCAACATGGGGAAACCCCATCTCTACTAAAAATACAAAGTTAGCTGGGCGTGGTGGCCCATGCCTGTAATCCCAGCTACTCAGGAGGCTGAGGCAGGAGAATCACTTGAATCTGGGAGGCGGAGGTTGCAGTGAGGCAAGATCGCGCCATTGCACTCCAACCTGGGCAAGAAGAGTGAAATTTCGTCTCAAAAACAAAACAAAACAAAAACAAACAAACAAAAAACTTGTAAGTAGATTTTGTTTAAAATGTAGTATGTTTAATTTTAGTAAAAAGGGAGGGTGGAAGTTCCATTATTGGACCAAATTCCCTTGTATGGCTTTGAGGTCAGGACTTGCCTGGGAGAGGTGCAGAGCTGAGAAGCAAGGGAATCAGAGGAATGGGAACCGGTGGTAGAGTTCACACTGGAAACCAGATAAGTAAAGAATTCTGCGTAAAAGCTGGTTTGATGCTGGGGAATTCCAGAGCAGAATAAGAAGGTTTGGACTAGATGGTAGGAGCTGGTGCCTTGAGCATTTCCCAGAGCTCATGAGGTTCCTGGGTCCATGGTGCAGTGGGCAGAGATGGCTCTATCGATGGCATTTTGCCAGCCTTGACCTTGTAGAGCATTCTTCTGGCCTCTGTTTTCAAATTCTGCAAATTAACAAGGAGCATTTGGTTCTTAGTATGCAATACTCAAGGGAATAAATAGGCCCAGTTCACTGTTTACAGTTATACTAGCCAAGTGTTTAAATTAGGGAATTGCCTCTGGGGCCTTGACCTAGCTCTTTCCCCAGTCATCTCATCTTTTACTTCCTCAGCTCTCATATATGGACCTTCCACCATTCGACCTACATGTCCTTCAAAGTCTAGTTCAGATTCCAGCCCTTCCATGACACTGTACTGATCCCATGTACGCCTAATACCTAGTAGTTGCTTCAAGTTAATTGGAAGTTTAGAGAAAGGAAAAGTCCTCGTGAGATGCAGTATTTGGAGGAAGTTTCATCAGTTTGGATGAATAGGGATATGTGTGGAGACCATAAACGAATGCTTAGTTGGGAATATGAGGTGTGTGTGTTGTATGTTAGTATGAGAACCAGCAAAAAACAGTCTTACTAGACCAGAGGAGTTTGTGTAGGAACTTGGAAAAGTTAAGGTTAGATTTAAGTAGGAGGGTTGGGTCCAGGTCATAGGCAACCTTTCAAGCTAGGAGAGTTTGACAAAGTTAGAAGAGGAGTTAGATGATTTGGTTAATAGTCAAGAGCCACTGAAAGTTCATGCAGGGAAGGGTGATGCATAGTGAGATGTTCTACTCTCATTCCAGACCTGCCTTCTTGGAGTGGTTGGTTTTGCCACAGCCTCTGCGGGCTCACTCAGGGAGGCCCAGGGGAGGCCCACTGACAGTTGAGGAGCATTATTGAACTAGTATTTAGTGTATTTGTATTTCAGCACACTTAGGAAATTAAGGAAATAGGAAAGTACCTCTCATGTCCTGCAGTTCGTTCTTCCCCTTAGTTTTTCCTACGTAGCAAATCCCCTACAGGAGACGACCTTAGACTGTAGCATTATCTATAAGCTGGTTTTAACTTTCCCATGGTTCTAGGAAGAAAATGCAAGTATAAATTAAGCCCACAGATATTAGATCAAGTACTCTTTACCTTATTCACCTCTATAATTCCAGCTTCTTTTCTTCTTAGGTAGCTAAATCACCAAAAAAAAATTTTTGCTTTTTTTTTTTTAAATTTTTTTAGTTTTTTTTGAGATGGAGTCTTGCTGTGTCACCCAGGCTAGAGTGCAGTGGCGCCATCTTGGCTCGCTGCAGTCTCTGCTTCCTGAGTTCAAGCGATTCTCCTGCTTCAGCCTCCCGAGTAGCTGGGATTACAGGTGCCCGCCACCACACCTGGCTAATTTTTGTATTTTTAGTAGAGATAGGGTTTCATCATGTTGGCCAAGGTGGTCTTGAACTCCTGACCTCAGGTGATCCTCCCGCCTCAGCCTCCCAAAATGCTGGGATTACAGGTGTGAGCCACTGTGCTCACCCGGCCCAATTTTTTTTTTTTTTTTTTTTTACAGTGAAGAAGGAACAAAAGAAGGCAGTAATCTATATCATTAGCACTTAAGTAATTACTCTTAGGAATTTGGATTTCAGTTTTTGATTGGTCAACTGTGTGAGGATTATATCAAGCTGGCAATATTATTAATAGAGAAATTATTTCACAAAACACAAGACATTTATCTTAATTTAAAAAGATATAAAATCTAGTGCTTGGGAAGTAACCTCAATCCTTAAAAATACAAAAGTGTGGGGCAATTATTTTCATTATGAAAAATTCCAAACACATAAACGTGTGTATTTGTGTATATGTATATCACATATATTTAAAAGTAGAGAGAATAATAAGCGACCTTTACCCATCATCCAAATTCAATAGTGATCAAAGTTGAGTCACAACTGCTTCATCTATCCCTTTTTATTGTTGTTTGCTGAAGTATTCTAAAACACATCCCCGATTTGTGATTTTTATTCCTATGTACTCAGTATGCATCTCTAAAAATATGGAAACTTTGTTCCATGTTCACAGTGCAGTGGCACATTTTATAAAGAATTTCTTGATGTTATCTATTATCTAGTACGTATATAAATTTCCTCTGTTACTTGACAGTGTCTGTTTTACATTTCATTGTTCAAATCAAGATCTAAGCAAGGTTCACACACTACATTTGGTTGTTATGTCTCTGAATCTTTTTTAATCTAGTGGTTGGGAGTTTTGATAGCTGGTTTTGGTGGCTGAGGACAGGAGTGTCGAAGAAGCAAGGGTGAGGTGATGGATTTTAAGATATGCTAAAAGGAAATCTTTAGAATCACAGAGCCTGCTAGTAGTAGGGAGATGTAATTGTAACTTTTATGACTGAAATAATATTTTTAGGCCCATGTCAAACTTTAAAAAATGCCTCCTTTAAAGTAGTCTTATTTATATATTTTGTTCTATGTGAAACATATAGCTGAATCTGAGTTGCTATTTAGAATGTTTAGTCAGTAACTGAAGTTATCTGTTTTACACCAAACTAGAATAAAGAAAAAAAAATCCCAATGTTCCTAAGAGATCTAATTCTCACTGTAAATTGGAAATCAGTTATCTTTCTGCAACTTTTCTTCCTCAACTTAAAAAAGAGTGTTTTTCCTTTGGACTTTATCTGTAAATTTTCATATATTAATTTCAGTTAAAACCAGGTACTACCTTGCTAAGATAATTGTGTCTACCTACCACTGAATTTGGTATTCCTTGGGCAATGTTATACAGTCTAGTAGGGCATACATTTAAAAATTTTATAAAAATTAAATGTACTTGAGCACTCTAAGATAGCGCTTAATGTAATAATGCAGAAGCTCACTGATGTAATGTTCAAATCGCCTCAAAATGTTTATGCCTCTTCCCAGATAAATTGCTTTAATTCTCCAGAGGATCTGGTTGAAAATTTTGTGGTAGGCCTCATTTTGAGAGAGATGAAAATGATTACTAAAATACAGTTTAAAATGTGTTTTCTTTGAATATGTGTAATCCCTATAAACATAGAACATAAATTATAGTAAACTATAAACTTATATTCTCTTTGTTGGAAATCTTGAGTTGTATAGTATGAAATATCTGTGAGACCATGATCAACCTTTTCCTGAATATTTTGAGTGTGGATGCAAACCCATGTATCAAAATTTATTTTGCAGACAAGACACATGCTTTAAACACTGCAGTTGTTAGAAATGAAATCTTTAGATCTTAAGACCCATAATAAAGAGGAAAGTAGGTGAAAAGTATGAGACATGTTTTAGTTTCACCCCCACTCAATATAAGGATATTTATTATTTACTAACAGTGTAAATGTGCATCAATAGTTTGTACTTTTAACTTTGATACCTAATTCCGAATATTTGATTATATATGCCTTTTAGGTGCCCAAATGTGAGTCTGCAAAAGCTGCCAGAACAGTGGCTATGGAGTGTTTTAGAGGAAATTAAATGCAGTGATCCTTCATCTAAACTCTGTGCTACAAGGCGCAGTGCTGGAATTCCTTTCTACATACAGGTATTTATCTGTAGGACCCTAGCTGTTTGTTTATATTTGTCTTTTGATGATAGTGTATCCTAACCTGTTTGACGTGTGAGTGAGCGTATTACACATAAAGGACATTTCTGTCTTTTCAGCACCATAGCATTTGTGGCTTTGTTTTAATGTGGGGATGGTGTGTTCCTGTGACAAGATCTGTTCTTGGAACAAACCCTCTAAAAGGTCAATCTTGTAATATAAACAGAGGGTGGTATAAATTTCTGTCTGTGTATTAAGTAGGCAGACATCACTGTGGCACAGTCATTGCTCACTTCCAGGAAGTGCACATGTTACCCCACCACCCCACTGTATTTTTTTTTAAAAATAGTCTTCCTTTCATCTCAAGACCTTCAATACTCTCTGTAGGCAACCAGTGTTAACATTTTCTTTTCAATTCTCCTATAAAACGTCCATCCATAAAATAATCATGATCATAATAGTAGCTGACATTTATTAGTGGTTATTTCACCTCATTAACTCCTTCCCTGTACCCTATTATCATCCATATATTCTAGATGAAGAGACTGGGGTTTAGGTACGTTAAGTGACTTACCAAAGGCCACAGAGACAGTAAGAACTGAGTTAAGACTTGAGCCCAGGCAGCCTGACTCCCGAACCTCTCTGCATATGAGAATATGTGTGTGCGAGTCCGTTTTCCTTTTGAACACATATGAAAACATACACACTGCTTGCTCTTTGATTTCACTTAGTATTATACCTTAAAGATTGCTTCATATCAGCACATTTAGATATGGCTATTGATGGGAAAATATTTTATTTAGAAATTAAGACTGTTACCTTCATGAACCCAAAGAATAAAAACCAGTGTCTTCACAATACTAAATCAGACCCCATCCTGAAAGACCTTTGGTTAATATATAGTAAGATTAAATCCGGGAATATGGTGGTATAATAAAAGCACTGAAAATAAATGGAATGAAGTCTCTGATTTTTTTCATGCCCCTACATTTTTTCCTTATCTTTCTTACTCCTCCCTCAAATTCCTAAAATCCCTTTATGATTTTTTGGTGACAGTGGGCATCAGTTGCAGAGGTTGTTGACAGAGATCATTGAAGTAGTTCTGCTGAATGGATTTTGGTGACCTTCAGAAATCAACTTTTATTTGATCTGACCCATTCTGTATCAGTGTGTTTCATTCTCCTGCCTCTAATTCACTCTGACCTTGTGTTTTTACGTGTCATTTGTCTGTCTGAGATCAAATGTTAAGACAGGATCAAGGTCTCACTGCATATTTGTGCAGTGTGCTTCTTTCAGCTCTGGTGCCCAACTTATACTAAGTATTGGTCATAATGAGTAATCAGTAGGTGTACTTTCTTACCCTAGCCTTGGCAAGAATGCCATAACTTTACCTAGCTCTTTGGGAGAAAAAAGCCGTGGTTCCCTGAAGTCATTTTAGTAATTGAATGTAGCTTTTTTTTAGTTGAATGAAGTCTAAATTTTTTTTTAAAAATCTGCTTAAAGAGAGTCTTCATTTCTCTTAGCGTGACTTACTAATAAAGTTATATTCCTGTTTTGGTGGAAATCTGCTTAGTGTTAGCTATGGAAAAGAACTGTCTACTTAGTTTGTGAGTTTACCTTTTGTGTAGACAGATTAAAAAATATTTTCAATATAGACATAAAGTTTTTTTGAATAGTCATTTAAAAAATATATGTTATCTGAGCCTAAATAAACTATGAGAAATTTCTTCTAAATCAAACTATTTTTTGTATGTCTTTATTTTCCTCTTCTGTAGTTTTCAAATGCTTCAGAAGAAGCTAACTAACTTGTAACTTTCACTCTTGAGAGCCAGTAGCTACAAACATGAAAAGTAGACATGGAGAAAGGGAGTCTGGGAATGTGACTAAAGTGACATTTTTTAACAGCTTTATTGAGATGTAATTCACATACTATATAGTCACCCTTTTAAAGTGTACAATTCAGTGGTTTTCAGTATATTCACAGAGGTGTACAACCATTATTTAGTTTTAGAACATCAACCCATGAAACCTCCCATACTCATTAGCAGTCACTTCCCATTTCTCTCTACCCCTGCCACTCAGCCCTAGGCAATCACTAATCTACCTTCCAGATCTATACATTTGCCCTTTCTGGACATTTCATATATATGGAATCATACAGTATACGATCTTTTGTGTGTGGCTTCTTTCACTTATCGTAATGTTTTCAGAGTTCATCCATGTTGTAATATATATTAGTACCTCATTCCTTTTTATTGCCTCAAGTGGCTTAATACCCTATTTTTATGTTTATTGGACATCGGCAAAGTGTTAGATACAAAGTAAGTAAGAAGCTACTGAAAATTTCAAATATAGGACCTCTTTGGTGTTTGCAGTATTTCTTTTTGTTCCATGGAGTTTCAAATGCTTTGATTTGATTAGTCCTCCAAGTAATGATTCTTTTGTGAAGAATTAACTAACTGCTTCATCTCCAGGGAGGCTTAACATTCTTACAAGAATTTTAATCCAGAGATTTTTTGCTTTTTAAGTAAAGAGAATTTTCTTGTTAGATAAATTTGTTACTGAAACTGATTTGTTTATTTTATCAGAGCTGCCACCTACTTAGGATTCTTAAGGAGTTGTCAATAAGAGCCATTTTTTGGCCTTTTAGAATTATAAAATTTAATGAGCAAAGTGGAAGTGACCTTAGAGATGACATGATTTCACCTTCACCTAAATTTAGCGATGAAGAATCTGTAGGTTCAACTGTGAGGTTAAACCACTTGCCCACGGCCACATGGCTTAATTAACTTTCTTTGATAACCACATGTTTTTATTAAGGGGATTTTGCATTTTGGGATTGATCCAGGGAAGCAGCAAACAAGTATATGTAAACTAAGAACCCTGTTAATTTTTGCATTCTTTTTCCATAGGCACTGTTGGCATCTGAACCAAAGAAAGGCAGAATGGATTTGTTGAAAATAACAATGAAAGAGTTAATCTCTTTGGCTGGGCCTACAGATGACATACAGAGTACAGTCCCCCAGGTAATCATGGAAATACACAAACCCTCCAGTGTTGTTTTTTGTTTTGTTTTGTTTTTCACTTTTTTCAAGACGGCTGTTACCGTCTTGTTACCCAGGCTGGAGTACAGTGGCGCGATCTCAGCTCACTGCAACCTTCGCCTCCCAGGTTCAAGCAATTCTTCTGCCTCAGCCGCCTGCAGTTGTTTTAAATCTTTGCTTTATTTTTTAACAAAAAGTTTCTGCTGGAGATAAAGAACTCTTGAACATTGGACAGACATTTGAAGCTTGTTTGAATAGTTTTTCTCTCCTTCTTTTTTTTTTGTCTTTACCATCCACAAAATAAACCGTTGCTTTAGTTGAATATATTAATCAAAGCAAACAATTTTTAAACTCTGGTGAAAACATCCAGCTTATATAAGATATTTTATAATACTGTTGCATCTATGAATTTGAAAGTGCATATGCTAGCACTTTAGAATTTCATGTGTGCTTCTTTGCGTTGATGTACATTTTGTAACTCAGCAGTTGAAAATTTCCTTTAAATATGGTATCTACCTTTTGGGGTGTTCATATTTTACTAGCATTTAGTTCCTTTTAGTCACTACCTACATATATGAAGTTAAAGCACTCCTCATAGCTCCACTTCACCACTAGGGAGTAAATATTAATAACTATCAAGTACTGCTTGTACGTTATAGTCTGGACTTCCTCAGTTAATGCTTCATAGTAGGACACTCCTTTTTGGTTTGTTTGTTTTTTGAGACAGAGTCTCACTCTGTTGCTCATGCTGGAGTGCAGTGGTGCGATCGTGGCTCACTGCAACCTCCGCCTCCTGGGTTCAAGCGATTCCCATGCCTCAGCCTCCTCAGTAGCTGGAATTACAGGCATGGGCCGCCATGCCTGGCAAATCAGCTGAGGTCAGGAGTTTGAGACCAGGCCCAATCACCTGTTGGCCAGGTTGGTCTCGAACTCCTGACCTCAGGGATCTGCCTGCCTTGGCCTTCCAAAGTGCTAGGATTACAGGTGTGAGCCACCATGCCCAGCCTATAGTAGGACACTCCTACCCAACTGTAAAGGGCCATGCTAGGTCAGGGAACAGATTGAGAGCTGAAGTTTACAATCAAGTACGATAAGTACATATGATTTTATTTCAGAACCTGTGGGAGGTGTTAAAGAGAGCCCACAGGCCAGAATGAGGACTGTGGAAAAGAAAGGGGATTTTATGTTTATTGGATATTGGCAAAGTGTTAGATAAAGGGAGCCCATGGGCCAGAATGTGGACTGTGGGAAAGAATCCCCATTCTTTTCCACAGTCATATGGAACATAGTCATATGGCACATAGTGGCCAGTACCCATAGATATGAAATGTCTTTATTTCTTTAAAAAATTGACTGAAATGTTGTTAATCACCATTCAAAAATGATCACTTCAAGACATTTTTCAGTGAAATGTGAAAAAAATGTAATTGGTTCTATTTTCCTAGACTATCACTTTTAAAAAGTACATGTTGAGTATCTTTTATCTGAAATGCTGGGGACCAGAAGTGTTTCAGAGTTCAGTTTTTTTTTTTATTATTTTGGCATATTTGCATTATACTGAACAGGTCAGCATCTCTAATCTGAAAATCTAAAATGCTCCAATTAGCATTTCCTTAGAATGTCATGTCCGTGCTTTAAAAAGTTTCAGATTTTGGAGCTTTTTTGATTTCAGATTTTTGGATTTGGGATGCTCTACCTGTGCTATTTTTATAAGAACATCTAAAAATAATGGGGCTTGGTTTTAACGAGTGCTGGATAATTATTGCCCTACTCTACTTCAAGGTGATTAATGGCATTTTAGTGATCATTTTTATGAAATTGGTGAGATTTAAAAATTTTGTCTCTGACCAGTCTTCTAAGCTTTTTTAGTTGATAATTTGCTTTCCTTCTCCCCTCCCAGGGTTCATTTCTTTATTATTTTTATTATGTATCTTTGAAATATTTCAGTATACAGAAATGTATAGTGAATAATGAACATATTTGAAACCAGTTCCAGTTTAAAAAATTAAACATTACAGAGACCGTTAGTTATGCTGTGGATTCTTCCACATCTCATTCCCGTTTATTCCTCCTCAGTTATAATCACTAACCCAAATTAGTGACTATCATTCCCAAGCATTTTCATCATACTTTTATCTCCTTTTACATGAATGTTGTTTTCGACACTTTTTATACTTTGCTTTTGTCAATCAACATTATATTTTAAGATTAGTAAGCTCCTGTTCAGCCCCTGTTCACTTTCATTTCTGAACAGTATTTTATTCTATTTCATTTCATCCCTTCTGTGAATGGACATTTAGGTTGTTTCCCGTTTTCTTCTATTACAAACAATGCTGAAACAAACATTCTTGTGTGTCTCCTTACACACGTGAGTGTTTCTCCAGGTTATATACCTAGAAGTAGAATTGCAGGGTTGTAGGGTACACACATATTCAATCTGATGCTGTTATGTTGTCTCCAAAGTGGTTGAACTAATTTATATTCCTGCCAGCAGAGTATAAGAGTTTCCATTGCTTATCAACACCTTTGTATTATCAGACTTTTACAGTTTTTGACTTTCTGCTTAGTGTGAAATGGTGTTTTCTAGTTTTATTTTGCATCTTTCTTATTACTAGTTAGCTTTAACATCTTTTCATATGTTTATTAGCCTTTTGGTTTATATATGAAAGTTGTCTGTTGAAAGACTTTGCTTACTTTAATATTGGTTATTTGTCCCTTCATTTTTGTTTTGTAGGAGTTGGATTTTTATTGTTGTTTCAAAAATATTTTCTTGATATTGATTTCTTTTTGATTATTTGAATTACATATATATTCTCCCAAACTATGTTTTCTCTTTTTACTTTGTGGTCTCTATTATTATGTAGATATTTTTAATTTTAATAAAATAGAATAGGTCAGCTTTCTCCTTTATGGTTGTACATTTGGATCTTATTTCAGAAATTATACCCCAAGATGGGAAAGACATTTTATATTTTCTTTCTTTTTTCTTTTTCTTTCTTTCTTTTTTTTTTTTTTTTTTGAGACGAGGTCTCACTCTGTGGCCTAGGCTGGAGGGCAGTGGCACGATCTCAGCTCACTGCAACCTCTGCCTTCCAGGTTCAAGCGATTCTCCTGCCTCAGCCTCCTGAGTAACTGGCATTATAGACTTCTGCCACCATGCCCTGATAATTTTTATATTTTTAGTAGAGACGAGGTTTTGCCATGTTGACCAGGCTAGTCTCGAACTCCTGACCTCAGGTGATTCTCCCGCCTTGGCCTCCCAAAGTGCTGGGATTACCGGCGTGAGCCACCACACCTGACTGAGAAAGATATTTTATATTTTCTTTTAAAAGTTTTCAAGTTTTACTTGTCATAATTTTATGTAAATGAAACCATATTATTATTTTTTACTGATAGGATCTTGCTCTGTCACCCAGGCTGGAGTGCGTGCAAGTCTTTATATTACCTGTAATTTGTCTTTGTTTAGTGTAAAATAAAATAATTTAATGTTTGCCATTTGGATAACTAATACAGAGACATTTCTGTTATAACACATCCTTTTCTTCTTGATTTATACTGCGTCTGTTATGTGTTTTCATAGATAGGTGGTTCTGTTTCTGTGCTGTCTATTAATCTATCTTTGGAGCAAAACCACAGTTTTATTTTTGTTTCAACTTTTTTGAGATGGAGTCTCTCTCTGTCACCCAGGCTGGAGTGCAGTGGTGTGATCTCGGCTCACTGCAACCTTCACCACCTGGGTTCAAGCTATTCTCCCACCTCAGCCTCCTGAGTAGCTGGGATTACAGGCATGTGCCACCACTCCCAGCTAATTTTTGTATTTTTAGTAGAGATGGGGTTTCACCACGTTGGCCAGACTGGTCTTGAACTCCTGACCTCAAGTGATCTGCCCGCTAAGGCCTCCCAAAGTGCTGGGATTACAGGCGTGAGCCACCACACCTGGCCTAAAACCACTAGTTTAATTATTATGTCTTTATAAAAAGTTAGAATATCTGGCAAGGTGAATCTCTCTTTTTTTGTTTTCCCTTCAGAATGACCTTGGGTATGTTTGTCCTATTGCTGTTCCATAAAAATTTTAGAATTAGCTTGTTAAACTCAATAAAAAGCCCTTTTGGAATTTTGGTTAGAATTTAAATGTATTGATTTATTTGGGAAAAATTATCTTTTTAAGTATTGAATCTTCCATGAGCATGGCTTATTTCTCCATTTATTCAGATCATTTAATGTCATTTATTATTTTTTAAACTAATTCCCATAAAAGTCTCTCTTTTTTTTTTTTTTTTTTTTTTTTTTTTTTTTGGAGTTGGAGTTTCGCTTTTGTTGCCCAGGTTCGAGTGCAATGGTGCAATCTTGGCTCACTGCAACCTCCGCCTCCTGGGTTCAAGCAATCCTCCTGCCTCAGCCTCCTGAGTAGCCGGGATTACAGGCGTGCACCACCACGCCCAGCTAATTTTTTTATTTTTAGTAGAGACAGGATTTCACCATGTTGGCCGGGCTGGTTTTGAACTCCTGACCTCAGGTGATCCACCTACTTCAGCTTCCCAAAGTGCTGGGATCACAGGCTTGAGCCACCATGCCTGGCCCATAAACGTCTTATAGATTATTTTTGAGATTTATTTCTAATGTCTTTTTTTTTGCAATTATGAATGGTACTTTTAAAAGATTATATTATCTGTTGCTGTTTGAGAAGAATGCAGTTAATTTTTGGGTTATAATTGTGCTTGTATTCAGCAGCCTATCAGAATTGCTGTAACACAGCAAATGACTTACCTGTAAATTCTTTTGGATTTGTTTTATGGATAATCATACCTTTGACAAATAATGCTAAGTTTGTTTTAACTTTCTATTTTTTAGTTTTTTCAAAACAGTTTTTATTGTACTTTGCTGCTGGAACCTGTAGTAAAGTTTGGTATAGAAAGAGAGATAGCAGGCATCCTTATGTTGTTTCTGATCAATCTGCTGCAATTTTTAATCTACCCAGTATCTTATTAAGGAAATTGAATTTTATTGAATATTTTTTGCATCTTTTTAGATAAATATGTTTTCTTCTAGAAAATGCAGATGTCATGAATTGTATTGATTTTTCAATTTATCTTTGCATTCTTGCATATCTCACTGGTTTTGTGAGTGAGACTGGCCTGTGGTTTTCCTTTTTGTGCTGTGCCTGTCCTGTCTTTTTAAATATGCATCTTTTGATGGAATTATAGTACATATACAGACAAGTGTACAAACCATATGTGTACCTCAGTACAGTTTCACAAAGTGAACACATTTGTGCAGCCATCAAGAAATAGAACATTTCTAGCAACTGAAAGCCCCCTCTTGCTCTCTTCCAGTCCACATCCTTCTCTCCAAGAGTAACCACTAGCCTAACTTCCAATACTCTAGTTTTAGTTTTATCTTTTTTTTGAGTTTTACATAAATGAGACCATACATTATTATTATTTTTTTATTTTAGAGACGGGATCTTGTTCTGTCACTCAGGCTTGAGTGGAGTGGTACAGTCTTAGCTCATTGTAGCTTCAAACTCTTTGATAATATTTTTTATTTGTGCCTTATTTCTCTTCTCTCTTCTTGGTTAGTCATGTCAGGGGTTTATTTCTGTTTCAGAGAATCAGCTTTTGGGTTTGTTAATGCTCTTAGTTGTGTTTTTGCTATTTTAAAAGTTTCTGCTCTAAATTTTTATTTTCTTTCTGTGTTTCAAGTTTATTGTTGACTTATTTTCTCTTGACTTAATTCGTCACTTACCACAATCATTCTAGTCATTTAAAAAAATAGAAGCATTTGAGATGTACATTTTTTTTTGAATTTCACTTAAGCTGCATCCTACAAGTATTGATATGTAGGTAGCGTCTTCAAAATATTTAAAAAAAAAAATTTGACCAGTGTTTAATGTGCTTGAAAATGTGCCGATTTTAAGCATTTTTTTAGGCCGGGTGCGCTGGCTCACACCTATAATGCCATCACTTTGGGAGGCCAAGGCAGGTGGATCACCTGAGATCAGGAGTTCAAGACCAGCCTGGCCAACATGTTGAAACCCTGTCTCTACTAATTATACAAAACTTAGCCGGCCGTGGTGGCACATATCTGTAATCGCAGCTACTCGGGAGGCTGAGGCAGGAGAATCGCTTGAACCTGGGAGGTGGAGGTTGTAGTGAGCCGAGACTGTGCCATTCTGTTCCAGCCTGGGCGACAAGAGTGAAACTCCATCTAATAAAATAAAATAAAATAAAAAATAAAGTTTTTTTTAAAGTTTCTTAATTCCATGGTGATCAGAGCATAATCTATAAGTTATTAATTACTTGGTATTTGTTGAGACTTTATTTGTGGCTAGGTATGAGGGATTTTAGAAAATAAATGTTTCATGTGTGCTCGAAAAGAATGTGTTGTCTCTGTATTTTAGGTGCAGGCTTCTACATATGTCCATTGGATCAAACTTTTTTATAGCATTGTTTGAATCTTACTAATTTTTTGTAAAATGGTTTATCAGCTACTGGATGTGTTTTATTAAATCTGCTATTTCATTTGCGGATTATCCATTTCTTGTAATTCAGTAAATTTTTTGTTTTGAAGCTGTACTATTGGATATGTGTAGATTTAGAATTAGCCATGGTTTTCAACCCACAACTAATTTTGAACTTCTTGTTTTAGGTTCATGCTTTAAATATCCTTAGAGCATTGTTCAGAGATACGCGCCTGGGAGAAAATATTATTCCTTATGTTGCTGATGGAGCTAAGGCTGCAATTCTGGGTTTTACATCACCGGTCTGGGCAGTAAGTGCTGTCACTATTTATTTTCATTGATTTAATTATGCTTCTGAGTAGGTTTTAATAAACTAATCTTTCACTGGGTGATAAAAAATATTTCCTGCCCTTTACCATGAATTTTCTTAGAAATCTTTGGATCAAGCTACATTTTTGATTCTTGATATTTCATGGTTCCATTTTCACTCATTTGTTGGCTTGTTAGCCATCTTTCTTTTTTTTTTAATTTTATTGATTGCTTTAGGGTTTACAGTATGTATGTTTGACTGATCACAGACTACTCTCAAGTGATATTACACCATGTCACTTAAAGTATAAGAACTTAATAATAGTGCACTTCTGTTTCTCTCCTCCCAATCTATGTGCTGTTATTGTTACACATTTTACTTTTATGTGTGTTGTAAACTTACACTACATTGTTGTTATTTTTCTTTAAATAGCCAGTTATATTTCTTTTCAATTTACCACTTTAACCGTTTTTTTAAGTATATACAATGCAGTGGCATTATGTGCATTCACAACAACATTTATCAGCACTGTGCATTTCTGGAACATTTTCATCATCCCGAGCAGAAGCTCTGTACTCATTAAACACTAACTCCCATCTCTCATCTCCCTCACCCCTAGTAACCTCTATTCTCCTTTCTGTCTCTGTGGATTTGCCTGGTCTAATACCTCATATAAATGGAATCGTACAATATTTGTCCTTATGTTATTGGCTTCTTTCATGTAGTATATGAAGGGTTGATCCATACTGTGTGGGGTGGGGGGCTGTGTGTGTATATTGGTTTATCAGTATACACACATCCCACATTTTCTTTTTTTAATTTTTATTTAAGTTCCAGGATACATGTGTAGAATGTGCAGGTTTTTTACATAGATATAAGCGTGCCATGGTGGTTTGCTGCACCTACCAACCTGTCATCTAGTTTTTTGTTTGTTTGTTTGTTTTTAATTGAGTTGGAGTCTTGCTCTGTCACCCAGGCTGGAGTGCAGTGGTGTGATCTCAGCTCACTGCAACCTCTGCTTCCTGGGTTCAAGTGATTCTTTTGCCTCAGCCTCCCGAGTAGCTGGGACTACAAGTGGATGCCACCACACCCAGCTAATTTTTGTATTTTTGGTAGAGAGAGGGTTTCACTATGTTAGCCAGGCTGGTCTCGAACTCCTGACCTCGTGATCTGCCCACCTTGGCCTCCCAAAGTGTTGGGATTACAGGCATGAGCCATAACGCTCAGCCTGTCATCTAGGTTTTAAGCCCGGCATGCATTAGCTATTTGTCCTGATGTTCTCCCTCCCTTCCTGACTCCAACAGGCCCTGGTGTGTGTTGTTCCCCTTTCTGTGTCTATGTGTTCTCACTGTTCAGCTCCCAATTATGAGTGAGGACATGCAGTGTTTGGTTTTCTGTTCCTGTGTTAGTTTGCTGAGGATGATGGCTTCTAGCCTCATCCATGTCCCTGCAAAGGACATGATCTCATTCCTTTTTATGGCTGAATAGTATTCCATGGTGTATATGTACTACATTTTCTTTATCCAGTCTATCATTGATGGGCATTTGGTTTGGGTCCATGTCTTTGCTATTGTAAATAGTGCTGCAATAAACATATGTTTCATATATCTTTATAGTCGAATGATTTATATTCCTTTGGGTATATATCCAGTAATGGCATTGTTGGGTCAAATGGTATTTCTGGTTCTAGATCCTTGAGGAATCACCACACTGTCTTCCACAGTGGTTGAACTAATTTACATTTCCACCAACAGTGTAAAAGTTTTCCTATTTCTCCACAGCCTTACCAGCATCTGTTGTTTCTTGACTTTTTAGTAATCACCATTCTGACTGGCGTGAGATGGTATCTCATTGTGGTTTTGATTTGTATTTCTCTAATCATCAGTGATGTTGAACTACCACATTTTCTTTATCCAAATTCATCTGTTGATGGACGTTTAGGTTGTTTCCACTTTTTGGCTATTATGAATAATGCTGCAATGAATTATAATGTATAAATTATCTGAGTCATTTTAGTTCTTTTGGGTATATCATATGGTAATTCCATGTTTAACTTTTTGAGGAATGAACAAACTTCTTCCCCAGCAGCAGCACCATTTTATACTCCCATCAGCCATGCACAAGTTCCAGTTTGTTTAGATCTTTACCAATACTCGTTATCTTTTTTTTTTTGATAATAGCCATCTTAATGGGTGTGAAGTGGCATCTCATTCTGATTTTGATTTGCATTTCCCTAATGATTAATTATGTTGATCTGGAAACAAAACAACTCTGAGCGTATAAATGTGTCTGTATTTTGGATGCTGTGGACTCTGCTGTTAGTATGTTAAGTTAGTGCTACAAATAAACTCTATCAAAAGTTTGAAAAAACGAGACACTCGCAAAACATTGAAATGGAAGAGGTTAAATACTGAGTCGCATTTTCTTTTGTAATATGTTCACTGTCCAGAAGCATTTTGATTCAAAACTTTAAAGATAATGGGCAATACCCAGTACAATTGTTGGATTTAAGAAAGTAATTTTTCGTGTGTTTTCTTATGATTTCTGGGAGAAACATTATAGTTTGTTTTCCTATATCATGTCTTCTAGAGTAAGGAGAATAATTATAGATGCTTGAAATGTGGCTTAAAGTAAAAAGTCTGGCAAAGGGAGAAGAGAAAAGAAGCTAGATCTTAATACATTACCTGCAGAGTGGAGTATTTACTAGAAAGTCAGGCTTTCCAGTTAGTAAGCTGCACAAACCATTTCTTACCTGTATGATAAGCCTCTAATTGAGAGTAAGTATTTTGCAGTGAAAGCCAAAGGCACAGACTCCCATTGTGAAGAGGAATCCTTTGAGGTTGCCAACTCTTGCCTAGAAAATTGTGCGTCTTCCTGTAAGAGATACACACTTCTGGAATTCTGTCTAAGAGCATTGCATAACTACTCTTGAGGACACAGAGTTTACCTTTTATACTTACAGGAAGTAGAGCAATGCCTTTATACTGTCAGTAGAGTCAGAGAGGTAGGAATGTGGCTTGACCATCAGGAATACTGGAGATCATAAAAGTGATTGTCAGAAATATCAATATTGCTTTCTTGAAGCCATTAGTTCCAGATGAACCAAGAAATATTTTCCGTGAAAGGACTTTCTGAGAGTGAAGCCTGGTGATTCGTCCAACTTTTTAGTAAAATTCAAACTATCAGAAATGAGTGATTCATTTTTTTTTTGAAAAGACTATTTTTTGAGACCCTAAACAGTAATACATGTGCACTGCAGAAATTTTGAAAATAAAGAAAAGCATAATAAGAACAGTAAAAGTCACCTGTTAAATTACCGTACAGATATGAGCATTCTGATTCATTTTCTTTCTCTTTTTTTATGTGTGGGCTTTACATGTGCATAGTACATGTATGCATACATATCCACAAAAGGCTGCATAAATATATATAAATGTTTTTATTTTCTTTCTAATTTCATAATACTAATAATTTTATTTCTTGGGATCTTCCTTTTTAACACTTTATGAAGGAAACATTTCTATTTAGTTTGCTTTACTAGAGGAAATAAATATCATAGCTATAATGATCAACACTGTTACTTAATATTATCAATGGTTATATTTTCTTCTGTATAAAAATCTAAGATAAAATTTATGAGTCAACCTATTTAATGGATGTGAAGAAGTATTCACTTACAAAAACAATTTACAAAAGCATTCTCTGTTGAAGTGATTTTAAGTGTGATTTTTCCTTAATGCATACGAAATACGGTTTGATTTGCAGAACTTTGATTTGTACACATCCTCTTGGGAATATAACTGTGCCTAAAGCTGGCTACATCTGTACTTTTGACTTGATTGTTTTTCCTGATAAGTTAGGGAAAACACACATGTAAAATGAACTTAATTTTAACTTGCAGTAAAGAAACATTTTTCAGAAAGCATTCATGTATATATTTAATTTGTTTTTACAGACTCCTTAGTCTTTCGTATTGAAACCATACAGATCTCTCAAACTTTGCTACCTAGTAGGCATTCTTAAAATATAGGGAAATGTAGTATGTAAATATTTTCGGCATTAGACATATCTGCTTACTGTATTGTAGATGTTATGTTAAGCACTAGAAATACAAGGATAGATAACACATAATCATAATAATGGCTGTCTTATTGAGTATTTCTCATGTACCTGGCATAATTTACATTGCATTGATTATCTTAGTAGCTTCTGTTATCCAGGTATGTTCTGTTATAATCCTCATTTTACAGATGAAGAAAACAAGGCTCAGAGAGATGAAATAACTCTGCCTAAGGACACAAAACTATTACCTGTCCAACTCCAGAATGTGTGCTATTGTAGAGGAGATGTTTGGGTATTTTAAGAATACAAAGAAGGTACATTTTACCTACCTTCTAGGGTTTTGGCCCTATTTTCTTATTAAACAGAGCTGGAAGTAAAGCCCGGGTCCTAACATTTTATTGAGTGGTACTAACCAAGACCAGCAGGAATGAAAGAAAAAGGGAAGTGAGGCAAGGAAAGATGAATGATATTACCAAGGGAACCTTAACCTTGCAGAAAATCTGAGCTGGTTGTCTTGTACATGGTGCATCTTCTAGCCAGACCATGTGAAACTACCACCTTTTGGAACAGCCCAATATGTTTGTCTTTTACTGGTCAAAGTTCATCCTTGGGGCATTACCACAATTTGGGCAGGTGTTGGCACAACCCTTGGGCAGCTGCTAGGGAAGCCAGATCGCATGTCCAGTGATGTGGCATCTCATCTGAGTCTGAAAGTGGCTGGATGAACCAGAGCTTCCATGGATATAGTTGGAACAGACCTGAGGTTTGAAATAATGACTTCTACTGTGTTGAAAAGCTCTGCATGAAAGAAATTTATAGCAGGGGAGTCATGGGATGTGATTGATGTAGGTAAAAGTGGAGACTTGATTGTAAGATAGCAAGAGGGAAGGAAGAAGACCAGTCAGGAAGCTATTGTAATAGTTCTACCAAAAGATGGTGGTGGCTCAGCAAAGATGGGGAAAAGTGATAGTCTTTAACATATTATTTATATTAAAAATATTTCAGAGATTAAACCAACCAGTTTAGTTAACAATCTAAGTTAACAGAAAGTAATTTGTGGAACCCGAGAATTTACTAGGCAGTTTTTGTTTAAAAATATCACTCATCTCTCTTTATTATGTTCAGTGACTAGGGGAGGCCTGATCTTCTTTCCTTGCATCCTCATCCTCATTGCAGAACAGGCAATTCTCGGCTTTCCCAGTGGAGCCCGCCCAAAAAACTCCACTGAGTATGCCACTTAGAGTCTTTCTAAGACCCACACTGGGTTTATTTTTATTTTGGACGGAGTCTTGCTCTGTCGCCAGGCTGGAGTGCAGTGGCATAATCTCATCTCACTGCAACCTCTGCCTCCCGGGTTCAAGCGATTCTCCTGCCTCAGCCTCACTAGTAGCTGGGACTACAGGCGCATGCTACCACGCCCAGCTAATTCTTGTATTTTTAGTAGAGACGGGGTTTCACCATGTTGGCTAGAATGGTCTCAATCTCTTGACCTCGTGATCCACCCGCCTTGTCCTCCCAGATTGCTGGAATTACAGGTGTGAGCCACTGCGCCTGGCCTATATTTTTATCTGGTGTATATTTAGCTTGCTTCCCCCAGGGTAATCTGGTTCATAGCATGCAGTGGGTTTCAAAGGAGGGTAGGAAAAAGATCCTGTTAGATCTGCCCAGTAGTGCTGCCATGCCATGGCTACTCTGTGCCTCTGTTGGCACCAGCATCTCCAGGCCCTCTGATAATTATGAGGTTGCCACAAGGGTGCTACACTGAGAGCTGTGTACTGCTGAAACCTAGCTGTGCTCTATTCACTGTGCCGCGTGCCTTGGCATGGAGCTTCATTGACCTAGAGGAAGAGGGACCTTTTTTCTAATTCACTCATATGTACTATATGGGCTAGTTTAAACCCTGTCTCTTCTTTTGTCTGCTCATAGGTGAAGTGTCTTGCTACTTTGGAAGAGGGTCACCAGAAACTCTAGGACATGGCTGGCCCTCCCTTTAATCATAGGCCCAGAAATCCCAGCACAGTTTTCCTGGATTACAGATGATAGACTTGTGACCCAAAGTTTTAACTGTCTTTTCATGGTCACATGGCTAAGAAGTGATGGAAGGCGAATTAGAACCCAAATCTCATTTAGTTTTCTCAGAAAATATTTTTTTCTGCTACCACGTACACAAGACAAAATATTAAGTGTCATGTGTGGATCCCATCCTTAAGAAATTGACTGCCTATTAAGGATAGGGTGTGTGGTGTGTAAATGACCATATTACATAGCAATTGCACATAGTAGGCTGTCCATTCATACTTTTCAAATATTTTTCAAGGGAGCATTTCTATTATATAAGAAAAGCTATATACATAGATAAGAAAAATATACACATATATACATGTGCACACACACACACAGAAGGCTTTGTGTAACCCAGTTTTAATTACCAAACTGTTCTGTATTTTTTTTTTTTTTTTGAGACAGAGTCTCACTGTGTTGCCCAGGCTTGAGTGCAGTGGCGCCATCTTGGCTCACTGCAACCTCCACCTCCCAGGTTCAAGTGATTCTCCTGCCTCAGCCTCCTGAGTAGCTGGGATTACAGGCGCCCGCCACCAAGTCCAGCTAATTTTTGTATTTTTAGTAGAGATGGGGTTTCACCATGTCGGCCAGGCTGGTCTCGAACTCCTGACCTCAAGCAATCCATCTGCCTCGGCCTCCCAAAGTGCTGGGATTACAGGTGTAAGCTACTGCACCCAGCCTCTTCTGTATCTTAAACGAGTCTACATGAAAGCTTTTTCATGCAAGAAAGGAAAGAAAAAGTTATACACTCTGTGAATAGAAGAGAAAAATTTTGGTAACAGTTGTCAGTTTGCAGTTGAATTCCAAGTTCCTATCAACCATGTATTTAGGGCTTGATGGAGAAGGAGGTCAGGAGCAGGAAGTGCTTCCCTCGTGAGAAGGATAGATTTTAGCTGGGATTAAAGTCATGCATTACTTAATGACAGGAATTAATTCTGAGAAATCTGTTGTTTGGGAATTTCATTGTTGTGTGAACATCATATTGTATACATGCACAAACCTAGATGTATAGCCTACTCCACACCTAGGTTGTATGATATAGCTTATTATTCCTAGGCTACAAACTGTACAGCATGCTATCATACTGAGTATGCTACCATGCTGAGTATGTAGGCATTTGTAACACAGTGTTAATTATTTGTATGTCTAAACATAGAAAAAGTACAGTAAAAATACAATATTATAATCGTATGGGACTATCATTACATATGTGGTCCATTGTTGACCACAGCATCATTTTGTGGTTCATTACAGCTATTATCATTTCTCCATTTTTAGCTGTACTACTGCTTACCCTTTTCTGTCTTTACTCTCCTTTTTACTTATTAATGGCAATAACTGCGGTTACTTTTGCACCAACCTAATGTGTTTTCCATCTATCCTTCCAAAAAGGGACATGTTTTATTGCCAATACTACTAATGTATTACTCACATTAAGATTGCTATCAATGATTCATATTAGCATTTATTGTCAGTGAATTAGGAGTTGATAATGTAGTTTGTTAGTCACAACCTCTTTCTCAATTCTTTGTCTACTTCAGTTTCCTCCTTGTTAGCTTTATTTATAGTGGATGGGAACAGAAAATATGGATGAAATAGTAAAACATACAAAGCAATACCTGAAACAGATATCCTTGAACCATTCATACTGTCACACAGAAATCTAGGGGACACTCTTCTGTCTTAAGTAGGAAGTAGGCTTTCATGCCAGTTATTTTGCTCTATATTTACAATAACTCTTTTAAGTGTTGTTCTGTATAACTTACAGAATTCTAAAACAGAGTATGTATTTTTCAACCTATAAAAATCAATTACAGTACTCCCCTCCTCAAATTTGAGGAGGATGCATTCCAAGACCCCCAGTGGATGCCTGAAACCATGGTTAGTACTAAACCCTATGGATTCTGTTTTTTCCTATACATACATACCTGTGATAAAGTTTAATTTATAAATTAGATATCATAAGAGATAACAATTATAACAATAGACCATAATAAAAGTTAAGTGAATGTGATTGCTCTCAAAATACGTTAGTGTACTATACCACAGGTAACTGAAACCACAGAAAGCAAAACTGCTAATGAGGGAGGACCATTGTAATGTAATATACTGTGTGAATAGACTAAAGAACAAAACCCACATTATTAAGCAGATACAAAAGAGGCATTTGACAAAATCTAATGCTATTTTATGTGAAAAAAAACTAAGAATGGAAGGGAAATTTCTCAACCTCAGTGGAAAATCCAGAGTCAACAATATACTTGATGGTAAAGGACTGAAATCTTTCTCTCTAAAATCAGGAACAAGACAAGGAAATCCACTCTTGTCACTCCTATTCAACATTGTACTGGAGTTCCTAGTAGGCCAACTAGAGAAGAATAAAAAATAAAAGTTATCCAGTAAAGGAAGATGCAAAACTATCTCTATTTTCTGATGACATGATCTTAAATATAGAAAAATCCTAAGGAATCCACACACATGCAAATTAAAGCTTGTCTATTAGCAAGGTTTCAGGACAAAAGGTCATCATACAGAAATTGTACACTAGCAGTGAAAAATCTAAATGAAATTAAGAAAACAGTTTCATTTATGATAGCATCAAAAAGAATAAAATACTTAGGAATAAATTTAGCAAAGGAACTGCAAGAGTTGTTCACTGAAAATTATCAAACATTTTTTGAAGAAATTATAGGCCTAAATAAATGGAAAGATCTCCTGTGTTCATCACTGGAAGACTTAACTATTGTTAAGATGACGTATTCCCCAAATTAATTAATCTATAGATTCAGCACAACCTCTGTTAAATCCCTTCTAGCTTTTTTTTTTTTTTTTTTTTGCAGATCTTAAAATACATATGGAAATGTGAGGGACCCATAATAGCCAAAACAATCTTGAAAAAGAACAAAGTTGGAGGCCCCACAGGTCCCAATTTCAAAACTTAATGCAAAGCAACAGTAAATTAGAGCTTGTGGCATTGACATAAGGTTAGGCACATAAATCAGCAGATTAGGATTGATTGTACAGAAATAAACCCCCACATTTAATAAAGGTGCCAAGACAATTCAGTAGAGAAAGAATAGCCTTCAACAAATGGTACGGGGACAACTGGATATCCACATGCAAAAGAATGAATGTGATCCCCATCTCATACCATATTCAGATGACTCAAAATGTCTTAAAAACCTAAATGTAAAAGCTAAAACTATAAAACTTGTAGAAGAGGACCTGGGTAAATTTTTGTACCTTGGATTAGATAACATTTAGTTAGATATGACACCTAAGGTACAAGCAATACAAAAATTGATAAATTAGACTGGGAATGAAAAAAACTGATAAATTAGACTCGATCAAAATTAAAAATGTCTGGCTGGGCATAGTGACATGCACCTGTAGTCCCAGCTACTCGGAAGGCTGCAGCTGGAGGATTGTTTGAGCCCAGGAATTCAAGGCTGCAGTGAGCTATGATTACACCACTGCACTCCATCCTGGGCGACAGAGCAAGAAGCTGTCTTAGAAAAGTTAAAAAAAATTTTTTTTAAATAAAGCTTAACCAGCATCAAGAAAAAAAATGTTTTTCAAAGGACACAATCAAGAAAGTATAAAGACAACCCACAGAATGGGAGAAAATATTTGCGTATTATACATCTGATAAGAGTGGAGTGTCCAGAATATATAAAGAACTCTTATAACTCAATAATAAACGACAACCCAATTTTAAAATGGACAAAGAATATTTATCTCCAAAAAAGATAGGCAGATGGCCAGTAAGCACACAAAAGGATACTTAACACCATTAGTCATGAGGGAAATGCTACAATGAGTTACCATTCCATGCCCACTAAAATAAAATGCATGGAAAATAACTAGTATTAGGGAGGATGTGGAGAAATTGGAGAACTGGTGAAATTGGAACGCTAATACATTGCCAGTGAGACTATGAAATGGTGCTACCACTTTGGCAGTTCTTTTGAAGGTTAAACATAGAGTTACTCTGTGACCAAGCAATACTACTTCTAGGTATATAGTCATGAGAAATGAAAACATGTTCACACAAAAACTTGTACATGAATATTCTTAGCAAAATTATTCATAATATTCCAAATTGGAAATAGCCCAAATGTCCGTCAAATGAAGAACAGATTTTAAAAATACGGTATATCTGTACAATGGGATATTATTAAGCCATAAAAAAGGAATAACATACTGATACATGCTACAACATGGGGGAACCTTGAGAACATTATGCTAGGTGAAAGAAGCCAAACATTAAAGGCCGCATACTACATGATCCCATGTATATGAAGTATCCAGAAAAGGCAAGTTTATAGAGACACAAAGTAGATTGTGCTTTCCTACTGCAGGAGAATAGGGAGTGACGACTAACGGCTCCCGAGTTTCATTTTGAGGTAATGAAAATATTGTGGAATTTGGTTAGTGGTGATAGCTTCACACTTTGTTAATATAGCAAAAACCACTGAATAGCATCCTTTAAAATAATAAATTTTATATGTGAATTATACCTCAATTTAAAAAAGTAATTTAAAAGTGATTTTAAAACAATCATGCAGTCACCTTTGGAGGTTGGTATGGCATGAACTAATTATTCTGAAAATGATCAATATATGGAAATAATTCTTTACTAACTGATGAACAGGGTAACCAAATAGCAGATGAGGAAAAACTTTAAAAAAATAAAGTTTTTCTGAGGATGTAAATGATTAATGCAGAAGGCCTATAGAATATCGTGATTTTGCTGCACCTAATGGAAAATGTAATGATCATCATTGATCGCTAATGAGGGCACTTTATAAGGGATATCTTAGTCCCTTCGGGCTGCTATAACAAAATACCACAAATTTATTTCCCACAGTTTGGAGGCTGGAAAGTCCAAGATCAATATGGTGGCAGATTCAGTGTCTGGTGAAGGCCTACTTTCTGGTTCATAGATAGCACCTTTTAGCTGTGTCCTCACATGGTAGAAGTGAGGCAGCTCACTGGGGCCTCTTTTATAAGGGCACTAATCGCATTCGTGAGAGCTCTACCCCCATGACTTAATTATTTCCCAAGGGCCTCCACCACCTAACTCCTTGGAGGTTAGAATTTCAACATGTGAATTTTTGGGGAACACAAATATTCAGACCATATCAGGATGGATCAGGCAGATAGGATTAGAACTGTCTGGTCCATCTTAATATTACTAAAAAGACATGTGTCTCCTGCCGTCAGTCTATTGAATCAAAGGAGTTTTGTTTCAGAGGGTATCCATTCACTTTGTAAAATAGTCCTCTACAGTTTTGTTTAAGGTGTGCATTTCTCAACATCTCCAGGCACTCCTGTTTTAATTTTACTGCATCTGGCAGCCTTTGTCAGAAAGTATGGCTTAGGGCAAGATGGAGTCTGTGTTTCTGTTTTCCTTTTCTTTTTGTGTTTTTGTGTGATTTCTGAGAGGAGAGAAGGTCCCAGATATCTTTACCAAGTCATCTTAGACCTAAAAGTCTTTGGGAACTACCTCACTAGATCAGGTAGAAGATAATCCAGACCTGAATGAGGGCAGAGATTATATTGATAAAGTAACAGCATGGATTGATTTGTTATTTGGGGATTAAATTAGGCAGGGCACATAGTAGGGCCTCCTTGGATGTTTGATGGCTGTTGAATGAACGTAAGTGAATCTGTTCAGTTTTAGGGTTTTATTGCATTTTTGATATGGATTGTGCCAGTATATCTGTAAAGTTCACTTCTATGGCTACCATGCATGACTTGAGTCAGTTCTGGGCTTCTAGAGGAGAGGTTACAAACTGGTGGCCAGTAGGACAAACTAGCCTACCACTGTTTTATTTGGCTTTCATGGTGTTTGGTTCTTTTTTTCCTTTAATTTCCTGCCAGCATTTCAAAATAGATTTCACATAAAAACCAGGGTTCCTGGCTTCTCTTGAAAAAGCAGATGATCTGGCAAAACTGGACTTATATTTCCTCATGGCAGCAACTCAGCTGACACTGACTGCATTAGACCAAGTCCACTGCTGCCTGTGTCACTCACTTTTCCTGTGAGCATTTGAGCTTGTGACTCTAAGGGCATTGCTTTCAGGAAGCTGTTTTCTAAATCTTAACGTTACTTTTAGTGATCTTTCTACTTATATTGCTATTTAACACACCATGTGGTTATGTCACTTACTTAATTAGAGTATAAGGTCTGTAATACCAGTAAGTATGTGTTTTCTGTTTCTGGATCTTATCCATGGTGCTGGTATAGGGCCTTACACACTGTAGCAAGGTGAGTACATATATATCTCTACACCGATTTTTACAGAGTAATTGAGGAAGCCTATAGTGCCAAAACAGTCAAGACCCTTTTATGCTCTTCCAAAGCATCTTGACACATTGGTTTGGAAAAGATAGGGAAAAGATTATTATCATCTTGGAGAAATAATTTGTGTTTATTCATGGTAATTCCTGCCTCTTATCTTTACTAATGTTATCAGTTAATTTCAGTATTGAAATTACTTGGTAAGTTACTTGCATTGTGAAGCTGATAAGCAACATTTTGGATTTAACTATTTTCTTAGCCATATTAATTACCTGGATTCTTTGAAGTTAGGATTTTTGGATTTTCTTTTTGTTTTTTTAAAGACAGGTTCTCACTCTTTTGCCCAGGCTGGAGCACAGTGGCACAATCATAGCTTACTGCAGCCTCAAACTCCTGGCCTTATGCAATCCTCCTGCCTGAGCCTTCTGACTACCTGGGACTATAGGCATGTGCCATGGCTGTAAAAATAACAACAACAACAAAAAGTCAAAAGCAAAACAAACAAAAAAATCTCTAAAAAAATACTTTTTTTTTTTTTTGAGATGGGGGTCTTACTGTATTGCCCAGGCTGGTCTCAAACTCCTGGCCTCAAGCAGTCCTTCCACTTTAGCCTCCCAAGTAGCTGGGATTACAGGTGTAAGCCACTGGGCCTGGTTCTTTGAAGTTAGGTTTTATAAGTATTTTCTCGTAGGTAAAATGATTTCAGAAAATAAATGGAAAGAGCTGAGGTTTTACTGCAATCTTCATTGTCAGGAAGCATATAGAAAAATGAATTTTTAGAAAAGTGTTATTTGATGCTCTAAGTGCAGAGATTAGTGAAAACTGTTGATGGTAATATTAGGAATATAGGAAAAGGCTGTGTTGTGTGCATGTGATTGGGTTGTAGAGCTCAATTGAAGTCATTGAATCGATGACTGTCAAGTTTTTTTTTTAAATTATTTTATGAACACAAATCTGTCTTTTTAGCCTCACACTAGCCAGTTAGGTAATGATTTTGAATTATCTAGTTTGAACATTGTAAACGTTGGTTTCATGCCAAGAATATTTAAGCCTTATTGTGTTTTCGTTTGTACATTAGGTGCGAAATTCATCCACACTTCTCTTTAGTGCCTTGATCACAAGAATTTTTGGAGTTAAAAGGGCAAAGGATGAACATTCCAAAACAAATAGGTAAGCTCCATTTAAGGCTAACTTTACTTTTTTTAAAAAATACAATATTGTCCTGGCCAAAAACAAATTTTGAAATTGTGCCTACTGTTATAGATTCATCTAGAGCATAAAACTATAAAAATACTGTAATGAATTAACCTATGCTGCCAAGTTATAAACCCTTGGGCAAAAATATCAACTGTTTAATAAGTGGACCTTTCAAAGCAACAAAAATTTAGCAAGGTAGCAAGGGGTGAAATGTAGAGCTTGTTTCTCCATGCAAAAGCTAGTGTTTTTTTTGTTTTTTTTTTTTTAATTGCATCTTCTTTAAGTAGTCCTGAAATGTCTTAACTTTACTTGTATATATTATCCTAGCTTGTATAATATCTTTAATTTTATAGGTGGAAGTTTAAATGTTTATGATCCTCTCATTAGAACATCTCTCACATTACCTTTGCATTAAACTCTTGTACTAAGAGGAGCACCTATATGTGTTAACCACAAGAAATAAACAGTGCTTTTTACTTTTGGTCTTTAGTTTTATGTTTAACCTCTAATTTGTTTTTGTCTTTAAAAAACAGCTTTTTTGTTATGCCTGAAAAGAAACCTGTGGAACCATTTTGATTTTGGGTAGTTTTTAGATAAAAATGCACAAGATCTGTTTGTTTTTAAAGAAGAAAAGCTTTGAATAGTTGTTTTTTAGCACTTAAGAGGATTTAATGGTAATCTAATTGACTTGCAGTTGTTAACACTAGATGTCACTGTTGCTGCACATTTAATTACTTCCTTAACTTTATTTAGGATCCAGTTTGGCCCAGTGGTCTTTCTCTTGAGGATCTAGAGTTATATTCAAAGCCCTATTCCCTTCTTCCCTAAAAAAGTCATTATGCTTCATATTTAAGTTTTAAGCTAATGTTTATTGAAATGCATTTTTGTGTGATGGAACTAAATCTTAGGAATTAAAAAAATATGAAATCATTTTGTGATGTACTAGTGATAATTCTAATGAAACCTACTATGGTATTTCCGAATTATCATTTAAATTGCTTCTTGTCACCCTGTAACATTCACCAGATATTTAAAAGGAAGGTAACTGGCTGTAAGTATAAATCCCTTGAGCATGTTCAGGCAATACCAGAGAGCTTTTTAATTTTTTTTTTAACTGAGTATTTTTTAAATAAATAAAACATTACTCTTGTGGAGGGATGATTATAATTTTTATTTTTTAGCCTGTTCTTAAAGAAATTCTTCCTGTCACTAACTTGAAATCACTAATATTTGTTTCTCCTTAGCTTTGTCTATTTTGTTAATAATTCTCCAGTGTGCTACAGTTTAAAACAGTTGGGTCATGTTATAAGGCCTTGATAAATACTGGTATAAATGAAATATGATATTAAGTCATCAAACAAGTAAAATTAATGTTTAAAACTGAACTTGAAGAAAATTTTTTTTTGTTTTTTATGAAGTGATTCTTGAATATATATATAAATATATATACATTTTACTATGTATAGGAGAAAATGATCAGAAAATGAGAAAACCTCATTTAGGTTGTATCTGAGGGAGGAAGAATAGGGCAGTGATACTATACAATTTTAATTTTTTGCCAAAGTTACAATGATGGAAACCTCCATTATAAATTTATTCCTCTTGGATAGGAAAGATTACAAAATATATAAGATTTCTAGAAAAAAGGAAATAGGAATGAGAAGTTTTTAACTGTGAAGAATGTGAGAGCTTTTAATTTTAGTAATCTGAAGATCGGTATGGACCATTATGTGTACAAGGCTTCTGTTCCCTGTTTAACCCATGAAGATATATTTCTTGGCAGCTCCCATTAGGTTTGCTTTGCAAAACCTTTAGTGTCTTAAATTTGCAGTTGCTTGTGATGGTTCTTTTAGTTTTAGTTTGTTTAATTATGTCACTTTTTGTTTAAATGTTTATATGCCTGTTCCTTCCAATATTAACTTTCTGAAGGAAGGACCTTTTTCATCTGTTCTGGGTACGTAATGGGCACTTTAAGAAGGCTAGTAATAATGATATCTTGGTTGGTTACTTATCCACCGGATAACTAACCTCAGCCGGTGACACACCTCACAAGTCAGTTGTTTCCTTTCACAACCACAGATTGTCCTGCTCGCAATTTGGAAATGTGTGTTCTTGGTCAGAGGGAACTGGACATAAAAAGAACATCTGCTTTTTCCATCTAATGGGAAATAAAGGTCTGACTTGGAGTAAACAAACCTGGTTTCTAGGCATTTTGCTGCCACTGGAGATGACCTTAATAGGCCCCCTTATCCACTTTGCACTTCAGTTTCTCCATCTATATACCAGGAATAATAAGATCTGTGCTGTCTACTCCTAGGGCTATTGTGAGGATAAAACAAACTATTAGAAGTTCATTTTCTTTAACATATTGGAAGTCCTAGGCAATTAGAGATATAGTTTGGTTTTTCTTTCTGTTACCACTTCTGTGATTGTACTCATCTGATTGTCTTGCTCTTAAGACCGTGCTTTTTGAGGACAAGGTCAGTATCTTAACCATTCTTGGGTACCTAGAGTCTAGCATAGTATCTGGCATATAGAAGGCATATAGGAATAATTGCCTAATGAATAAGTAAATTTTGTTACTAGAGGAGAAATAAGAAATCTGGTTTCTACTCCTGCGTTTGTTACAATATAACCACTATAATCAACTGAGACAAAATAGCCAACCTCTCTGGGCTTTGGTTTTCTTCTCTGTAAAATAAGGTTTGGAATATTCCTGAGGTCTTTTCTTTTTTTAAAATACTAAAGTAAGGCTTTACATAATGTTACTGGAATTGTAAGTTTGGTAAAATGATGTATTCCCAGTGCCGTAGAACAGTCCCTGTCGCATAGTACAGACAAGAAGTTCCTGTTTCATATATAAAGAAAGGAGCAGAGGATCCTTTGTAAGTGTGTAGAGGGTACCTGTAATGACTGAATTTTTGCACCCATTAGTCTTATTTTAGATGTGTTTTTTGGGTTTTAAAGAATGAGAAAACAGAAGTTTCACTTGTGCTTTTAAAGTAATATTATTACATTTTAACTTTTAAAGCTCTTTTCCTTTCTGTTTATTGCTGCGTGACTGACTTGGCCTGACAGAATGAAGAACTGATTTTATGTAAAATCAGAACCAGCAAAGCTCTGCAACCTGTGCAATATGCATGTTTTCTAAAATAGCCTCCATCTCCATGTGAGTGAGCTCAGCTTCATAGCTCCTCATTTCTTACAGGACAGGAGCTAAACTAATATGGCGCTTAGCTCTAGGTCTTTCCTTTTAGCCCCTGTGTGTATTAACTTTCAGCTGTGAGTCCCAGCTAAATGATACATGTCAATATGTAGCAATCAGAAAAGGTTTATTTTTGACTTCTTGGAGTGTGCTTTGCCAAAGCTTCATGCAGGTTCTTAATGTATAGCATTGTCTAGCTTTTGCACACTCTCCACCTTAAATCAGTGAGCCAATGAGAATTTGAAAGCACTTATCATGAACTCAGTATTAACATAATAGGGGAGTACATGAAGAATATAAAACTTGGATCTTACTCAAGGAGTTTACAGTTCAGTTAGGAAGACAAAAATTGTTACATGTGAGTCAGATACAAATAGGAGACACCATATAAAAATCACCTGTACAATGTGATGTGAGTGATGAACACATTAGAAATTTATAAATGGTAGAATTGAGTGGAGTATATGTTGGGGGGAAGTAGTATTTTTTACAAGGCATTGGGAAATGAGTAGATTTGGGGTACATGGAAACAGGTAGATTGAAAGAGGAACAAAATAATAGTTTTGTTTACTGTGTTAAGTACAATCTCTATTCTGTCTTATTAAAGAGAGCTCATATTCAAATTAATAGCTTAGGATAATTTAGTACAATTTAAGAAGAAAATGTGTTTCTAAAATCATGGGATGATCCAAGTAAAATTGTTTCTAGTGACTATGTTGGGAGATGTTAAATTGTATTTATTTTATTTTCCAGGGTATAAGTGATAGAGAATTATTTTAGTTATTTTTCTTAGCATTTTAGTGGTGTAGGTCTGGAAGGATCCTTCAAGGGGCATCTAATCCAGTCCAGCATCGTGCTTATAGAGAGATTTTGAAGCAATTTCCAGACAGACTGGCTTCTCTCCTGTTCTTCATGTTTTCTAGGAAAAGAGATTCCACAAGTTTCTGTGGTTACCCACGCTATTGTTTGGGAAAGAATTGAATTCTCAAAACTAAAATTGAAAGCTGCAGGGCAATTGGGTTTTCATATTTTAGAGAATGTAATTATTAGAATTCAGAATAGCTTATTTGCTTCGAACTACATAGTAACTTGTAGCAAGCCCTATTTGGCCAAATTGAAAAACAGAATTTTCTTTTGACTGTGGCCGGGGTAATTTTTTTTTCTTTTTTTTTTTTTTCCCCCCCAAGACAGAGTCTCGCACTGTTGCCTGGGCTGGAGTTGAATGGCAGGATCTCAACTCACTGCAACCTCTGCCTCCCGGGTTCACGCAATTCTCCTGCCTCAGCCTCCCGAGTAGCTGGGATTACAGGTGCACACTACCACACCTGGCTAATTTTTTGAAATTTTTTTTTTTTAGTAGAAATGGGGTTTCACTACATTGGCCAGATTAGTCTTGAACTCCTGACCTTGTGATCGCCTGCCTCAGCCTCCCAAAGTGCTGGGATTATAGGCGTGAGCGGCCAGGGTAATATTAACATCCTCAAACCCAAACAGTTCTAATTTTCTCCACTGAACAAGCATTTATTATGTTTTTACTCTGGGCCAGGCCCTCTGCTAGTTACTGGGATCCAAAGATAAATCAGAAATACTCTCTGCCCTAGGGGACTCCAAGTCTGATGAAGAATATGGCAGTTATCTGTGGTGCTGGAGTCTCTGTTCAGTTGTGTAGAAGGACAGGAGAAGTTGTGAAGGAAGGTAACATTTCTTTAGTGCGTGGGCCATGCCAGACCCTTTATACATGTCTAACTTAGCCGAGATCACAGCTCTGCGAGGTAGGCAGTATCATCCTCATTTCACAGAAGAGGGACCTAAGGCTCATGAGGTTTAGCTACTTGCCTGTGGCCATACAGCCAGAAAGTGGCAGAACTAGAACACAAAGCGAGCTCCATCTGCAGAGCACATGCTGTTACACACCAAACAACGGATTCCCTCATGGGCAGGGTGTCACCTTTTTGGAGTTGGCTTTAGATTTTATTTTGTCAGACTCTTTGGGAAATTAGCCACTTCACCCAAAGTCTGAATGTTGACCAATAATCTCAAATCTCCCACATAGTAGGTTGATTTTAGCAGGAAAGGTAGGAGTAAACCAGAGGAGAATTTTGTTTTGGGTTGACTTTAAGATTCTTTATCTGGACGGTAAAAGACAATAAGGATGTGTATTTTTTGGTGCATGAATGTTATTTACCTCAATGAGCCCCTCGCTGTTCTCATGTAGACAGAGGTGAGGGAGGAGAGGAGCAAGGCTCAAGGTTTCTAATGTCAACCGGGAATGTCGTAAAACTATGAAGGTAGAAATCTTAGTTTTCTGGTTAGAAAGTAGAGAATGAATGAAATTACCCCAATAAGGATATCAGTGTTGCTAGCAAGAAGTTAACTTTTTTTTTTTTTAACATTTATCTCTATAAAACTCTTATGTTTGATAATAGTTTGGTGCTATTGATAGAGGATTTTGAGGCTTATGATAATTCTTATGATTTCTCTAGACTTAACTCTTTCTCTAGAGTGTGTGCTTATGTCTTTCATTGATATCTTTAATTAAAATGATACTAATAACCATTATTATTATTTGTTTTTATCTTTGAGAGGACCTAGGAAGTCATCCAGTCTCATTCTCATTTTGCAGATCTGAAAATTGAGGTGCAGAAAAGTTAAGCAATTTGTGTAAGGTCACAGAGCTAGTGCTGGTGATAGAATTTAATGGTTATTTTTAGTTCACAATAAGCTCAACTAAAACATTTTAAAAAATCAGTCGATTATTTAGAAATGAAGTTTCTGTTAGCAACAGTAATAGTAGTTTGGATTCAGATGATTCTGATTTAAAGTATGAAGTTAATTTTCTCAAAGAGGTGCTTTAATTATCATAAGATTATAAATATTAATGATTTGAAAGTAAGTTAAGAGCTCTAGTGTTTTGGTATAGTCTGGAGTGTCATTCATGCATTTTCCAGAGTTGTTTGTAGAATTAACATTCAATCATTTATCTACTCTTTAGGCAGAGTAGATAAATGAGTATTTTTGGAGACTGAGAGGTAAAGTACAAGTTTTGTGTAACCCTGGTTGAGATGTTCCTAAAGTCAGAATTAAGTCTGTACTGACACTTTGGCCTATTAGAGAGTTTCATGTTTCAAGTTTTTGTTCATTCTTAGGTTCATAGATTACAGGTAGGAGAACCACAAATAAAGTTTTTAACTGAAAAGAAGTTCTTCAAAAGAAATGTTTTCATGAACTTGAAGTGGGAATTAGTCATTGTGTTCTTAAATATTGACTCTTACGTGGACGAAGTAATCTTTATTTCTAAGTACTGCTTCAGGCTATTGCCTTCTTTAATAACTAAGGCATTGTTGCTTTAGTTTGAGCATGTTCTATGGAATTTTGGCAATGCATGTATCCTCTTTCTGCATCTTAGTAAAAGCATGAGTAAATATTTTTTCTTAGCTTTGGTATTTTTGTAGCTTACATTTTATATGGGCCAGACTAATATAATGTAATACCAGGATTACATAATTTAAGACGTCAGGATTGCTTCCAGGAGTATGAGATAAAGTCTTCATTTATCAGGGGGTTTACAAGCAGTATTTCTTGCCCCTTCAATACCTGTAGAGCAATACCACTGAGCTATTTTCCAAATGAGAAAATGGAGTCTAAGAGGTTAAAGCCAGAGGGAACAGTTTCTTTAGAACTTGGATAATATTTCTTTATTCAGAACTTGGTCCTTGTAACTACTGATTTGAGTAATGTACAGTTTGGAAATCTCAGGAATTTCCAGCTATTGTTGTTATACATTGAACTTTTAAATAAAATATACTCTTAATTTTTTCATTGAATACTCCTTATGGACCTTGGCATCCTGGTATATACAAAAGTAGTTTATAACATGTCTGAGATTTCAAGGAGTTTACCATTTATTGAGAGGTAAGACCAACATGGAAACTAGTTTAGGAAATGTGAGAATCAAACTCTCTGGCACTGACTGTCAGGGGATAAGAGGTCAGAGGAGGATGAGGCCATTCTCCATGTAGCAGTCTGGGTTGAATCCGGACTTGAAAGGATGGTCAGGATTTCAATAGGTAGAGAAGAGGGTGTTGCATATGGGATCATGTAACATAAACAGAGATGTAGAAGTTGGAACACACATTGTACATGTCTAAGAAAATTAAAAGATGAATCAGATGAGGAAAGAGAGGACATGTGGAAGTGTTCATTCAGTCATTCATTCCTAGAGCAAGGATTCATGGTCACTTAGTCTGCATAGGCACTGTAGTAGGTTCTGAGACTATCAGTGAGTGTGGAAAACAGACATGTCAGGAGACTAGTTTGAATTTTACAGAACATTGGGATTCATTTAGAAGTCTTTGTATCAGAGTATTCTGTGATAAAACCATTGCTTTAGGAATTATTTGAGAAGTGATTGCATTCTGTACCACTGGCTGGTGGGCATGGAGAATGTGATGCAAGGCCTTGAAAGGGAGTGCCACTTCTAAATTGAGTAGCAGCTATGTTAATGGGGAATATATGTCCTATGTTTTAACGAATACTAGTTTTCTCAAGAAATTAAGAGATGTTTAGTGAAAAATAGATTTTTCTGTTATTCACTGACTAGAAATGCTGAATTAAATAATGACAGGTTTCTCAGACCTGTGCTATAATGTGTTTTGAGAATCATCAAGAGTGGGATATAGCATGCAGTATGAGCATTTCCCTAAATTATTTGACCATGGAGATTCTCTCTCTTCCCTTCTCTCTCTCTCTCTCTCTCTCAAAGAACATATATTGCCATTTTTTTTCCATCCAACAGTTTGGGGAATACTGCTGTCGGGATACTGATTAAAGCAGGTGAAAGGCATATTTCTGATTATTAGGAGCAGTAGATATATCTACTGTGAGAAAGACATATATATTTGAGATATATCTTGGCAGCAACAGAAAGGATTAGTTTTAGTTACAGCTAAATACACTGTAAATTATCCCACATTGTCAGATAAAAATGTAAAATAGCGTCCTACATATAGTAGGTAGTCAATACATTTGAATCTAGGAAAATTTCATAATTGTAGACCTTTAAAAATTCTATAATAACCAAAATGCCTCTTTGAGAGAATGAACTTTATATTCTAGGTTAGAATCTTCTAACATTTTGTCAGAAGAACATAATTTCCATTTTCCCAATGATTTGACCATTAGTATGGGGAAGATAGTGCCTATAATACAGTTGGTGAACTGATCAGCAAGATTAGTACCTAACTTGCATGACTGTGATATATGTATCTGTTTGTGGGGTGGGTGAAGAGTGCCGACAGGGAGAACGACATAACATAGTAACCAGCTTTGAAATACAGTCTTGCTAGTAAATTAAGTAGCACACTCTGTTGTTGTCATTCCTAATCCCCACAGTAATAGCACCGTCTGTTAACATTTACCCAGAGGCTTGAAATAATTCAGACTTATGCAGCTAGAATCCTTTTGGCTGCGAATAACAGTAAACCCAAATCAAAATTTAAATACAGACAACTTACTATCCCATATATAACCAGGAAATTTTAAAGAGGATTGATTCTTTTGAGGTTGAAAACATCATCAGAGACTCCGATTTCCCTTCTTGTTTCTGCTGTGCCATCCTTGATGTGATGCCATGAGCCCCAGGCAAGCTTCCTTCATGGTTGCAAGATGGCTTCAGTTCCAGCCATCATATCCAGACACTGCAGTGTCTAGGCACAATACCCAGTGGCCTTGTGCATTTCTGTTTCTTTTTAAGAGCAACAGCATTTCCTCCTGTTTATGTTCCCATGTTCCCACCTCCACACTCTACACACTTTTCTTCATATCTTGTTGGCCAGAGTTAACATCTTAGCATGGCCCAGCTTATCCCTGGTGATAGAAATAGATCCACTATAATTAGACTAATAGGATTCATCAGTTGGGTCTGGGGTTGGTGCTGGTCCTCCCCGAAGCACGTGACTACTCAGAAGGGTGAATACCCAACCAAAATCAGTTCTGTTAAGAGGAAGGATGAGATAGAGGAATAAATATTGATTAGGCAACTAATCATGTGTGCTACTACATTCTTCTAGGCTATCTGAAAAGCTCTGAAAATGTTTGTGTTAAGAACAGTGACTTAAGACTATGTATGTAGTATTTTAGCTTAATAGGAAAATATGTTTTTCTTTTATGTATTTTCTTTATGTAATTATTAAAAGATGTGAAGTAGTACAAGTGTCTAGATATATGATTCCATAAAATTCATTCCTGTAAGCAGCTTGCATTATAAAAATCTCACCCAGGAACAAAGTGTGTGTCTTTACACATGACTTTACTAAGTTTTGTAGAACGTTAAAATAGAGATTCTGAGTAGAATGTAATCAGTTCCTAACCACGAAAATGCTATTCTGCAATATGAAATGTCTCCCTGGTTCAGAGCTAATCTCTAACAAGCTAACAGAATGTTAACATTGTTTTTTAATATAAACTCTAATTCACTTTCGAATTTCACCTCTATATTATCACATTGATTTTCTTCTTGTAAGGCCAAATAATGTGAAGTCAAATAGTCTTTCTAGGTTTTTTTTTTTTTTTTTTTTTTTTAAGACAGGGCCTAGCTCTGTCGCCCAGGCTGGAGTGCAGTGGCTGGCACAACCTTGGCTCACTGCAACCTCTGCCTGCTGGGCTCAAGCCATCCTCCCGCCGCCTCAACCTCCCAAGTAGCTGGGGCTACACGTGCGTGACACCATGCCTGGCTAATTTTTGTATTCTTTGTAGAGACCGGGTTTCGCCATTTGCCCAGGCTGGTCTCAAATTCCTGAGCTCAAGTGATCCACCCACCTCAGCCTCCCAAAGTGATAGGATTACAGGTGTGAGCCACCATGCCCAGCCGTCTTTCTAAATTTGTTGGGATTATTAATTATTTTTATTTATGAACCAAGTGTTTTGATGTAACTTCTTGGTCTCTGAACTCAACTTAGGTCAGTTGTCCTGAACAATCTCTCTTTCTCTGTTTGCTACGTTTCTTTCTTTTCTGTCCTCTAAACTCTAAATGTTTTTTTCAGCATATACTGCCTCTATAGAAGTGGTCCATGAGGCGGTCTGGGTCAGGGCAGACCGCTCAGGCTTAGTAGAAGACGGGGTCAGACTAACTTCTCTTGAGAAAGAAACAGGTTACTAAATCTTGGAGGGCTAGAATTTTCCACTCTATAAACACAATTCTAGAAGCATCTAATACTCTTCAGACATCTTCATCTTTCTTTTATTTATCTCTATGATCACTCAAATTCTGAATACCTGAAGTTGATTTAGATACATATAAATGGTCAATTGCATACTTCCCTCCTTCAATTCACTTGATTTCTTCTTTTGCCCCCTATAAGCAAAGCCTTCTTATGCCGCTGGTTCCATTTTCTATGATTAGTGTCCTGTTTAGATGATTCAACATTTTTTTTCTTCATCATTCATTCAGCACAGACGTTTGCAAGGTTCAAGGATCTGAGTACTAAGGGGAGTACAGACATTTATAAAATATGGTCGAAATCTTTGGGGAAGAGTGGAGGAGGAGAGATAACACTTGAACTCGGCTGTAAACGTAACTCTAAAACAAAGTGGAAAGCTGTCAGTACTCTGTGAACTCCTTTCCTCTCTCTCAGGGGAAGAGCCTGCATGTTCCACTCCTCCCATTTCCTCACTTCAGCTTCACTGTGTAATTGTACCTGGAACAGAGCTCTTTCTCACAGTCTTAAAACACACATCCTCTTTAAACCCCCATCTCTTTAATTCTTCTTCCATTAAGGTGAGAAAATGTCATCTATTTCTGTATCTTTCTTCCTTCTTTTGCTCTATCCATATGACACTAAGTGATTCAGGTCATGGTTTACAAACACAGAGCAGTATTGATGATATGCCTCTCCTACCTGTACAGTCATGCCCCACATAACATTTCAGTCAATGACAGACCACATATATGACGATGGTTCCATAAGATTATAGTGGAGCTGAAAAATTCCTATCCCCTATGATGTCTCAGCACAATGTGTTAGTCGCATGTTTGTGGTGATGCTGGTGTAAAACCTACCTCTGCTGTGCTGTCAGTTGTATAAAAGTCAAGCATGGGCCGGGCGCGGTGGCTCACACCCGTAATCCCTGTAATCTGGGAGGCCGAGGCAGATGGATCACCTGAGGTCAGGAGTCTGAGACCAGCCTGGCCAACATGGTGAAACCTCGTCTCTACTAAAAATACAAAAATTAGCTGGGTGTGGTGGCAGGCGCCTGTAATCCCAGCTACTCGGGAGGCTGAGGCAGGAGAATCGCTTGAGCCCAGGAGGCAGAGGTTGTGGTGAGCCAAGATCGCGCCACTGCACTCCAGCCTGGGTGAGAGTGAGACTCTGTCTCAAAAAAAAAAGCCTAACATGTACGATTATGTACCATAATGTGATACTTGACACAAAACGATGATGTTACTGGTTTATGTATTTACTATAATATATCTTTTATTGTTATTTTAGAGTGTACTCCTACTTATTAAAAAAAAAGTTAACTGTAAAACTGGCTCGGGCGGGTCCTTCGGGGGTATCCAGAAGAGGGTGTCGTTCTCATAGGAGACAACAGCTCCATGCTTGTTATTGCTCCTGATGACCTTTCAGTGCGACAGAATGTAGAGGTGGGATATTGATGATCTTGACCTTGTGTAGGCCTAGGCTAATGTTCATGTTTTCTTTTTAACAAACAAGTTTAAAAAGTAGGATAATAAATTTTAAAAATAGGAAAAGCTTATAGAATAAGTGTATAAAGAAAGGAAATGTTTTTGTACAGCTGAATAATGTGTTTTAACCTTTGTTACAAAAGATCAAAAAGTTAAAAATTTTAAGTTTATAAAGTAAAAGTTACAGTAAGCTAAGATTAATTTACTATAGAAGGAAAAAATTTTTTAAATCAATTTAGTGTAGCCTTAGGATACAGTGTTTATAAAGTCTCCAGTAGTGTACAGCAGTGTTCTAGGCCTTCATGTTCACCCACCACTCACTCTGACTCACCCCAGAACAACTTCCAGTCCTGCAGGCTCCATTCGTGGTAACTGCCCTAGACAGGTGTGCCATTTTTTTTTATCTCTTATAGCATATTTTATTCTTTTTCTATGCTTAGTATGTTTAGATACACATATACTTACTGTGTTAGTATTGCCTACAGTATTTAGTACAATAACATGTTGTACAGGTTTGTAGCATAGGAGTAATAGGCTATACCATATAGCCTAGCTATGTAATGGGTTATACCATGTAGGGTTGTATAAGTATACTCTACGATGTTTACACTACAATGCAATTGTCTAATGACACACTTCTGAGAACATATCCCTGTTGTTAAGTGACAGGTGGCTGTATTTGGAAATGAAGTTATATGTACTAAAAACACATTGTCACTGGCCTTTAAGAGTGACAAGTGCCCGGTTTTCCCCAGAAACCTAGCACCAGGTCATCATCTCCATCTCTTTCATGCTTTAATTAAGCCAACTTTCCGTTTAGCTTCAAACACTTCAAGGAAATAAAAGAGGTTCTTTCAATGATTCTCTTGTTTTGATTAGTTATCAATATTATAGTAGCATAGGTTTCAATTTTTAATTGTTGCAAAAGTGTAGTGTTTCAATGGTGAAGTAATTTCTGTGGGCTGTCTGCAGTGCCACCATTTATAGCATTTATGTCTTTGGAAAAACGTATTTCAATTGCCATATGACTATAAGTTGTGGGCTTTCCATCTCTGGAGATATCATACTTAAATACTTGCCTGTTTTTAACCTTTCTGTTTTCAGCCTTGGCTACCTTCAAAATTGTGCTGTCATGCACTGCCAAACTGGTTGGCTGTCCCATGAAGATCAAATTCCATGACATCCATGGCATTTTTTATGGAGGTTTCTTTCTCTGGAAACTTTTCTTCCCCCAATCCCTGTTAAATCGAAGTTTAACGGTTTTTCAGGGCCTTGTGTATAATATCACTCTTTGTAGAATTTCTTTAATCAAAATAGCAAAAGGAAACATGTTTCTTGGTTCATTTATCTTAGTCTTGAGTGGGTTTGTGTGCATGATCTAATATCTTCATTATGTATTAAGGATCAACTGTATGCCAGACTTAGTGCAGGCATTAGCAACTTATTCTTAGGGAGCATACAGTGTGCTGGAAATGAAACAAAACAAAAACCAACAGGCACAAAATCATTACAGAACAGGTAAGTCTTATTGTGAAGTGACAATAGTGATAAAAACGAAGAAGAGGGAACAATCATTAATTAGGAACCAAATGTTATAGTATTATTCTAGTATAACTCAAGTAAGTGTTTGATTGTTGTTACATGTTCTGTCTATGATGTATATGTTTTAGCCTATATATTAGGAAATGCTTGGAGTTGTGTTTGCTGTTTACAAGAGGTTTCCCTACTTCTCAGAGAAACTTACCAATTTTAGATATGTACTCTTTATATTACTTTATTTTGCTTTTTGGGACAGAGTCTTGTTTTGTCACCTAGGCTGGAGTGCAGTAGCACAATCATAGGTCACTGCAGTCTTGACTTCCCAGGCTCAAGTGATCCTCCCACCTCAGCCCCGCCGCCGAGTAACTGGGACTACAGATGTGCACCACCCTGCCTAGCGAATTTTTATAATTTTTTGTAGAGAGAGAGTCTCACTACATTGCCCAGGCTGGTCTCAAAGTCCTGGGCTCAAGTGATCCTCCTGCCTCGGTCTCCCAAAGTGCTGGGATTATAGATGTGAGCCACCATGCCCAGCCAGGTGTGTATTCTTTATAATCAGAGATACTCTATGATATAATTGTCAATATTTTTATTTTGGGGGGTGACAGTAAATGAGTATTTAGCAATATTCTCTGTTCCCCTGAAATTTGTAATTTTTGGTATATTTACTTAGGAGAACCACGGACCTTTAGAGACCTGAGTCCAAGTGTGAATTGAAGAAAAACACCTGTATGTTTTCAGTAGGCCTATAGACTCCAACTCTTTTCCTACATTTATTTTTTCTTACTACGGTCAGTCTTTTGTCCCTCAGGTCCTCCCCATTATCACTACCCATCCCATAGATGAGCTCTGTTTCCTTATATTCAAAACAAATATTCTTCAACTGAGATTATCTCTTCCTTGCTACCAGTTCACTGCTGATTTTACAGGTTAGCTAAGTCTAGTGAAACTGCGGAGTCTTCCAAAGCCAGGTGGATGAATGGATTATGCTGTGGTCTAGGCTAGGTCTTGTTGCCTCTATCTGTTTCACTTTTGTTCCCTCTTTTTATGTTGAAAGTAGTATATGCTTATTTAAAATAATGGAGAATATGAAAAAGTTAGAGTCTTATTCTTGTCACTCAAATACAATTTTTGTTAGCATTTTGTTGCATTTTCCTGTCATTTTCTCATTCGTGAGTGTTCAGTTTTTATAAGGTATATTACTAATTATTATATACACACAGTTTTGTATCCTCCCTTTTTCGCTTATAGGAGGCATTTTTCATGTAGTTATGTAATCATTCATCTTCTAAGAGGTGCTTAAGTAACATTCCTTATAATGGACAAATCGTAGTTTACTTGATAATTCTACTACTATTAAACATTTCGTTTCCCCCCTAGTTTTTAATATTATTAGTAATGGTATGGTGAGCATCTTTACGTATAAAATGTTTTAATGTGTAGGGTTATTTCCTACAGATAGATTCTCCTAGGTGTAATTTATGTGTCAAAGGTTATAACTGGCCTCAGACTCTATTTACATATTGTCAGATTTCTTTTCTTTTCCTTCTTTCTTTTTTTTTTTTTTTTTTTGAGACAAGGTCTCACCGTGTCACCCAGAGTGAAGTGCAGTGGGGCGATCTCAGCCCACTGCTGCCTCGACCTCCTGGGTTCAAGCAATTCTCTTGCCTCAGCCCCCAAGTAGTTGGGGCTACAGGTGTGCCACCCCACCTGGCTAATTTTTGTGTTATTTTTAGAGATGGGGTTTTGTCATGTTGCCCATGCTGGCCTCAAACTCCTGAGCTCAAGTGATCTGCCTGCCTCAGCCTTCCATAGTGCTAAGATTGCAGGCATGAGCCACACCCGGCCCTTGTCGGATTTCTTGAAAAACATTTTTTCCCATGTCACCTTCCTACTCAGGAATTTTTATTAGCTTTCTGTTGCCTACAGTCTAAAGTCATACCCATCTAATTGGTCCTTTTCGTTTTTAAAACACTTTCTAAGAAACTTTTTTTGTTTTAACCACCTACTTATCATTGAGCATTACATTCCATCTGATTTTCCACATAATAAAAAGTGATGCAGGGAATATTCTCTTATGCAGAGAGAGGCATGTTTTTTTGGATTTTTTGAGGGGATAAATGATCAGCAGCGAAAATGCTGGGTTAAAGAATATAAACATTCAATGAAACTAATAACCAAGCCTTTTAAAAAATAAGATTATATCAGTTTACAAATTTACCAGTTATGTATAGTCTTCCTAGTAGTGAGAATAATAATTTTTTTTAATGTTCATTTAAGGGAATGTGAGGGGGAAATTTCCGTGTTTTTTTCAGTTTGCATTGTTTTTATTACTAGTGAGATTTCAGGTTTGTCCACATTATTTGTTGGTTAATTGTATTTTCTTCGGCTTAGCTTTCAAGGCCCTCTGTAAGTTGGACCTGCCCTTTTCACCTTATCTGCTGTTATTCAAACCCACAAATATTTATTAAGCCCCTGCTGGCTAACTTCTCCCACCCCAACAAATAAACACACTCTAATCAAGCCAATCTCCCTATTGTTCCCTTGAACTTGTCGGGCTTTTCCTTTTTATGCTTTTGTTCATGCTTTTTCTACTCCTACAGTGCCTGTCCCTCCTCTTTTGCTTACAGTATGCTGATTTCCCCCATCCTTTGGGTTCAACCCAAAGCTTTTTTCCTCTTGGAAATTTTCCCTGACCTGACCAACTTGCTTGAGGACAGGGTCCGGGGCTCATACTCCCTTGTATCCCAGTGCCTTATTTAGGATCTGCCTAATATAGTAGGTAGGCAATGATGTTGCTTTAAAAATGCATCTTGAGATAGGGAGACCTAGACTTAACTTTTGGCTCTGACTTTGAGCAATTTATTTTAGTCCCCCGGGCCTCAGTTTCTTCATCTCAGGGTCAATCATAAAATGGGGATGGTAATAGTATCTGCTTCTAGAGTTGTGAGGAATAAATGTGGTAATGGTCATCCCAGCACTTGGTCTTCCTTTCCTTAGGACCCTTCCTGATGTGCCCCAGATTCTGTATGCCATCTCTTTCTTGCGGTGGTATTGTTTCTTGTGAATTGTTATATGCCCTCAGATACCAAATTCTTAAGTTGGTGGGGGATTGTATTTTAAATTTTTTGCCCATCCTAAAGCGCTGTGTAAATGCTGATTGAGTATAATTGAGTAGCTTTGGTAGCAGTGAGTATAATTGGGTAGCTTTGGTAGCAGTGAAAATGAGGGCAATGCAGTGAGGAGGACCTCATTTTCAGTCTTTTACTAAAAGCTTTACTGACCCTTTATTGGAGAACTTTCTCTTAGGGCCTTTAAAAAATATTTAATTTTGTTGCTTATTCAGCCAAATGGAGTTAGTTATTCAGTAGAAAATGGTAAAAAGATCCAAATAACACCACCGGATTTCACTTTTCCATATAGTGTTTCAAAGCGTTGTATTCATTAATATTTGTGCAAAAACCTATGGTTAATACCACAAGAAGTCATAAACTAAACCAGATTTTTCCCCTTTTTAACTTTCACATGACTTGGATTAACAACAGCGTTACTCCCTAATTTACACCAAGCATTCTCAAAAAGCTGAAACAATGATTCATGTTTAGTCACCGTGTGACTGGCTATTTTCATTTATTTAAAATATAAACAACAAAAAATATCCTGGATAAAGATCTCCACATATTTTAACTAGTGACAGATGCTATGATCAGTATTTTTACTTAAGTCAGGCATTTTTTACTTACACCTCAAGCCTTGCAATTAAGCTTTAGGCCTTTCCAAGCATAACAGTTAACCAATAAACCAAAATATCAGCCTGGTCTGGCTTAGCTCAGCGGTCTTTTGATTTCTTCCAGTCTGTTTGATGTGGAGGCTTATTGAGATTTATCTACTGAGCTGTTCATAGTTTGTAGGGCTGAGAGCACTGGCTATATTATATAAGATTCCATTAGTGACAGAAGAGTGTAGACAGTCTCTACAGTGTAGATCGTTTAGTCAGTTGTGGTAGTCATAATTTTGTTGAAATTTTTAAGACTGTTGTCAAGCTTTTTAAAATTAATAGTCAATTATTTTTCTTATTTACCAGTTTATACTGTGAGCCTCAAAACAGATGTAGTTTGATTGGTTCAATTTAGTAGAAATTTTCTCAACTTTCAGGAGAAGTCTCTGCAGATGTGAAAACTTTTCCAATTATTTGGACCAGTTTACCCACAGGGAAATAAAAATAGAAATACAGAGTAATCAGTCCTAAATATTTGCTGTGTGGGTAGGTAAACATTATTCCATTGTATTGTTCATGATGGTAGTAGCATCAGTATACCAACCTTAAGTGCTACAAAGGGCTTTTACATACTATGTCCTGTATTCCTGGTAGTGATACTCAGTAAGTATTATTGTCCCTTTTCTAAATGGCACACTTGGAATTTGGGTTATTTATTTGCTACATCATTTCATATCTAGCGTGAAGCAGAGCTAGTGTTCAAATTTGCACTACATGAAAGGTTTTTTTTCTTGTTAAATAATATACAGTATTTCTTAAAGTAACAAAGTTCTGCCAAGCAGCATCCCCGTGGTGTTTTTTTTTTTTTTTTTTTTTTTTTGAGACGGAGTCTCGCTCTGTCGCCCAGGCTGGAGTGCAGTGGCGCGATCTCGGCTCACTGCAAGCTCCGCCTCCCGGGTTCACGCCATTCTCCTGCCTCAGCCTCCCGAGTAGCTGGGACTACAGGCGCCCGCTACCACGCCTGGCTAATTTTTTGTATTTTTAGTAGAGACGGGGTTTCACCGTGTTAGCCAGGATGGTCTCGATCTCCTGACCTCGTGATCCGCCCGCCTCGGCCTCCCAAAGTGCTGGGATTACAGGCGTGAGCCACCGTGCCCGGCCCCCCGTGGTGTTTAATCACATCCTCTTTCTTTAGAAGTAGAATAAAATTACTCACATTTATCCTGCTGAAGATAAGAAAATAAGGTCATATTGGAGGAATAATGAAACATATTTATGCTTTCTGCCTCAGTTGCCTCATGTCTTGAATGGGGAAAATATCTCTTAGGGTTTTTGTGCAATTGAGTGAGTTCATACGTGCCTGCAGATTAGGAGAGTACTTGGCACAGAGTAAATGCACAATACAATTAGCTCTTGTAAGCATTCATTTACTCAGTAGGGTATATTGACCTGCTGCTATGTGCCAGGTAATATGCTGGGCATTAGGAGGTAAATAAGTCAAAGTCTTTGCCCACAAAGATCTCAGAATCAAGTAGAGTAGACATACCCCAAACTGTGTGCTAGCAGCGTGAATATTCTCATATAGAGGTATGCAAGGAGGTATGGACACACAGAGTAGGGATGAGTAGGGACTGTTAGGCAAAACTTCCTGTAAGAGTCAGGGCCTGAGCTTGAAGGATGAGTAGAAGTTAACCAAGTGAAGAAAACTGTAGGGGCAAAGGGAGCCAGGAGGACAGATGATGGTAGTGAAAGGTTGGTGTGAACATGTTTTTTCAATTCAGAATTTCTTGAAGACATTAATATGCTGCTATGCATTATGATTCTCCAGTCGTAGCATTGACTACTCATTTAAAATATTGAATCATGGAATCCTTTTAATAGAATATCCATTGAAGAGCTGTGTTTTATAGGACACACTTTGGGAAATTCTGGATGGACCAAGTGGTGAGAAGAGAGGAGCATGAGTTCAGGTTGGAAATGAGGCAGACAAGGAGGATGGAGAGACAGATACTGATTAGAGATATTAAGACAGTAGATTTGATAGGACTTGATGAAAAACAAGGGGGCCAGGGAAGAGGAAACATAGTGGCATGGCAGCAGATTTGTGGCTTGGACAGATTCTGGGGCTCATGGTGCCATTTACAGCAGCGAGGATTTAGGAGGAGGAACAGACTGGTGGGGGAAGATACCAAGTTCAGTTTTGCCCCTGTGTTTTGAGATGCCTGGGGGACATCCAATGGCAGATCCAAAATGACATCTATTTGGCAGTTAGATATGTAGGGTCTGGAGCATAGGAGTGAGGTCTAGGTCAGATGAAGGAGTCATCCGTAGGTGGTATTTTATGCCAGGAAAGTGAATGAGATCACCCAGAGGGGCTAGGGTAGACTCAGGGAAGCATCAGTATTTAAGTGAGGTATGAAGGATGAGGATCCCTCAGCAGACATTGAGTATTTTAGTAATCTGATATTCTTTGGGACAGGCTTGCTCTTTTCAAGATCTGTGAGTATTTTGTTGTGTTGTGTTTTTCTGGAAAGTGTCTGAATCCACCCATGCAGAAAATCTACTTTGTGGGCTCTTCCTCCCAAGAATCTGGGTAGTTGTAGAAGGAGGCACTTAACCCACGCTCTGAGCTCTCTAAGGAGAGCTGTGTGAGACTCTACCCAGCCCTTCTGAACTCAGTCAGAGAAGGTGGAGCCATCTTGCATCGTTAAGTTTTGGAGTGTTAAGTCCTTAAATGTAACTGGAGAAATAATGAAAGGGAAGTATTCCACTGGATTAAACAAGTTCAATGGATTTTAATTTTCCTGATAAACTATTATTAAGAAATTGTTTTGGAGATTTACTCTTTGAGTAGGATTAGCTAACCTCCATTTTCATTTGGATAAATAGTTCTTTAATTAGAAACCAAGATTTAGAGAATAGTTCCTATTGCTTTACATAGTGTAGAGAAGGTATGTGAAACTGCCAAATCAAGGTTTTCCTCATGATAGTGAGAAGCAGGGAAAACAAGAGGAAATTATAATATGTTAAGGGAAAAGATTCTTTTCATCCAAATATACCAGCTTTTATCTTCAATTCTGGGTCTTTGCCGGCAGGGTTTTTTCCCCCTGTTCTTGTCATGCCAACAGTTGCATATTTCTGGCAAAATGTTCGTTACTGGCTAGGGGTGCTCAAGAAATCTTTTGCTAGAGAATTAAGCAAGCAGAAGTCTGTCAAAACAAATATTCTAGTTTGAAAATACAGTCCTGCGGGGGAAGCAGGAGGAGTGGATAGTGGAGGAGGCCAGGGCGTGTTCTGAGGCTGAGTATTTATTTCATAAGAATTCTGTGTTCTGAAAGACTGTTGTTTGTAGGAATGCCGGAGGAAGCGGGATTGTGGTACATTAAATGTACTGATGAGCAAGATTTTTCTGGGGAATTTTGGTTTGTTCTTGTGCTTGTTATGTAGCTCATGTGATGACAGCCTTTGCCGAGAGTGATACATTTTGCTAACAAATAGCCTTCTTAACTTAATTCAAGAGGCATTTAACAAAACTTATTAGTTTACATGGAAAAAAACCCAGGCCCAAGGATACTAAACACACATAAACAAAGATGCACATAAATACCAGTCCACTTCATAAGCATTTATTTGGCTAGGAATGCCAACATTATACAATTCCAATCTTGAAAGTATTCATTGATTGATTCAAAAAAGTAAAACTTGTTTTTCCTTCTACTTCTTTTTTGTTACTTTTTTTTTTAAGTTACTTGTTTTATAGATGAGTAAGAGTATTAATGGATAGAAGCAAAAGTTTTAGATTCCTTTGTTATATAGTTGCTCAAAGCTACTATTATAGAAGTTGCTCTTCAAGTTGGAGAAACATAGGCTGACATTTTTGGTTTTACCCACTGGGATGGGAGTAGGTGCTAACCATATTAAGCCTCACGGATGAAAACTGTTGCATACAAAAGTGGATTTATTTCTTCTACAGAATTTTCTGACCATATATCAATATACAACTGAGATTTTGTGAGATAACTATAAATAAAATATACTACCTTATAATATTGTTGTAAATGATCTTACATAGTAGAATGTATTAGTAATAAAGCTCTCAAAATAACTAATAAAATAGAGATCAGTTTATTCTTAGCTTCTTCCGGCAAATTTTAAACTTGCTACTGTAAGCAATTCAAGGAGCACATGCCTGTGTCTGGAGCACTGAGAGGAAACCATCCTGCTCTTTCCTTCCCTGATTTCATATACTTTAGTTATTGGAAGAAAGATTAATTAATGTAAAATTTCTTTACTTTTAGTAATTCAAAAGAATAAAAATTTTTTGAGGGCTTGAAAAGATCGTGGTGCACCATTGGCACCATTGGAATTTGCCTTTAGTAAATGTAACATTTGTTTTCTAAAGAATTATAACAACATACTTAAATTCCAGAACAGTAAGCAAAATAGCTTAAGTTCACTGACTTGAAAAAACATTCTTTTATACTGCACGATTCTAAAATAAATACTTAAAAGAAACAGAGAGCAAGCCATTCTATCTTGGATTTCATTTTCCTTCAGATAGAACAGCTAGAACAAACATTCTTGCTAGTTAACATTGCCTGTGTTTTTATGAAGTTAATAACTGACCTGTCAATCACGCCCTATATAAATACGGTAGTTGAATGCTTTCTGCTTTAGAAGCACTTTTATTTACAAGAGCTGCCAGCCAAGATTTCCAAAGGACTCCACGGGCTGTTTGCTTTGATCTGTTTTGAGGGCTGGTCTCTTTATACCTGTTGGTTTGCTCTTTCTGATACCTTTGTGTAATCAGGTATGGGGAGAGCAGATGTGCAGAATAAACACATCTTAAGGGAACCAAGTCTCAAGAGAAATCAAGTAATTATGAATGAACAGCTCTAAAAAAGAGAGAGAGAATATTTTCTTAAATCAACTTAGTTGCTGTTATGACCAAAGAACAGATGTTGTGGTGTTCACCCCAGAGAAGCAAGAGATTTTCCCTTAAACCTCAGCTTATAATGAATGGAAGTGGTATGTGTATCCCTCACCCTCAAACTGTTGCTGTCCTTTAAATTTGTAAATTGCTGAGATGTTGCAGCTCTTCTCAGTTGACTTTTGCCTTTGACCTTTTCTCATTTGCTTCTTCCCTAGGAAATGTTAACCACATGTCTCTGCCCAAATAATTGAGTCTCTGTGAGAGTGTTTACCTTTATATTTTGAACTGGAAATGCCTTTTAGTATTTAAGACAATTTTCCAAAAAAGATGGCTTTTTGTTTTGTGATTTTGATTTGGAGTTCTCCCTCAACACTGAGGGAGAACGGAAAGCCAAATTCATCTTTGTATCCCCGCAAATGGCAACCATAGGGCACAGTGTATAAGAGAATGATAGAAATGAAGAGAAACCAAAATTCTTTGGTCTTCCTTCCAAAATGGCCTATTCTGAGTTTAGTTTATTTCACTTTTCAATTAAATGTTGCCCTAATCATTTCCATATATTACATTTAAATATCACTTTTCTCTAGGAATCTGAATGTTTGAACATATTAGAGGTTGTTACCTTCTATTTTAGTTTGAAATTGAAACATCAAACCAAAAGGTAGCCTCCCCTGTTTTTTTAAACTAGAAATGTTTACCTTGACTTTACAGTCCTTTAGGAGAGCCTGATTTAGAGATTTTCAGGCACTAGAAGTTCACCTTACTATTTCAGGAAATTCTCTTTATACTTTTCAAATGGCTTTCATGGACATTTTTTGGTCAGCGCCTTCCCCTTTTGTGACACTGGCAGGAATCTTAGAGTTTCTGTGGAAAGATGCCTGAACGTTACCCATGGTTTGGAAAGCAGGTGTTTTATTAACCAGAGTTTTCTCCTTTGTTGCTCTAACATTTTCAAAATCTAGTATCTTAAAATGTTATTTGGTTCCTTATTTATGGTTTTAAAATTCTGGCATCTCTATAGTAATCAACAAAGTATAAAATGCAGCCCGAAATCCCCTTGATTCAGCAGCCTTCCTCAGATACTCACTTGCCAGAGTAAAATTATTTGGTAAATGTTAAGGTAGATTAAAGCTTGGGTTTAAACTCTGTTCCCTCTGGGCACCTTTTGGGGGTCAGAGGTGGTAAAGCTGTGGTATTGCCTGGAGCCAGTGCAAACTAACACCGTTGTGTTGCCTGTGTGAAGGCAGAAACCTCTAAGGGATGTGAAACTGCCAAAATTACATTTGAACATTTTCAGGCCTTTGATTGCAGAACCTTTGCTGAAAGCAGTAGTGCAGGGTAGCCAGAGATCAGGCCAGAGAAGCAAGGAGGAGTAAACTTGGATCGGCCATGCCACAGATACTAGGGGAGAAACTGCCTCTCCAAACGATGCACAAGGGACAACTCTGAAGGTCCATGGGACTGCTGAGTTAGCAGATTAGCTGAGTCCCCTCCAGTATTTTCATTTTGCATTCATCCAGGGCTCAAACCTATAATTAAATTTTCTGAACAAAGACTCTATTAACCCAGACCATCCAGATTGATGACTAACAGCTCTTCCTTCCAGGTACATAAGGAAATCTGTAATGCTTAAAGCAAAATAAAGACCCTAGTCAGGTTTGGGGGAGGGCAAAGTCAGGGAGTGGATGTAGTTAGGACTGGGTTTACCTTTCAAAAATCATTTTTTAGTACTTAAAATGGACCTTTCAATGGTTCCTGCACTTACTCAAGTGTATGTGATTTACTGAATGATCTAAAACTTAGTCACAGGGATTTTAATTTAGATATCTATGAAAATGTGTTGGTTTTTAAACTTTTGGCACATTGTTTAAAAATTCTCTCTTTAATATTTTGTGTGGGCAGTGTAGACTTAGGTGAAACTTTTCAGCACAGACCCAGACACAGTTCATTATGTTACTCCTATGCCAAAACTTCAAGTAGCTTTCCAGTGTTTGAGAAATAAGGTTCAAATTCATTAGCTTGGCATTTGAGGCCTTCCACAGTCCAGCCTACTTTCTACGAGAGGTTTTTGCTCTAGCCTTGGCTGTTGTCCCCAGCAAACCTTATACACCTCTGCCTCAACAGTGTCCTTGTGCCATCCCCTTCTCCACTGACTTTTCTCCTCCTCCTACAGCCTCCCCACACTCCTGGGACAGGTGAATCCTAACTGTTCTGCAATGCCAAGCTTCACCTAGAATACTTTAGGACCTCTGCTTTTCCAAATCTGTCAACATCCTGGTTAATCCCACCTCTTGTGAAACTGGCTTTCCTGGAGCATTCCTCTGTGGGCTCTCCCCCACCAGTTTGGCCTCCAGAGCAATGTTATACCACGTCTATGGCTCTTACCACGCCAACCCTTCATTTGTGGTTGGTTTTTGTGTTTTTGTTTTCCCATTCATTTCTGTCTTGTTTTGTAAACTTGATAAAGTTCCTTGAGGCTTAGAATTGTATCTTTTATGTACGAGTGTCCTCCAGAGCACTTAACATAATGTTTAATATATATCTGTCAGTTGTTTGATTGATTGGTGCATGTCTCAGGCCCAGGGCTTGATGTCTTTGCAGTCTCTAAAGACAGCGAGCTATTTTCAGAACCACTGAGTACCTTTGTACCAGGTTTATTTTTTGGCTTTTCAACTTGGTAGTGGAGATGTTAGGCCCAGTTCTGTCCAGAAAATGTATTTTCCAAATCTTTGCATGGACAGAATAGTGTTACAGTCACAGTCTGGAGCAGTTTCACCTGGGTACTGCCAACTCTTTCTTATGCTGACTGGCTGACCCATGTGGAAGTGTTCCTCAGATCTCATTTCAGCTTTCTGGCTTACTTTTTTTTTTTTTTTTTTTTTTTTTTTTTATTAAGAGAAAGCTTGTTTCTAAGATCCTTTTGGGAGCAAAGGCAAGTAAGTATTCATTAAATGTTTACTTTCTTGACTTTAATTCACTTCAGCAGATGATAACTCAGGTGGGATTATGCCTTGACAGTGATCTGACAAGGTCCTTGTTCAGGGTAGTTACTGACTTTTCCAGTATCAACCTTCTAGATACAGCATGAAGCCAACATCCTTGTGTCTGAACTATATAAGGAACTGGCTTTCTTTTAATTTTATGTGTTTTGAGTTTGAGGAAGATGCATATTTTGCCAAGATGTGGCTTTTGAGACTTCCGTGCTGAACTCATTTGGTCTGAAAACTACTGATAAAATTTCTACTTTTGCAAACTTGTTTTTTTGTTTTTGTTTTTAAAAAGTAGGCAAACTCAGTTTTTTAAAAAACAAGTCTACAGTAGTGAATGCCCTAACTGACACAGCATGCTTTGGCTTCTGGAAGCTTGGGCCAGACTCTGAGAGATTTTAATAGCCAGTATGGACCTATGTACACAGTAGTCAGTCCCTCACATTCACACAGCACTGTTTAACATGTGTGTATTTATTCATTCAACAAATATTTTTTGAGAACCAGCCAGGACCCAGGCATTGTACTAGGTTCATGAGATACAGGGATGAGTAATCACTGGATATTTTACTTCCTTATTATTATTTTGACTTTTAGTTTCTAGTCTGTTTTCTCTTACTAGAATATCAGCTCTTTGGAGGGTGGGTATTTGCCTCATTCAGTGTTTTATCTTCAACACCTAGAGCAGTGCCTGACATAGCAGAAGCTCAGTAAGTATTAATCAAATGTATGAAAGAAGGTCTACAACAAGGGATGTAAACACTTATAAAAGCACATGGGAAATGCATATAATCTGGGATTGGGGGAGTCAAGGAAGACATCCTAGAGCAAGAAAGATAATGGGTGAGAGGAAGGATGTGCAATATTTATTTGGGAAAGAGGAGTGGAGGTGAGGGTGACTGCTCCCGTGCAAAAGTCAGGATGAAAATGCACAGGGTACAGAGAGGGCAGCCTGAAGTGAGCTGGGGACCTTGTCAGCTAACTCAAGGACATGGGAGCAAAGAAAGTATCTTAAACACAGGTATAACAGGATTTGCTTTAGTATGATCATTTTGGCTGATGTGGCTGGATTGGAAAGTTGTGCTCAAGACTGAGAGATCTGTTTGTTTGAATAATTTTGTTTGTTAGAATAATGTAGACAAGACAAGTGGTACCTAGACTTTTCTGTTTTGTGAACCAGCAAAATTTTTTTTTTATTTTGAAGATCAACATAATACAGTTATCAACCCTTTAATTTTGTTAAATAAGTACATTAAAAAGCATATTACATGTCAGAATCATTTCATAAATTAAAGGACATTTTCACATACATAACCACATATATACATCCCCCTTTAGGAATCTCAAATTAATATTAGATATTTAAATAGAATACCTTAGCTTTATGCAGAATTTACGGCATTGCACTGTGGGGTTTTTTGTTGTTGTTTTGGTTGTTTTCATTTTCTTCATGAATGGGCACTGGCATGTGGTCTGATATTTGTAAACCGGAGATGTAGGCTAGGATGAAAATGTTGGTGATCAGAATTAGGATAGTGACAGTAGGGGTTGAAAAAAGTGAATAGAATTGAGAGATAGGCGGTCGAATCAGCAGAACTTGGTGATTTCAAAGTACTTGCAGATCTCTTATCTCATTTGATCCTAATGGTAACCATGTGAGGAAGTTAATTTGGTTAGGTATAGTTATCCCCATTTAATAGATGAGGAAACTGAGGCTCAGAAGTTAGGTGACTTCCCCAAGTTACATATCTGATGAATAGCACAATGAAATCATCATTCAGGTGGCATTGGACTCTTGGTATATGGCACCTTCACCCCTTTTTGCTTTTGCTCACATTTCAGGGAAGAAAGGAAAAGGAATCCTGGGCTCCCTGTGAGTCATATCTTTTAGGTCAAAACATACGACGCAGACTGTCCTTAGAATAAAATAATATTTTAGTGATGACTCTTTGATTTATCTTATCTTGCAACATCATCCATTACCAATCCATGAACTTGAGTAACCCTATTTAAATTAGGCCAGAGGAGATGAAGGCTTCTTTGGCAGTATTTTCATGTTATCCTGTGCTACCCTTTTTCCTTTCCATAAATAAGCCTTGGCCATTCTATTTATGGTTGTGTTTGTTTTGTTTTGTTTTGTTTTTTGTCGAGAGGTAGAGGACAGTGAGACTGTGTGTGTATGTAAGGATATCCCCTATCACCTGGGATTTTTTTTTTCCTTTCTCATCCTCAGTGTATGTGCAGATTAGTTTGGTGCTATGTAGATTCCAGAAAGAATGGAATAGACTTTATAATGGAGTACTCCTTGTTGAAGGGCAAAGACAGGAAGTGGAAGTGAATAAAAAGAATGAAATTGGACTTAAAGGAGAAAAAAGTGAAGCAAAAACAATTTGAATTGGACAAAAGAAAAAAGTGTTAGAAAATATTTGTGGGCGGTTCCCTATAACTGAATTTTAAATAACATTTTTGGTGTATAGTCATAAAATCCTCTGACCTATGAAACACCAGTTTAATGGAATTAATTAAAAATAAGATGGAATGCCAGAATTTACATATGAAAACTATCAGTAACTGTTCCTTCAATTCATTGTTTTTATTTAGTCTTTGTATCAGTCATTTTTCTAGGCTCCTTGTTTCCTGGCAAATTTGAAGGTGTTTTTGGAAAACTGTTAAGATTGACTTTAAATTATTTTAGTAGAGACTCAACTACTAGTAAGTCTGTTGTAATTACAAATAATTATGAGAAATACGGTTTCCTTTTCCAAGAAGCAAATAAACTTGTTATTGAAGCATCTGCACCTCTTTGTGTATATGTTCACAGAAGTGTCTACTTTTACTACTAGAATGGGCACATCAAAACCAAATATTGGTATCTTATTATGTGTGAGTAGGAGAGTGAGAGTAGCATTGTGTATACCGCCATTTTCATCTCCTTTAATCACCTCACTCACTGTGCATGTGTGTGTGTGTGTGTGTGTGTGTGTGTGTGTGTGTGTGTGTGTGTGTGTAGATATCCTAAATACGTTTTTTCTACCGATGTGGAACATTCTATCCCACTTCATAGCTGTCTTCCTGGCCTTTGGCACGTGTGTGCACACACACACACGTATATAAAATTTAGTGTTTGATTCCTTCAAAGTATAGGTGTTAATGTATTCAGAATGCTGTGTAAAATTTTTTATGCCAGACCTAAATTTTATTCATGCTTTCAATGCCTGTACTTTGTGTATTTTTAAAAGCTATTTGCATTGTAAGTTTGAAAGTGAGTTATGTTCTCTGGTGTACTCTTAGTATCTTAGTATCTTGAGTGTGTTGAACTTAATTGTAATTTATACTAATTTCCTCTCTATTCCTTTCATCTCATCTTTAAAGTGCTGAGGGAAAGGAAGAGGACTTGGTGGCAAGAGCCAAGACAAAAGAACAATGTGTGTGTAATTTGTTCAGAAGGTACAAAGTTAGATTTGTGATTTGTTGATGCATTATCTCATTTCTCAAGTAATTCCACTAAGTAGGCACTATTATTCCCATTTTATAGAAAACAAAATGTAGTGACAGAGCGAGACTCTGCTTAAAAAAAAAAAGAAAAGAAAAGAAAATGTAAAATTATTTAGCAAGGTTGAATGAATCACCCAAGGTTACACTGCCACTGTGTGGTATTCCTCTGGTCAGGCTGGTTCTAGACCTTTGCTCTTTCTCTACTTTGCATTTCCTCATTCCCACCCCACCACAGAATAAATAATCTGTGGAACATGGTTTCACATTCTATTCCATGATGTAGTAGCAGCCTTTTCTAAAATGAAATGCTGTGCATATTATTATTTTTTAATTGCCATTGGAAGTAGGCTGAATGTAGTCAGATAAATAGTATTTGAACTGCCTTAGTTTATGTGGAATATTACCTTTGTCTGAATGCATGACTTTTTTTAAACTTTTAATGTGATTTTATAATTTAGATGAGTATTTGCCTTAACAATGATGAGTTTTGCACATTTTTAAGACTACTTGGAGGTATTTATATACCTCAAATATTTACTAGGAAGTATCTTTGCAAGGTTAGGTAAAACATTTTACCAAATGAGTTTCAATGAGTCTCTGTTGGGAAAGGTTAAATAGCACTGTAGCGTAGTCTTTTGGCAATCGAGCAGTTCGTCTGCACAAATAACAGTGAATATAATTGATGGTCTTAGTAATAAGGTCATAAAGTCAAAAAGAGCTACCACAGTGTGGTCAACGTTTTGACCATAAGGAACAGAATGTAAAAGTTGGTTAGCTGGAAGGATTTCCTGCCTCCTTAGTAACTATTGTGTCTCTGTTTCCTTAGTCATAGCTGAATTGAGAAGAAGAGAAAAATCTTTTAATTCTGCATTTAGAATTGATGTTTTTCAGATTTACATAGTGGAAAGCGTGTTTGGATGAGTATAAGCCAGAACCTAACCTATCCTTTGCATAAATGCCTTTCTGCAATACTGCTTATTCAGGATAGGCTTCTCTTGTGTCTTCTTGTTAGCCTGCTCTCTAACCCTTGTTTTACACATTATAGCATTTAATATGCTCCTGTTTTTAACTGACAGAATTACTCTTTGCATTGTTGTGTGTGTTTGTGTGTGTGTGTGTGTGTGTGTGAGAGAGAGAGAGAGCGAGAGCACGTGCTTATGCAAGAGAGAAAGTGTGTTTGTATGACGGACAGAAGTACTACAGGCATACCAAGAAACAGCTGCCACCTAAAATTTATAATCAACAATAGAAAGAAAAATAGAGATTTTTTAAAAACGGGAATTCCGTAGAAGCAGGTATACTGTAATATAGGGAACAGATGGAAAAAAAGTAAGTTACACTCTCAGGGAGGTGAGATGAAATTAAGAGCAATCTGTGAATAAGAAGGAGCTTTAGAAAATTAAAAAATATGATAGCCCAAGTAAAAATTTCAGTACATACTAGGGAAGACAGTAAAAGGACACTGCCAGAGATTGACCTAGAGAGAGGGAGATGGAACATGGGAGAGAAAAAATAAGATTAGAGGATTATCAGGCAGTTGAACATTCAACTTACAGAAGTTCAGAAAGGAGAGCAGAGCAAAGTGAGGGCAGAAAATTATCAAGTAGCTTAAGAACATGTAGAACTAAAGAACATGAGTCCTAGTACAGTGAATGAAAAATGATTCACCCCAAGACTCGTCATTTCCAAAATTTTGTGAAGTGAGAGAAAAAAAAAACAGCTCATATACAGAGAATTAGGAATCAAAATGACAGTGGACTTAGAAGTTAATGGAGCATTGCCTTCAAAATTCTGAGGGCATATGATTTGCTTCTTATTCGTATTTAACTTAACTGTTAATCACACTTGGAGCTAAAATAGAGTGTACTTTTATTTTAAAAGTTTTCTTTTAAATTAAGGACAAGGAAAATATCTTTCTCTTTCTTTCCAGGACATACATGAATACAGCACCTAAGTATTTTTTAAAAGTTAGTTGCCAAACAATATTGTTTAACATAACCATGTATGTGTAATTTAGTGTGTGTGTGTGTGTGTGTGTGTGTGTTTAGACAGGGTCTCCTTCTGTCACTGAAGCTGGGGTGCAGTGTTGTGATCTTGGCTCACTGCAGCCTCGACCTCTTGGGCTCAAGAGATGTTCCCACCTCAGCCATCCAAGTAGCTGGGACTACAGGCTCACACCAACACACCTGGCTGATTTTTGTATTTTTTTGTAGAGATGGGTTTTCACCATGTTGCCCAGGCTGGTCTTGAACTCTTGGACTCAAGCAATTCTCCCACCTCAGCCTCCCAAAGTGTTGGGATTACAGGCATGAGCCACTGAACCTGGCTAATTTAATGTTTTTATATGTGCATAGAAAAGGTCTAGAATGGACAAAGTGGAATTTCTCCTTCTACTTACTTATTTGTATATTGCTTGTTTGTTTTAATGAGTGCATATTAATTGCAATTAATAGAATATAACTAAAGGGAAGAAAAGAGACTTGATTTATTTCTTCATTTATTTAAAAGAAAAAAGTTGGCAGGCCAAGGCAGGAGGATTGTTTGAGGCCAGAAGTTTGAGACCAGTTTGGGCAATATAGCGAGACCCTGTCTCTATAATAATTAGCCAAGCATGGTAGTGCATGCCTGTAGTCCTAGCTACTTGGAAGGTTGAGCCAGAAGGATCACTTGAGCCCGGTGAGCCATGACTGCTTTACTGCACTCCAGCCTGGGTGACAGAGCAAGACACTGTCTCTTAAAAACAAAATGTAGAAAGTGCATGCTATGTTGTTCTCCTCTGCTGGGTGCTATAAGAAATATAGTTGAAGTAGCAAACACAGCTTCAGTCTTTAAACGATTTTGGGTCTGGCTATTAAGCGGAAACACATATGTAAGGGAATGACTCCCAGCTATGTTGAAAGTCTGACTCTGTGTAATTTCAATGTACAGGCTGCTCTTGGGGCCAAGCAAATTCCTTTCCAGGGTCTGCAAGAGGTGGCAGTCTACTAACTTCAGAGTACTTTAAAAAACCAGCGTTTGTGAGAAAACCAAAAACAGGACTCTCATCTTGGAATATCTAACTTAATAAATTTCATTTGCATGTATACAGAAACCAACCTACTTACTGCTGCCAGCCCCAGGAGCCAGAGGTTAGAGTTTTTAATAATAATAGCAATAATGAGTTATACTTATTCCAGATTAGTTTTCTAGCTCTCAAAAAAACAAATGGCTAAGATGTCCAAAATGTTCTTTTCACAACTCTACCAAATGCTGGCTTTCCCTCTCCGTCTGGAAATCCAGCCAATCTGTTGAAAATTATCCTATTATTTGAGTACTTCCAGGCAGTTCTTCAGAAGGAAGACTAATTCCTGCAGTCTGAGATGGATGTCCACTTCTTAAGGGACTCTTTTCCATACTTCTGCAGCTGAGGAAAATCACACCTTGTATCCTGAGTCTTATTTCTTCTAATTGTGAATTTGGGAAAATATGTGTATACCAGACATCACATCATACCTATAGACAGCATTGTGTCTTAATTGGGAGTGTAACATTTGCCTGGTGACTACTTGGGTTTTTTGTTTGTTTGTTTATTTTTCTTGTAAATAAGTCTCAGCCTGAGTGTTCACAGACTTACAAAAAGCATCGGTTCACTGGGGAAAAGTGAAGCATTTAGCCTGAATAAGAACAAATACACACACTCTTTTCTGGTTTGATTTGCACGGGAGTTAGATGTTTTTTTGGGGGTGGGTGGAGGGTAGTAAGGGATATTCTAGTATATTAGGAAGAGTCTCTTAATTTGAATACAGGAGAGACAGGAGACTTATTGGACCCAATGGAATTATCTGTGGTCCAGTGATCTCCAAAAATGCTTTGTAACAGCAGATGATTAGATTTTAAAAGATCAGTTTAGCTGGCAGTTTGCCTGTTCATCTACTCCCATAAATTCAGTGGGTGGGCCTGACTCAGTGTGTCGGAGTAGAAGCTCAGGTGAGGAACCTTAATCTAACCTGACCAGGCTGATTGACAGCAGTGGAGAGACTGCCATACAACCAAACCATGGGGACACATGAACTTCTTTGGAAACTGGCCTGTCTGGGTCACAGTGTGTCCTCTGCTTGTTAAGAAGATGCCTGGCACAGCAGTAGTTAGATTACTTGTAAAATAGAAACCTTGGAATGTCTAATGACTAGATTGGGAAATAAGATAATTGGATTCTAGTTCTGTATTTACCTCCAAGCTGTATTTTGATGTTGGGAGACTCACTTCATTTCCTTGGGTATCAGTTTTCTCATCTGTAAAAGGAAATGAGTACAGTCATTTGAAAATACTTCTAGTTTTATTATGTTCCTTGAAATATGGGACTATTGGCACCACCCCCTCACTTGAACAATATGAGTTGGCATATTAATATTAATCTTAGTTAAAAGTGTTAGCTGAACAAAATGATAGAAACAAAAAAAAATTATTTGAGAATATTGGACCTTATGCTAAATTAGTCTATTCACTTTTAATGAATGAAAGAGGAATTGTTGGGCAATTTCTTTTTTCTTTCTTTCTTTCTGAGATGGAGTCTCGCTCTGTCACCAAGGCTGGAGTGCAGTGGTGCTATCTCAGCTCACTGCAACCTCTACCTCCTGGGTTCAAGTGGTTCTCCTGCCTCAGCCTCCCGAGTAGCTGGGACTACAGGTATGCGCCATCACGCCCGGCTAATTTTTGTATTTTTAGTAGAGACAGGGTTTCACCACGTTGGCCAGGCGGGTCTTGAACCCCTGACCTCAGGTGATTGACCTGCCTCAGCCTCCCGAAGTGCTGGGATTACAGGCGTGAGCCACTGAGCCCAGCCTGTGATTTCTTGATAGTATAGTAGATGAGACAAATGTAGTACTGTTTGAACTGTTGGCATGTTTAGTACACATTCCTGACTAAGGTTATGTGATGCTCTTTAGAATTAACAAAGAAGAGTTTCTGTAATCTTGTATATATCTTTAGAGTCAGGTTGATTAACATGGAACCCCTATGGCTGAAAAAGAAGGGGCAGGATTTGTGGGAAGTTCTAAAAAAAATAGCAAGAAGATAGCAAATATTTACTAATGCCTCCTATGTACTAGACACCATTCTGGGTGCTGGGATCAGAGCAGAAATTAGATAGTCTTTAGTCTCAGGGAGCTAACATCCTAGTGAGAGGAGATGGACTTTAAACATGTTTCAGTAAAACAACAGTAACTGTTAATGTTATGAAAAAGTAAAATTGGTATTGTAGGGAATAATGGACAGTGGGGGATGGAATGTGCTTCTGTAGGTTGGAAAGATAGGGATAATAGGAAATGAGGAAATAAGGAGTGTGGATAGCTGTTCAGAGTTTCACTTTAGAGTTTCTAAAGCCATCAAGCTCTAAACTTTGCCTCTGGAGCTCGTGGTGGCAGTTCAGGATCTGTGCTTGCCTAAGGATAAGAGAGAGGCCAAACTGTTGATCACTTGCCTCAATCCTGCTTCAACCAGAACAGCTCTGGTTTCTTTGTTTTAATTTAATAGCATATTTTTTATTGTGGTAAAATACACATAACATAAAATTTACCATCTTAACCATTTTTAAGTATATGGTTCAATGATATTAACTATATTTATATTCTTGTGTAACCATTACCACCATTTATGTTCAGAATTCCTTTTATTTTGCAAAACTGAAACTCTATACTCCTTAATAACTCTTCATTCCCCTTTTCCTCCAGTGCCCCAGTAACCACCATTCTACTTTCTGTCTCTATGAATTTGACTGTTCTAGCTACCTCATAGAAAGGAAATCATACAGTGTTTGTCTTTTGTGACTGGCTTATTTATAGCCACCCCTGCTGTCTTCCGTTACTATTTATATGGAATATATTTTCCCATGATTTTACTTTTAATCTATTTGTGTCCCTAGAGCTAAAGCAAGTCTCTTGTAAACAGCATATAGTTGGATCATGTTTTTTTTTATCCATTCTGCCAATCTCTTGTCTTGTGGTTGGTGAGTTTAATCCTTTACATTTAAAGTAGTTACTAATGAGAGACTTACTTGTGTAATTTGGCTATTTGTTTTCTATATGCCTTATAGCTTTTTTTTAATGTTTAGTTTATTTTTTGCTGTGAAATGTTTTAATTTCCTCATCATTTCCTTTGTGTGTTTGTGTATATTCTATAACTATTTTCTTTGTGGCTGCCATGGGTTTCAATTTAATATTCTAAGGTTGTAACATTCTAATTTGAATTTATACCACCTTAACTTCAGTAGTATACAAAAACTCTGCTCCTATATGGCTTCGTCTCTACCCCCTTTCAGTTACCGATGTCACAGATTTATATCTTTATACAGTTGTGTCCAAAACATTAGTAGTTGTTTTATTTTTGTGCATAAATCTCTTAATTTATGTAGAAAACAAAGTATGAAGTTATAATAATACTGGTTTTTAATCTAATAATAGTTTTTAAAAATATGCTAGTCTCTTAAATTTTTGTAGATTACAAAAAGTGGAGTTATAAACCAGAGTTACAATGATCCTAGCTTTTGTAACTCCCCATGTATTTCCCTTTACTGAGATCTTTATTTTTCATGTGACTTCAAGTTCCTGTCCAGTGTCCTTTTATTTCAGCTTTCAGGACTCTTTTTATATTTCTTGCAGGGCAAGTCTAGTGGTACTGAACTCACTTAGTTTTTATTTATCTGGGAATGTCTTATTTTCTCCCTCACAGTTGAAGGACCGTTTGCCAGGTATTGGATTCTTGGTTAACAGGTTTTTTTGTTTGTTTCTTTCAGCACTTTGAATATATCAGCCCACTGCCTTCTAGCCTCCAAAGTTTATAAGAAATTGGCTGATAATCTTATTCAGGACCGTTTGCATGTAACAAGTCACTTTTTCTTTTTTAAGACGGGGTCTTGCCCTGTCACCCAGCTTGGAGTGCAGTGGTGCAATCACAGCCCACTGCAGCTTTGACCTCCTGGGTTCAAGTGATTCTCCCACCTCAGCTTCCCAAGTAGCTGGGAACACAGGAGCACACCACCATGACTGGCTAATTTTAAAAATTCTTTGTAGAGATGGGGTCTCACCATGTTGCCCGGGCTTCTCTTTCTGCTTTCAAGCTTATCTCTTTGTCTTTGTCTTTTGACAGTTTGATTTTAATGTGTGTGGGTCTTTTTTAGTTTATCCTATCTGGAGTTTATTGAGCTTCTTGGATGTTTATATTCCTGTCTTTCATCAAACTTGGGAAGTTTTGGTCATTATTTCTTTAGATAATCTCTTTACCTCTTTCTCTCTCTCTCTTCTCCTTCTAGAACTCCCATAATGTTTGTTCACCTGATGGTGTTCCACAGGTCCCTTGGACTTATTCACATTTCTTTAATCTTTTTTTTGTTCCTCAGACTCAATAATTTCCCTTGTCTTATCTTCAGGTTCATTGATTATTTCCTTTACCTACTCAGATATGCCTTCGAATCCCTCTAATGAATTTTTTACTTCAGTTCTTGTACATTTTAGTGGTAGGTATTTTTATGTTTCTTTTTAGGTTTCTATCTATTTATTAATATTTTCATTTTGTTCATGTATCATTTTCTTGACTTTCTCCATGTCTTCTTTTAGTTTTTTGAACAGCTTCAAGATACTTGTTTTAAAGCCTTTGTCTCTACCATCAAGTCTTTCTCAGGGCCAGTTCCTGTTGGGTTCCCCGCCCCCCCTTTGAATTGGCTATCTTTCCCTGTTTCTTTGTATGCCTAGCAGGGTTTTGTTTGTTTGTTTTGTTGTTGTTGTTGGAAACAGGATGCTTGAATCTAATAGTGTAGTAACTCTGGAAATCAGGTTCTCCCTCTTTCTCAGGGTTTGCTGATTTCTGATTTTACTTTTGTTGTTTGATTGTGGTAGGCTTTGTCTGTGTCAGGGGGTCTGCCTGATGTGTAAGCTTAAGTTTTTCTCAGGTCTTTTTTGAGCCTGCACCTTTCATTGGGTGTGTGTGGTAACCTTCTACATTCCCCTGATATGTGGTTACTTTTGAATGTCCTAGACTTTAAATATCTGTCTTCTGAAAGTGGGAAAAGAGAAAAATGAAGAAGAAAATAAAAGCAAAAAAAAAAAAAAAAAAAGAAAGGAAGAAAAGTGAATTGCCCTTTAAATTCCTTGCAAGTTGCTTCAGCCTGAGGGGAGGGGTTTGTAACTGTGCTAAGAGGGTTGCAACAATGGCTGCCTGCCTATGTGTTTGTATCTCCAAGATCAGAACAGCAACCATTGATCAAAGCACAGATCCCCAGATTTTTGGAGGACGGGATCCTCATCCCACAGGCTTTGTGTAAGCTGATCCTGGAGCATGTGCATAGTTGCCCGCCATGAGGCTAGGGATTGGTTAGCTGCTACAGTTCTAGGAGCTGAAACTGACCAAAATTGACTGCAATTTACTGTCCAATCCTTCAGATAGACTACAGAATTTCAAAATAGTTACACTAGACCCATTCTGCCAGTGCAGTTGTTGCCTTCGTGAGAACACAGGTTCCTAGTGCTTCCTACTTAGTCATCTTTCGAGAATTCTTTCACTGGTTTTGTTTTGTTTCGATGCTTTATTAATAAAAATTGGCATTATATTTGAAATAAGTAATCCATTGCTTTAAAGATTTGGAAAAACAATTGCCTTGGAAAAACTAGTTATGTTTATTCTTTCCCCCTTAGTGCTGTCAAAAATCGGATAACATAGAGACAAATCTCTAAGCAGAAAGTTTTATTTAGGAATATATATATATAAAAACAGAATTGTAAATTGGGATATATGCAAAGACCAGAGTGGTTTTTGGTATGTCCAAAGTACAAAGGAAATGTTGGGATTTTACTGGGAAAGAGAAATATTACATAAAATGTTTTGAAACAAAGTTCATTAAATTACAGGTCGTTTCAGCAGCTACTAGGTAAAACTAGTCTTAAGGCTATGGGAGGTTATTTCAGCAGCTGGGCTTGTGAGACAGTTCCTGGAGCTGGCACTTTGTGTCCTGAGTGCTTTTTCCCTGGGTTCCTTGACTCTGATTTGCTTGGATATGACAGGAATAACTCCAATTCCTATAATCAGTTTTTGCAGTGCCTTAACTCTTGTGTTTTAGCATTTGTGACAGGCAGATTAATGGCCCTTCAAAGATCTCAGATCCTAATTCCCAGAATCTATAAATGCTATCTTGTAAGGGAAAGGGGATCTTTGTAGATGTGATTAAGAATCTTGAGTTGGGGTGATGATTATCTTGGCTTAGCTGGGTGGGCCCTAATGAAATTGCCTATACAAAGGAGGCAGAGGGAGATTTGGGAGACAGAAGAAAAGAGTATGACCACAGTGACAGAGATTGGAGTAATATAGATATGGTTTGATATGGTTTGGCTTGATATGATTTGGCTGTGACCCCATCCAAATCTCATCTTGAATTGTAGTTCCCTTAATCCCCATGCATCGTAGGACGGAACTGGTGGGAGGTAATTGAATCATGGGGGGTGATGGTTTTATAAGGGGCTTTTCTCCCTTTGCTTGGCTCTTATTCTCTCTCCTGCTGCCCTGTGAAGAGGTGTCTTCCACCATGATTGTAAATTTCCTGAGGCCTCCCCAGCCATGCAGAACTGTGAGTCAATTAAACCTCTTTTCTTTACAAATTATTCAGTCTCGGGTATTTCTTCATAGCAGCATGAAAACGGACTAATACGCAGCTATAAGCCAAGAAATACTGACAGCCACCAGCAGGTGGAAGAGATCAAGATGGGATTCTGCTGTAGAGTCTCTAGAGGTACCTTGCTGACACTTTGATTTTGATACCCTTGATACTGATTTCAGACTTCTGACTTCTAGAACTATGAGAGAATCAATATAGTAAAGGTAAATCGTGTGCTCCTTGTTATCAGCATCTCTTCTATTTAGTATTACCTTTTCCACAGAGTCTAACTCATTGCCTTCAGTATTATAACTGTGTTTCAATTACGTATTGCTGCATGACAAACAACCCCAAAATTTAATGACTTAACAATTTATCATTTCTCACAATTCTGTGTGGCAGGCGGGTTTAGCTGGGCAGTCCTTCTTCGCCATGTGTTGTCATCTGGGATCACTCAGGTGGCTGCTTTCATCTGAGACCTCAGCTGGGGCTGATAGAACCAACATGGCTTCACACTCACATTTCTGGGGCTGGAAGTAGAAGCATAAATGACTGGGGGCCAAAGTGGCCTCTCTCTAGCAGGGTAGTCAGGACTTCAAGAGGGTGAACCCAGAAGCTGCCATGCTTTGTAAAGCTTAAGCCAGAACTAGCACAGTGTCACTTCTGCTGCCTGATCAAAGCAAGTCATGAGGCATCCTAGAGTCAAGGAAACGGGAAATAGACCCACTTCTTCGAAGGAAGGAGGCACTTACATATAAGGAACGATAGAAGTTTGTTGACCATCTTTGGAAAAAGTCTATCAGAAACTGTTTAGTAAATGATTATTGAATTAAACTATAACAGTTAATTGATTGTGAGATTTTAGAAATGATTTTTTAGGAACATTTTCTAAAAAAGAATTCCTAGTTAAAAAATACCCATGTAAGCTGCCCAAATGGGACCTTGCACACATGAAGAATTCAAGAGATTGATATTTACTCACCAACTCACTGTGTAAAGGAGTGGAAATGTGTTTCCTGGCCCACCTTTGGGCCAGTGACTTCACAGGGGGCGTGGCAGGGCTCTTCCAGGACCAAGACCTTTCACTTCCCTGTCTCAGGATAGTATTGTAATAGGCAGTTTAGTGATTTGGGAATTCTCCACCTTGAAAGCAACTTCTGAAAGGGAAGGATTAGAAAAACAACACGTCATTAGACAGGCATGACAACATGTGCCTGTAGTCTCAGCTACTTAGGAGGCTGAGGCAAGAGGATCACTTGAACCCAGGAGTTTGAGGCTGCAGTGAGCTCTGACTGTGCTACCGCACTCTTAGCCTGGGTGACAGAGCAAGACTCTGTCTCAAAAAAACAAAAAACAAAAAAAGTCCAAAAATCCTATGGCTACCTACAGAGGATCGGCAGGGAAACAAGGATACTGGTTGGAGCCCTGATCAGTCAGTGTGCTCAAAACAGAGGCCCCGAGGAGGATGCTTTCCTTCAAACATGGTCTGCCTGAAAGGGCTTCCTGGTAGATCCATCGCTATGAATACACAGACTTCCTGAGTGTGAGATTCTGACCACGGGACTCCTGACATCTCTTTTCTGATCACTCATTGTTTTGTTAACTACTCTAGGGAGAAAAGCTAGTGTCAGCCCAGTCTGAGGTAGGGATTGGATTCCAAGAACAGAATCTGAGAGGATTCCAAGAGCAGAATCAGAGATGGGCTTCCTGATGGGATTTCAAACTGAGATTTCTTTTTATTAGTTGTTTCTATTTTATTAGTTTGCATTTGATCATATCCTTTGAAACGCATGTGCATGCTTTGTCTTCTTTGTACGTTTGTTTCCTTTGCGGGGGATGGGGGGATTATTTTTCTTAAGATGAGGTTGCTGTTTTTATCAGCAATCACTGTGGTGAGGAGACACAGGCCGTTAGATGATTTCTCTCTTGTGGGGTGGTTTTATAGGCCAGAATCTAGGGAATAGCTCCGTTTTAATAGTTTATTGGCTTCCCGATTGAAATACTAACTGAAAACCCCCAGGCTTTGGCCTTCAGCATTTGTTTTCATCCAGTGACCAGATTTATGGTGTTTGCTCCATGGCCTGTGAATAAGTCCTGTTTTTAAAAACTGGACACAACCCACACCTTTACTACTGTTTCCTATGCAGTTCCTTACTCCTACATGGTGGCTTTGCTTGCCTTTGCTAGCTTTTCTTTTTATACCTCTGTACATTACTCTGTTGATCCCTATTCCTGAGATGATCGAGAATGATATGGGATGTGTGTATAAGAAATGGGTGTGTGTGGATACCTCCCCCCCCACCTTTTTTTCAACACGTTTCACCAGATGCCTTTTTCACTGCACAATAGTTTTCACTGGTATACTTTTTGTTCAGAAGCATGTGCTTCTGGCATTGCAACTTTTCATATGTGTGGCAGATCTTGAAGACAGGGTTTCTATGAGAAATTGGAGCTTGGTTTAAATTTTTTCTAGGCTGTTAGATGGCAGATTGGATTAAAAGCCTACCAAAATGGCCAAAGCTCAGATGCTCTAAAAACTCAAGAACTAGACCCTTGGCATTACCAAGATTAGATGTGGAATATGCAGACAAATTGAAATAGCTGGAGTAGCAGCGTTCCACCTATGGCTTAACCCAGATGGGAGTAAGTTGTTCTTGGTGTCAAGGTTAGTGCTCCGGAGGAATGTATGGCCAGACAAATGTTCACACACAGGAGAGGCACAGAGAGTGTAAAACACAGAGACTACTATGTTAAAATGGCTTCAGATTGATATGGAACCATTCTTGATATGCTAGTAAGTGCAGTAAGCTGATTATAGGACACTATATGAGGAGGGAGGTGTAGATGGACCTACATCAAAACATAAAACTGGTGGCTAAATTTAGTTGGTAAGTTCGTGGTGATTTTTAGATTTCTCTTTGTGGCATTCTTTATTTTTTCCTCAATAACCATATAGTGCTAGAATAATATTTCTAAAGCTTTTAAAATAAAACGAAATGGTGCCTGGCAGGTGTTTTCTTTGATTCAGTAAACCTCTGTTGCTGACCTGTTTTGTCCAGGCCCTGGCTGTGGGCTCTGTGGAGTCTAGCAATGAACGGATCATGCCAAGGGTTGCCTTGTTGGTAGAGGTTACCGCCACTCTTGCTCTCTGCACCTTATGCTTTGTGCTAGGCAAGTAGAGATCTGCAAGTAGCTTCTGTGTTTCCCCAAGGGCCTCTCATCAGTTGTGCCTGCATATCCTTACCTGGTGGGAGAGGGAATAACTCACCTTTTGCATAGTCTGACAGTTCTGAATTTAAAGCTGCTTCATTCTCACTCTTTATCCTGATTTGTTTGTTTTCACCTGTCTGTTTTATCCCATTCACAATTTTTAGTGGTCTCCTTTTTTCTTCCTAGGAGCTTGAACTTACAGAGCTTCAGTTTTTCCTTTTTGGCTATCACTTTTATTGTTTTCCAGGCTGGTTTTTGATCACATAGATAAACGTTTGAAATGCCTGTCACTGGAGAATTTACCCCCAGGGCTCGCTATATCTGCAGTGGTAACTTATTAGCCTGTTTGCTTGTTTCGGTGAACTAGAATTGAACTGTTTGTAAACCAGTGAGACAAGCGTTATTTATTTGTGTTTAAGAACATTTCAAGCTCTGGCAGGGTACTCATTTTATTAACTCAAATGATGATTCTGAATGCCACTACATTTATACCTGATGATGCATTTTGTGTAATTATTAATGTGTTACTATCTTGGTCATAATTCCTTTTCTCCTTGCCTGTCTTAAGGACTCTGTCCTTGTGTTTCGCTTCACTCACTCGGCAACTGTTTAGTAGGCACCAGCTGTAAACTGGGCATTATACTCAGTATCTTAAATATTGTGGAGAAAATGAAGTCAGCTATGGTTTCTTCTTGTGCAGAGTGTATAATCTAGTGGGCAAAATAAGCAAGAAAACAGGAAGTTTCATGTATGACATGCTGCCTGTGTTAGGGAAAGCAAAGGGTGTAGTGTACAACCGAGGACAGGTACCTAAGCTAGACTTGAGATATCAGGGAATGTGTCCTGGAAGAAGTCTGCCTAAGCCCAAAGTTGAAAGATTATTTGGAGTTAGTCTGACAGGAGGGGTGCGGTGGGCAGCAGAGGCGGAGAGTGGAGGTGTTCCTGGCAGAAAGTACAATATTTGCCACAATCTAGAGGGTAGAGAGAGCATAGAATGTTGATGGAACTAGAAGACATGGTCCTTAACCTACAGAAATCTGTGCTCTAGTTGAGGTGATAAGGGACACATTTAGTGAAGGTCCATGGGGTCACCATGTTTCTACTCTCTAGCCTAGTCCATCTGCTCTTGTAACATATCTCTCCTGTTCAGAAACTGTCAAAGCCCATAAGACAGCAAAGCTGCTTAGCTTGGCATTCAAGTTTCTAAAAAAAATTAATGCCAGAAAAAAAATTTTTGTACCTTCTTTCGTCATGAAGTCCTCTTGTCATCCAGTCAGCTTAAGTACTTTTCCCTTGCATGCTGTCTTCTCTCCTTTTTAATCCAGTCTTACTAATTTTTCAAGGCTCATTTTGGTTTCCATTTTCTTTTTTCTGTCTTTGCAACTCCGAGTCTCCCTCTGTCGCTCACCCAGGCTGGAGTGCAGTGGTGTGATCTTGGCTCACTGCAACCTCCGCCTCCTGGGTTCAAGCGATTCTCTTGCCTCAGCTTCTGGAGTAGCTGGGATTACAGGCACGCACCACCACGCCCAGCTAAATTTTATATTTTTAGTAGAGACAGGGTTTCACCATGTTGGCCAGAGTGGTCTCAAACTCCTGACGTCAAGGGATCCGCCCACCTCGGCCTCCCAAAGTGCTGGGATTACAGGTTTGAGCTACTGCAGCCGGACTTGGTTTCCAATTTCCCCACAAAACTATCCATAATGATGTCCCCGACCCAAATGATATATTTTCCAACTCCAAACTCTTATTGTAAATATCATTCACTTGACTATTAAAATGGTTTGCCTTATGCTATTAGTTATATTGTATGTGAATACCTGTCTTCTTAACCAGGTTTTAAGCTCCAAGAGCACTGACTCTCTTTTACTCTTAGTATCTCCCATAGGATTGCGCCCAACATGAAGCATGTAGGTACTTTAAAAAAATATTTGCTACTTTTGTGAAAAAAATACGATCACATTACAGTTTTGATTAAGTAGCAAGTGAGAGAGAAGACTCACCTATTCTAGGATTCAGAGCAGGGAGATTCAAATATGACCTAAAATGGTCCTATGATCTTGGCCTTTTAAAGTAAGGCTAGATTACAGACCTTACATGGGCAGTCCAAAACCTATGAAATTCTTTTATATGGAGACACTATTATAAATGGTGATTCTTCTCTCAGTACAACCATGAAAACTAATATGGTCATGGTTAGTTGAAGGCTGGTGTTGATATCAGCCTAATTTCTGGATTCAAGATGCTGTAGAGTCTACAGTAGACCTTTTAGTGTAGTTGAGAATCAGAAGTGAGTGAAGTTTGGATAAGCCCCTTAAATAATTCTGGTTCTCCTACCCTCTACCTATTGAGAGTCTGTTTTATAATACACAAGAATTGTTAATGTTGCATATCCTTCAGACATACTATGTAAATATTTAACCAAGTCTTTACTAGCTTTTGGCTAATGCAGAGTTGAGATGATGCTCCCTGGCGAGTACATGGAGCTCAGCTCTTTTGTGTTTGTAGTAAATTAGAACTCTGGCCTTTTAGCTGAACTAAACCAGAAATAGGGTTGACATTTCTGTGTTGAGGAACCTAAGAATGTTAGAAGGACACTTCCTGTATGCTCAGAGTGCTTGAACAAGGTTGAAATTTTCTGTAGAAAATAATTTTGATATTTTTAAACCCTGACAAATGCATAGTTGATACTTCAAAGTCCGCACCATCAGGCATGGCCACAATAATTTTAACAGTATACTTTTGAAAAGATGTAGTCAAAAACCTACTTTGCTCTTAAAAACAAAACAATTACTTAAAACGTTCACTGAAGTTTAATTTTCAGTAAGTACCTTCTTTATATAGCTTCCAAGATAAACTAGTTGGTAAATATTTGCTAAGGTAACTGCATGACATAGCTTGCTGTTTGGGACAATTAGCTTAATTCAATTAAAAGAATGACTTTAATCCTAGAATAGTAGCTCCACTGCCCTTTTCTCAGAGTGGTATTATGGTCAGCAGAGCCAGTTATCTATTAGGCAGTTTCTAGATCATAGTGATAGAATCATACGGTGTGCATAAGTGAGATTACGTGTGTTTCTTACTCAACCAAGAAATAGCAGACCACTTATTTCTCTGGAAATTAATAACTGATTCCTCAAGAAGACATATCCATTGCCTTTCTGTTTGTATAATGAGAGATTCTGAATGAGCAAATATACTCAGGGATCCCAATACTAAACTCAAAGATTTACCTTTAAGTGACTTCTCTTCACAGAATCAAAAGCCAAGGAAAGGACATTAACAGTGGAAATTGATGTTCTTGACCAGTTTTGCTCTGAGGTGGTCAAGAATATAACAATGGCCTGTAGTGGAATGATTTTGCTTTCTCCCTGTGTAAAACAGTGATCCTGTAAAACCCAAGTTTGTAATTTATTAACAAGGAAATGTACATATAATCATTTGTAGCTGCAAGAGACTAGCAATAACCAAAAGGCTTGTCATTAGGGATTAAGTAAATTACAGTCAATCATGCAATAGATTACTCTGTAGCCATTAAATGGAAGAAAATAGATCAGTGTGCCTGACATGGAATAATTTTGCAGATTAGGTGAAAAAAAACTCAAGGTGCAGAAAAGTGTATATAATGTGATTATTTGTAAGGAAAAAAACTACAAACTAAAAGTATATACCTGTATGCACTGAATTTTTTAAAATAGGAAAGCTGAAATGCTATTACACAGTTCTATATGAGGAAAGGCACTGTGGGGAGTCTAGTGTGTATTTTTTAACATTTGCATTTTTACTTTTTCCATTAAAATATCTAATAAATAAAAAAGGAAATGAACATATTTTGGATAAAATGTTCAATAAATATTTAATGGGTCTGTAATTTGGAAAGGAGTAAGGATTTCTTTTTTTAAAAGACTTTCGATTTTATGAAATAGGTAAAAGAATATGTATAAAGTATGTATAAGGTTTAAAGAATAACAATGCAATAAACACCTTGGATCTAACACCTAGTTTAAGAAATAGAACATTACAGTAGTCTTCCCTTATCTGTGGGGGATACTTTTCAAGACCCCCAGTGGATGCCTCGAACCATGGATACGCTGAACCGTATATACACTATATTTTTTCCTATGCACTCATAGCTGTGATGAAGTTTAGATATTAGGTGCAATTAGAGATTAACAACAATAACTAATAATAAAATAGAACAACTATAACAATATGCCAGCATCACACTCTTGTGCTTTGGGGCCATTATTAAGTAAAATAAAAGTTCCTTGAACACAAGCCCTGTGACACCAGGACAGTTGATCTGATAAGAGTTGGCTACTAAATGACTAATGGCTGGTGGCATATACAACATGGATAGCTGGATAGAGAGCTGATTCACATCCTGGGCAGAATGGAGTGGGACAGCATGAGATTTCATCACCCTACTCATAATTTATAAATTAGGCACAGTAAGAGATTAACAACAGTAACTAATAATGAAATAGAGCAATTATAACAATATACTATAATAAAAGTTAAACGAGTGTGATCTTTCTCTCTCTCTCTCCGTCTCTCTCAAGATCTCTCTATAGATCTAAATATCTAATGGCACTCAGTTTAAAACTTATGAATTGTTTAGTTCTGGAATTTTCCGTTTAATATTTTCGAACCATGTTTGACCAAGGGAAACTGAAACCAAGGATGAGGATATCTATGGTTTCGCTTTCTGTGATTTCGTTACTGGTCACCAGTGGTTCAAAAATATTAAGTGGAAAAACCAGAAAGAGACAGTTCATAAGTTTTAAATGCTACGTCATTCACTTCACTTTATCTTATCACATAGGCAATTTATCTCACATGATAAAATCTCACATCATCACAAGAAGTAGGATGAGTACAGTATAAGGTATATATATAGAGAGAGACCACATTCATTTAACTTTTATTACAATATATTGTTATAATTGTTCAAGTTTATTATTATTGTTGTTAATCTCTTACTTTGCCTAATTTATAAATTAAACTTTATCACAGCTACGTATGTACAGGAAAAAGCATAGTATATACACAGTTCAGTGCTATCCAGTTTCAGGCATCCACTAGGGGTATGGAAATGTATCCCCTCAGATAAGGGGGGGACTACTGTAATGTTCCACTTCTTTAGCTAGGTGGTAGATCCAAAGTGTTTATTGTATTATTCTTTAAAGCTCACATACGGGGACTACTATACTACAGTTTACTCATGTTTTGTTGATGAACAAGTGGCTGCTGTGCATATGCTTGTACAAGCCTTCTGATGCCCGTTTTCAAGAGTTTATCTAGGCCATTTACCTTGGAGTAGCATTCTTGAGTCACTAGGTAAACACATCTCTGACTTTCAAGAAAATCCTAAATTATTTTTCAGAACTGTAGTAATTTTCATTTCCATGAACAGTATTCTGAAAGATTCAATACGTGGTATTATCAGACTTATTAGTCTTTGCCAATTTGAGGGTATAAAATAGTCTCTTGGCATAGTTTGGGTTTTTTTTTTTTTTTTTTTGAGATGGAGTCGCTCTGTCTCCCAGGCTGGAATGCAGTGGCACGATCTCGGCTCACTGCAAGCTCCGCCTCCTGGGTTCACGCCATTCTCCTGCCTCAGCCTCCCGAGTAGCTGGGACTACAGGCGCCCGCCACCTTGCCCGGCTAATTTTTTTTAATTTTTAGTAGAGACGGGGTTTCACTGTGTTAGCCAGCATGGTCTCGATCTCCTGACCTCGTGATCTGCCCATCTCTGCCTCCCAAAGTGCTGGGATTACAGGCGTGAGCCACCGCGCCTGGCCATCCCTTGGTATAGTTGAGCATCCTTTCTACTGTTTCTTGACCACTTATGTTTATTTTCTGTGAATTTCATTTTGATAGGTGTGTCCATTTTTATATTATTTGTCCTTTATTCAGTGATCACTTGAGTTCTTTGTATATTCTGGATACTGATTATGTAATTCTTAGATATATATATACAAATGTTCTCCCCATTTGTGGCCTGTATTTTTATTTTTAATTTAAAAACTTTATTATCCAGAGGGAGACACTATATCTTCCAATGCTGTTCATTATATAAACATCCTTGAATAGAGTCCGGAAAGTCCAGAACAAAAGGCAGTCAGTGCTTCACTTTGCAATAGTGGCACAGTGGCAGTAACTCATCTTGTCTCTCAACAGCATCTGTCTCCCATTTCTGGTGAAAATTCTAGTGAATTCTCCCATGAATACATCACACTGTTGGCTCCTTCGATTAATCTAAGTGATGAGTTGGCACCAAATCCATTCAGTTTGTCTCATACAACATTTAATTAAGGTTACTACCAGTAGGACACCAAGCAGCAGGATGAGCTCAGCTTTCAGTATTGACATCAACTATGCCACCCAGCATCTCAGATCCAATCACTTGTACAAATCCCAGAAACCAACAGGGTCTATGGTAGAAACTCAAAAGGCTGTCTTTTGAAGTTTTTGTATTGACCTTTCCATTTAGTCCAAGCCATTAAGCCAGGTACAGCAGAATGTATTAGTGATTATACAGACTTTATCTTATCTTATCTTAACCTGTAGATTGGAAGTCTAAGAAAATTTTTCATTTATATTGTTATGACTTGCCCTGTGAATTGAAGCAAACCTGAGTGGCTTTATGGGCTGAAGTGCTATCAGTGATTACCTCAGTTAAAATCAGCTGATAAATTTTGTACCATGTTTTTAATTGAATGACTCTTATAGCAGGAGTAACCAACCACAGGGTGTGCAAAAATAATGAGTTGCTTATATCTCTGGGAAGCTTCTGTGAATAACCAAGCATAACCCCATTTTGGAGAGATCTTCGTAGACATCTGAGAGCTATATGACCTACTGGTGGTATTTCCTTAAACATTTGAAATTTGCTTACAGCCACCCCTAAGGTGCAAATCACCGTGTTTGGTTGGGGGAAGAGTTAATGCCTGCTTTCACAAAAGAAATAGAGTCCCAAGGACACACTTAGTACTCCTGTAAAGAAAGCATTTGTTTACAGTTTGGGGAGATCCCTACGTCAGTTGAGGAGCATATGTTGATAGTGCCTCCATTGAACAATCAGCTGGTAAATCTTAAAGTTTCTAGTTTAGTCCAAAGAATGTATTCTAGTCCTTGGTTTTGGAAGGATTGCTTAAGTACAGTCATTCCAACCTATCCAGTTCTGCCCACACCAACAGCTGAGTGGCATTCAGCTGTCCCTTGAAATGATTGAGCTATGGCTACAGAAAAGGGAAGGACATTCAGAGATATTGACAGGTGCTTGGAGCCAAGGCCATAACATATAGTTTCTGATAGGCTTCTCAGTAAGGTTAAGGGGAAAGCAATCAAATTGTGCTTCAGGTCATCTGAGGGAGGCTCACAGACCCAGCAGTTGGTTAAATTTAATGTGCTCATGACAGTTTGGGGGAAGAGCAGAGCATTTTCCTTGGTGAGGAAGGCTCTTGGGGCAATTTCAAAAAACAGACACCATTTATGTTCTTCCTCCCATTGTACCTCCCGGGGTCTGAGATAGTCTCTTCCCAGGTGTCAAGGTTATTCTCTCTACTTCCTCAAAATCAGTTCTCCCATTTCAATATTTATAACTTTGTCTTTTTTCCAGTTGCTCCCTACTTGCAACCAGACGTTTTGTCTAGAATAGTCAGGTACAAGAGAAACAAGGCATTTTTATAAATTTTACAGAGACCCTTTATGTACTCATGGGCCACTTTAGGAAGACTCAACAAGCTGTGTACTCAAGCAAGTAGTCATTATCTTATGATTTAGAACTAGGTTAATCCTTTTAAGAGAATCCAGGTGGCTAAATAGAATTAAGTTAGAATTTCCTAGGGCTCTTTTGGCCAGGCTGCCACATGGAAGGTGTACTAACTAGGCTGCCTGGATTTGTCATTAGGGGAAAGAAAGAAAGAAGCATTATGCCAGGAATGCTCAGGGCAGAATCCCAAATTTTCAAAATAGGTTAAAAAAAAAACCCTCATGCATTTCTTTTTTCTTTTCTTTCTTTTTTTTTTTTTTTTTTTGGTGGCAAGTTCTCACTCTTGCCCAGGCTGGAGTACAGTTACACGATCTCAGCTCACTGTAACCTCTGCCTCCCAGGTTCAAGCGATTCTGTCGCATCAGCCTCCTAAGTAGCTGGGATTACAGGCAGATGCTACCTCAACTGGCTAATTTTTGTATTTTTAGTACAGACAGGATTTCACCATGTTGGCCAGGTTGGTCTCGAACTCTTGAACTCAAGTAATTTGCTGGCCTCAGCCTCCCAAAGTGCTGGAATTGCAGGCATGAGCCACCTTGCTCAGCCCTCCCTCCCTCCCTCCTTCCCTCCCTCCCTTCCTTCCTCCCTTCCTTCCAGGAGTCTCTTGTTGCCCAGGTTGGAATGCAATGGTGCAGTCTTGGCTCACTTCAACCTCCACCTCCCAGATTCAAGTGATTCTCCTGCCTCAGCCTCCTGAGTAGCTGGGATTACAGGCGTGCACCACCATGCCTGGCTAATTTTGTATTCTTCTTTTAGTAGAGATGGGATTTCTCCATGTTGGTCAGGCTGGTCTTGAACTCCCGACCTCAGGTGATCCTCTCACCTGGGCCTCCCAAAGTGCTCGGATTACAGTCGTGAGCCGCTGCGCCTGGCCCTGGCTATTTGTTTATGCTGTTTTAAAGCCTTGAAGTCAATGGAATTTAATTTGTATACGTAGTAGTGAAACAGGAAAAGTTCCCTTGTCCCCCTTGCAGGGTGTGTGAGTCCCCCTCACAAGGTGTGTGATGGGATTGTAGCTCGCTTCTTAGCGCCCAGCTGCTCAAACCTGTAGGGGAACATACAGACAGGCAGGCTGTGGGGCTCCCACTCCACAGCAGTGTCGAGGGGTGAATGTTTACGGCTGAAGCCCCAGTGGGTGTGTGTTACAGAGTGCTCTTTCAGTTTAGCTGTCCATAGGCAGCTTGTGTTAGTCAGCTCAATTAGACCCCCTTGCCTTGTTGCAAGGACAGAGGGCTTTCTGTATCCCAGGGTTCTTGCCTTGATATACCGGAAGAATTTGATCACACGTAGGCTTGGAGAATTAGTCCAGGGTTTTATTGATTGGAAGTAGCTCTCAGCAGATGGGGGAACCAGAAGGGAGATGGTTTTCCGCTGGATTTGGGCCACTCGGCGGCCTGTCTCTTTTCTGACTGCCCTGGCCAAACTCCTCATTGTTTCGCCAGTCGATGGCCTGCTGGTGCCTGTTGGTGTATTCCTGCCATCCAGCCGCTTGTGTGTTCCTCCGCCCATGTGCCCCTCTTGTCATCCAGCCGCTTGTGTGCCTGCGTGCTAGGGTCTTGGGGGATTTTATAGGTACAGGTTGGGGGCATGGCGGGCCAGGGTGGTCTTGGGAAATGCAGCATTTGGGCACGAAGGCAGGAGTGCCTGTCTTCACCTAGGTCCGTGGGCACAGGCCGGAGACAGAGCCTCCTTCGCCAGGAACCAGCCCTTCTCCTCCCAGCACTTCCCTGCCCTCTTCTCATATCAGTGGGAGCTTGGGATCCAATTGTAATTTTGTCTGTGTGGATAATCAGTTACCACACTACGTTTCTCTGTGATCTGCAGTATTAGCTCTTACACAAATCAAGTTTTATACGTGTATTAATATATGTCTGCTCCTGTGCTTTCTATGCTATTTTATTGGCTTACTTGTACTCATAGTCCTAATTACATGAGTGTTATGGTTTTTTTTAGCTATCTGGGTGAGTCCTCCAACCTTGTTCTTCTTTAAGATTATCTTTGCTACTCTTACTCTTGGCCCTTGATGTGTCTATATACAATTTAAAATCTACTTCTCAGGGCTGAGCGCAGTGGCTCATGCCTGTAATCCCAGCACTGTGGGAGGCAGAGGCAGGCCAATCACCTGAGGTCAGGAGTTCGAGACCAGCCTGGCCAACATAGTGAAACCTCATCTCTACTAAAAATATGAAAAATTAGCCAGATGTGGTGGTGCGCACCTGTAGTGCCAGCTACTCAGGAGGCTGAGGCACGAGAATTGCTTGAACCTAGGAGGCAGAGGTTGCAGTGAGCCGAAATTGCACCACTGCACTCCAGCCTGGGCAACAGAGCAAGGCTCTGTCTCAAAAAATAAATAAATAAAATGAAGTCTTGCAGACACACACACACACACAATTACTGTTTTTATTGGAATTGCGTTGCATTTATAATCAATTTGGGGAGAATGTCATCTTTATAATATGGAATCCTCTCATCTATGAGCACAGCACATCTCCTTTTTTTGTTTGTTTGTTTGTTTTCTGAGATGGAGTCTCACTCTGTCGCCCAGGCTGGAGTGCAGTGACGTGATCTTGGCTCGCTGCAACCTCTGCCTCCCAGGTTCAAGTGATTCTCCTGCCTCAGCCTCCAGAGTAGCTGGGATTACAGGCATGCACCGCCACACCCGGCTAATTTTATATATTTTTAGTAGAGACAGTTTCTCCGTGTTGGTCAAGTTGGTCTTGAACTCCTGACCTCAGGTGATCCACCCGGCTCGGCCTCCCAAAATGTTGGGATTACAGGTGTGAGCCACCACACCCAGCAGCACATCTCCTTTTTAAGGCATATCATTTTTTTTTTCCAAAAAAAATCTCCCGATTAAAAATATGAAATACCAATGTGGAAAAAAAGAACCTTGACCTCTATCTCACACTATACACAAAAATTAATTTTAAATGGATCATAGACCTCAATGTAAAAGCTAAAACCATAAAGCTTCTAGAGGAAGATATACGATATCTTTCTTAGGTAGGTAGAGATTTCTTAGGCATAGAAAGCATGAATCATAAAGAAAAAAATTGATTAAATAGTGAACTTTGTCAAAAATTTTAAAATTCTCCTCATCAAAAGACATTATTAAATAAGTTGGCAAGCCACAGACTAGAAGAAGGTATATGCCATGCATATATATGACCAAGGAAAAGCAACCTATTAAAAATGAGCAAAAATCTTGAAGAGATCCTTCACAAAGGGTCATAATAATGACCAAAGCACATGAAAAGTGCTCAACGTCATTAGTCGTCAAGGAAATGCAAATCAAAATCATGGGAGATACACTGTTGCATACCCACAAGGATGGCTACAAAGGAAGGAAAAACAAAACAACAGCAAATGTTCAAAGGACTGTAGAAATCTCCATCAGAAATCTACCTTACTGTTGGGAGTGTAAAATGGTATAATTATTTCAGGAAACTGTCAGTTTCCTAAATGGTTAGACATGTTACAGTTTTATTCTCGGATATTAATCCAGGAGAAATGAAAACGTGTCCTTAAAAAGTCTTATATTAGAATTTTATAGCAGCTTTATTCATAATAGTAAAAAAAAAAAAAAGGTAAAGAACCCATGCCTGTCAAGAGGAGAATTAATAAACAAACTTACAGATTCATATAATGGAATACTACTCAACAGAAAAAGAACCAGACTATTGATATATTGAATAACATGGATAAATTTCATAAACTCTGTGCTGAGTGAAAAAAGCAAGCCAAAAAAACGTATTATTGCTGGGCACAGTGGCTCACGCCTGTAATCCCAGAACTTTGGGAGGCTGAGGTGGGCGGATCACAAGGTCAGGAGATCGAGACCATCCTGGCTAACACGGTGAAACCCCGTCTCCAATAAAAGTACAAAAAATTGGCCGGGCGCGGTGGCTCACGCCTGTAATCCCAGCACTTTGGGAGGCCGAGGCGGGCGGATCACGAGGTCAGGAGATCGAGACCATCCCGGCTAAAACGGTGAAACCCCGTCTCTACTAAAAATACAAAAAATTAGCCGGGCGTAGTGGCGGGCGCCTGTAGTCCCAGCTACTTGGGAGGCTGAGGCAGGAGAATGGCGTGAACCCGCGAGGCGGAGCTTGCAGTGAGCCGAGATCCCGCCACTGCATTCCAGCCTGGGCGACAGAGCGAGACTCCGTCTCAAAAAAAAAAAAAAAAAAAAAAAAAAAAAAAAAGTACAAAAAATTATCCGGGCGTGGTGGCGGGCGCCTGTAGTCCCAGCTACTTGGGAGGCTGAGGCAGGAGAATGGCGTGAACCCGCGAGGCGGAGCTTGCAGTGAGCCGAGATCCCGCCACTGCATTCCAGCCTGGGCGACAGAGCGAGACTCCGTCTCAAAAAAAAAAAAAAAAAAAAAAAAAAAAAAAAAAAAAAAAGTACAAAAAATTATCCGGGCGTGGTGGCGGGCGCCTGTAGTCCCAGCTACTTGGGAGGCTGAGGCAGGAGAATGGCGTGAACCCAGGAGATGGAGGTTGCAGTGAGCCGAGATCGCACCACTGCACTCCAGCCTGGGCAACAGAGTGAGACTCCGTCTCAAAAAAACAAACAAACAAAAATGTATTATTACATTTATATGAAATTCTAGAATAGACAAAACCAAACTGTAATGATAGAAATCAAATCAGAGGTTCCTTTGTGGGGCGGGAGTTTGCTGGGAAGGGGCATGGGGGATCTTTATGGGATGATGGAAATTTTCTGAGTCTTGATAGGGGTGTGGATTACGAGTGTATGTATGTGTGGGTTGAATGGTACACTTGATCACAGCATTTTGCTGTGTGTAAAAACGTTTCAGTTTTTTTAAAATGTGATATTCTGGATTTCAATTAATAGGAACATAACATGTAGAGCTGATAAAAATGGGTAGGTTAGGGAATATTTATGTCACCCCTTCGGAGTAATTCTTTAATAGTTATGGAGACAGTTTGTTCCTAAATGCCATATTTAGCTTGAGCTTTTTGGTCAGTGGTGCAGCCTGAGGAACTATTCTACTTTCGTAGTTCAAGAGAAGTTTTTATAAAGTTGAAAAAGATAATTCTTACAAGTTCAGCAAGGATTAGATTTCCAGAACTTCACATGCCAAGACTGTACTTCTCATAACCATACTCCAAACCAGTGGTTCTCAATCAGGGGCCATTTTGTCCCACAAGGTATATTTGGCAATGTCTAAAGACATTTTCATTGTCATGATTGTTGGGGAGGGGTGTTGTGCTGCTGGCATCTAGTGGGTAGAAGCCACGGAGGCTGCTAAACATCCCACAATGTGTAGGACAGTCCCCTGAAACAAAGAGTTATTTGGTCCAAACTGTCATTGGTGCCAGGGTTGGGAACGCTTGTTCTAGACCTGTCCTTATCACTGAAGCTGAGTCAGTCTCAGTCAATCTGGTGTTGACTCTACTTATAGTCCAAATCAGTTGTGGAAACTTGGCATTGGCACAGATTACATATTTCTTCCCTGATAAAATTTAATATCAAATATTTGTAAACATACATAATCTTAAATTTTGAGATAAAAGTTCATGGATTGAGAGCACTTCAGAAATCAGAATTACCATTTGTGTTGATTGTTAAATTCTTAAGATGCTGTAGATTCTGTTTTTAACTGTATTTAATTAAATATCCAAACAACCGTACTTATCTTCCTTTTTTTAAAAAAAAGGCTTTATTGTCAGATCAAAGGGAATAAATGATAATAAATTTTTTCCTCCTTCTTTCACAGAATGACAGGGAGAGAGTTTTTCTCTCGTTTCCCAGAACTCTATCCTTTTCTTCTCAAACAGTTGGAAACTGTAGCCAATACAGTAGACAGGTAAGAAGAGAATTGGGTGGGGCAAAATGACCTCAAGGATGTGAATTACCTTAGTAATTGAGATTTTCCCTCTAGGCAGCTGTTTTTAATAAAATTCTTCCCTTTTTTAAATTTGTTTAAATTTTTTCCTTGAGACAGGGTCTTTCCCTGTCACCCAAGCTGGAGTACAGTGGTGGCCACCACTCCTTGCCCATTTTTGTATTTTTTGTAGAGATGGGGTTTCGTCATGTTTCCCAGGCTGGTCTCAAACTCCTGAGCTCAAGCAATCTGCCCACCTGGGCCTCCCAAAGTGTGGGGATTACAGGCTTGAGCCACTGTGCACGGTCAGACTGCTTCCTTGCATAAAATTGGCTTTTTTATTAAAGTGCTTTTTTGTAATTATATCATATTGCTTGGTTCTCTGTAGTAAATTTGTACCTGAAAAGTTATGTAAAATCCTGTCTTTATATTTTAAAAATGCTATTTTATGTTAAATTTTATCAAACTTAATTCCATTTTCGGTGGTACAGAAACTAGGAATCACATGGTGATTTCTTCTGTTATGAATTATTTTCTTCCTATTTTTAAAAAAATCTGTGTTTACATATTGAGTTTGCTTTATGCATACCTGTCATTTTTTATTACTGGCTTGTTGCAACTTACCATTGTGAAACTATAGCGATTAGCTGACTAATATGATCACTTGTGTTCAGAAATGGTTCTTGTCTACCTGAGCAGAAATGGCCAGTGTTCTTGGAAACACAGAGCAAAGCCATTACGAGGGCTTTCCAGTCTTATAGTTCACCATTGTCTTAAAAATCACATTCTGGCTGGTGTGGTGGCTCACACCTGTAATCCCAGCACTTTGGGAGGCCAAGGCAGGTGGATCACCTGAGGTCAGGAGTTCAAGACCAGCTTGGCCAGCATGGCGAAACCCTGTCTCTATTAAAAATACAAATATTAGCCAGGCTGGTGGTGCGCACCTGTGATCCCAGCTACTTGGGAGGCTGAGGTAGGAGAATCACTTGAACCCAGGAGGCAGAGGTTGCAGTGAGCTGAGATCTTGCCACTGCACTCCAGCTTGGGTGACAGAAAAATACTCCGTCTCAAAAAAAGAAAAAAAAAACACACACACATTCTGAAGCTGGTAGTGGAATTTTTAGTATGGACATCATAAAGCATGTCTTTTGTATTTTTCCTATAATTTTGCACTTGGTATGAATGTACACTAATTGTTTATAATTAGAAAATAAAAGTAATGAATTTTACTTCTGGTTATGATGCATTTGCTCACATTAGTAGTTTATGCTAATGTGCTTTTCTGGCCTTTAGTGACTATTCATGCTTTCTTAAATACATTTGGATGTTGAAAGTTTCACATTTCATACTGTGGAACAGGCACGTCTCTACTGTAGGAACAGTTCTAATCAAAATAGCGTACTCTAATTATGTAAATGATAAGCTTTGAGAAGAGGATCCTGTACGAAAGCCCATTTCCCTGTTTTGCTAGTAGTTTTTTCTTATGATGCACATTTGGGAGATAAGAAGTGAACGTAGAAAAAAAAAAGAAAAAAGGAAAACTATCCCCTTGATTGTGGAGTCTCACTTCATATACATAATTTTGTTTTTGAAATGGAGTCTCACTGTGTCACCCAGGCTGGAGTGCAGTGGCGTGATCTTGGCTCACTGCAACCTCCGCCTCCTAGGTTCAAGTGATTCTCCCACCTCAGCCTCCCGAGTAGCTGGAATTACAGGCATGCGCCACCACATCGGCTAGTTTTTTGTATTAGTAGAGATGAGGTTTTACTGTATTGGCCAGGCTGGTCTTGAACTCCTGACCTCACGTGATCCATCCGCCTCGGCCTCCCAAAGTGCTGGGATTACAGGCATTAGTCACCGCACCCGGCCATATACATAATTATTTCATGAGAAAAATGTTTGAAGGAGGAGTGCTTCACTACCTAAATGTGAAATCTTTCATGTGTAATAATTGTTGTTTCAGTGATATGGGAGAACCAAATCGTCATCCAAGCATGTTTCTCTTACTTTTGGTGTTGGAGAGACTCTACGCTTCCCCGATGGATGGTACTTCTTCTGCTCTCAGCATGGGACCTTTTGTTCCCTTCATTATGAGGTAGTGTCATGCTGTGTAGAAATTGTCTAGGTTGGCGTGGGAGTTTTACGGGAATATTTTATCTTCTTCTTATTTCAGAAACTATTTTATATATATCATATATATTTTATATATATATATTATTTGTTTGTTTGTTTGTTTTTTGAGACGGAGTCTCGCTCTGTCGCCTGGGTTGGAGTGCAGTGGCGCGATCTCGGCTCACTGCAAGCTCCCCCTCCCAGGTTCACGCCATTCTTCTGCCTCAGCCTCCGGAGTAGCTGGGGCTACAGGCACCCGCCACCACGCCTGGATAATTTTTTGTATTTTTAGTAGAGATGGGGTTTCACTGTGTTAGCCAGAATGGTCTCGATCTCCTGACCTTGTGATCCGCCCACCTCATTCTCCCAAAGTGCTGGGATTACAGGCATGAGCCACCGCGCCCGGCCATATTATATATTTTTTTATATATGTAAACCTATTGTATATATTAAAAACTATTATATATATAACTATTATATATATTATATGTAAAACTTTTGTATATAACTATTGTGTGTGTGCGTGTATATATATATAACTTGTATACACACACACACACACACACACACACACACACAAACTTTGGGAGGGGTCTTGTGAAAGCAGAGGCCTGGGTTTTCCTGCCATTGCCCCCAGTGTTTCAGAGTAAGGTGCTTATATTGTGGGTACAGGATCTCATTAGAACCTGTGTAAGTAATGTTTTCTTTGAGCCCTGTCTGCTCCAAGGCAGGTGGATGGTGTTGATAGGAGATACTCCTTTTGAAAGACATAGCCCCATGTTTGCGTTATTCCTGTGTTGAGCCTGGCTAGCACGGAGCAGGCTTGGTTCTGGTATGTATCTTCTGTCCACGGGTTCGAGAGGATGTCAGGACATCTGCCTCTTCACTCTGGAAGAGTCTGCGAGCCGGTGCAATGGGTGGCATGTAAATGGTAATGCCATGTGGCATGAATTCCCACTCGTCTTCTCTTTTACGTTTGTAGTACCTGAAAAAAGCCATGAATATAGAGTATTCATGAAATAATATAACAGGGTTCTCTTCTTTTAGAGCCTATTACCACTTCTTGTGTTACATCTTTTCAGGCATTTGCCGTCTTCTGATTACTTTGTTCATTTTGGATCAAAGGCCTAAATATGTAGGCCTCCAAGAAGTATTAAAATTTTCTCATGAAACCTTTCAGAAGCCTATCATATTAGTTAGCTATTACCTTTCTGCTTAGCTCTTGACAAAACAGTACCTTCATTTTTGTGTTTCTACCAAAAATTGAAGTGGATTTGGAGCAGAAGGGTAAGAAACCAAACTCAAGAGAGTATTTCTTATGTATGTAGTGTCCTAGGTTTCACTTCCTTGTTTCACAGAGCTGACTTATGCATTTTAATGTGAGAAAACCATTAAACATGAGGTTCTGGCATGCGCTTGCAGAGCTATTTGTTTGCGCCAAGCCTTGGCTGTGGCTGTGTTATCTTTGATCACAGAGATGACTCAGGCAGACTGGTTTTTGTTTCCTGATATACAAAGTTACCAGTCTCCTTCATCTGGCATTTGGTGATTCATTTTAGGAATTTGGGTGGTAAATTTTACTTTCAGGGGCCTTAAAAATTGTTCTTTCATGAATAAGTGGAAAGAACTAAGAAATGTTTTCAGAAAGTTGATGCAAGGAGGAAAGGCATGTGCACAGAATTGCAGTTTACATTAGAAACAGAGATTTGCTTTAGAACCTGTGCTCTGTCTTAAGAACATTGAATTTGTGGAAGCTTTTTACTACTCAGTCTGTTGTTCATTGCATCCTAGAAATAATAAATTACTACATTGAAAGTACCTTTCAGTGGTACCTGAAAGTACCTTTCCAAAATGTTGCTTAGTTTACATATAATCAGAATGCTGATACTACTCATTATATTCAAAGTATCCATTATATAAAACAAAGATTGCATTAATATAGAAAATTTAAATATTGCTTTGAAGCCAGTGTACTTAGGGCATCATTTGTTAACCTCTAAAAATACAAAGTAAGAAGTTTGCAATCAGTCTGTTCTTCCAGTGAAAGAAAATGCTGCGGTTGTAGTTGCTTTCTTCCAGTAAGTAAGGTGCTTTATGAAGTAGATTCATAGAACATCACCAACAGCAGAAGTGCCACCAACCAAAATACAAGGTTATTTTGGTGTAACAGAAAGAGCACATCTATCACTCTTGACAAGCCCTGCACTCTTGGGTTCAAATTGTAGCTCTGTAACTGCCTTGCTTGCTCTCTGAACCTCAATTTCCTCAACTTGCAAATGAGGGTGATAACACATCTTCTGAGAGTCACTGTAAGCAAAATGTCCTGTAAGCAGAAGCACCACCCTTGATTCCTTAAGTACAGAGCCTAGGCTCTGACTTATTGACTGTCCATGTGTGTTATAGAACAGTGTTTCTAAAACTTTAAGATGTAAACATATCACTTGGCTATCATATAAATTCTGATTTCAGTAAATCTGAGGTGAGGCCTGAGAGTCCGACTTCCAAATGGTCTTCCAGATAATGCCACTGCTGCTGGTCTGTAGATCACATTTTGAGTAGCAAAATTAAACTTGGGATATTAAATTTAATACCATCACACACACACACACACACACACACACACACACACACACACATACAATTTTAACAAGCTAGACAGTAGTAGCTTATTAAAATTGGTTAGGCAGTTTAAGGAATTTATTAAGAAGTAGATTTTGACCCAGGAATGCAGAAAACAAGAAAGAAAGTGTTCTGAGCAGAGAAGTCAGTAGGAAGTAGACCAACCTTTGTTGAGCCCCGTCTTTCTGCCAAGTATTGAACTGGTCATTTTACTTACAGTGACTCTGAGAAGAGGTGTTATCACCCTCATTTGCCCGTTGAGGAAATTGAGGTTCAGAGAGCAAGGCAGTTACAGAGCTAGAATTTGAACCCAAGAGTGCAGGGCTTGTCAAGGGTGTTAGATGTACTCTTTCTGTTATACCAAAATAACCTTGTTTTTTGGTTGCCTTTTGAGTAGCCAGTAACTTAGCTACACGGAATGGACCTATAGGGTCTGAAATGTATGCAACTGAGAGAGATGAGGAGCCTATATCCACAGCTGCTGTATCTGAGTACAGGCTGTCTTCTGGATATAGACGTAATGTCTCTACCAATGGTGGGATCTGTTCCTTATTTTGCTTTTCCTGTAGGAAAAGTGACTGATTGGATTGGTTAACCATGTGTGGCACATGGTGACAATCGCCTGGGGTTATAGGACTGGTTTGTGGCCAGATACAGTAGAAGCCTGGCTCTTCTTTCTTGGCCACCTTCTGTGGTAAAGTGGAAGGCCCTAGATTTAGTTAGTTTGGGGTTTCATCAGCCTACCACAGGGAAAACCCATGCTACCCCAAAATGTTCACTGGCGAGGTGAACTATAAACAGATTTTTAAAAAGCAGTGAATGTGATAAAACTGTATGCATTTGATTTAGATGACCTCTGAGAATATTATTCATGAAGAAAGTGGAAGGCTGATCATAAAACCTGTCATTCCAGGCAGTGCTTGTGGTTCTGATTGTGGTAAAGAGTGGGCTGTTTTGACTTGGGGTAATAGCTAAAAAGATGGATGGGTGTATGCACAGTGGGTCAGCAGTGTTTTATTTTTGTACCGTTGTTAAGGGTAATTTATGTACTTGGAAGGGTTTTCATCAGGCTCATGGATACTATGAGTTTGGCCAAAGAAAAAAATTTCAGTTTGTGGGAGTAGTGCAAAGGTTGCTCTGACTGCTAAAAGTGAATTGCACAATGAGAAGAAGATTAAAAGCGCCAACAAGAGCTTTTTGTTTCCCTTTGATTTATGTGTACTTACCTGCTATTTCCTTCCTCTCTGTAAGGTATTTATAAGTATTATATGTAGTTTTACTCCTTTATCCCATGTTTAAGAGTATACCTAAACATATATGCCATTATGATTGTTGCATCCTCTTGGGACAGAACTTATAATGTCAATCCCAACATCTTGTATACAACTTTTAAAAAATCCAGTGTATTTTATGTTCTGATGTTGTGCTGCATCCAGATACAAAGCCCTTTACCATGTGAATGTGATGCTTTCAATTTAAGACCATTAATTCATTCTTCAGTTCAGGTACCACAAAGCAGAATAATTCATGCTTTAAAAAGAACCTTGACTGGCTCTCTGAATGCAGCTCACCAGGGCCTGCTTCTCTGGGCTTTCTAGAGACTAGAAAGTCTTTTCAGAGGCCAAAAAGTCCCTGGGCATACATCTCTGAGTTCCCTTTCACAAGCAAGTTTCAAGTTCCAGTCAAAGAGCTCTAGGTAACCACATATGCCTCAAACCTAGGACCATAGAATCCTGAACAAAGGCCCAGGAGAGCTTAGACGAATCAGGTCTCAGAGGCCGAGGCGGGCGGATCACCAAGTCAGGAGATCGAGACCATCCTGGCTAACACGGTGAAACCTCGTCTCTACCAAAAATACAAAAAATTAGCCGGGCATAGTGGCAGGCGCCTGTAGTCCCAGCTACTCGAGAGGCTAAGGCAGGAGAATGGTGTGAACCCAGGAGGCAGAGCTTGCAGTGAGCAGAGATTGTGCCACTGCACTCCAGCCTGAGTGACAGAGCAAGACTCCGTCTCAAAAAAAAAAAAAAAGAAAGAAAGAAAGTAAAGCTACTTATTTGGTAGGTATATGAAGTCAAAAGACTGATGCTGGTGACATAGCTTCAAATGCTGGAAAGTCCAAGTGAAAATTCTTTTGAGGAGATAGGGAAAGAATCTCTTGCAACTTTATAGCATGATGCTTTATGATTATGCTGTTAATGGCTAAAAGTAGCCATAAAAAAAATGAAGGCAAGCTAGATTGCATGCTTATCAAATTTGTGAGCAAATTAAGATTCAAAATAACCTTCAAGCATAGGACTGACAAACACAAATTCAGGCATAAGACCATTACCTCTGAATGGGGAGGAAAGGGGTGAAATTGAGGAGCCATGTACTAGAAGCTACAATTTTATTTGTGATGTGTTCTTAAATTGGGCATTGGGCAAATGCTTGAATGTCATCCTATTCTCTAGATTCTTTTCGTTGTTGTCATCATTTTGTATGTCTGATGCAGTTCATCATTTAAAAGTAAGATTCGAAATAGCCTGGACCAGCCTGGGCAACATAAGGAGAACCTGTCTCTACAAAAAATTTTAAAAATTAGCCAGACTTGGTGATTTGCGCCTGTAGTCCCAGCTACTTGGGAGGCTGCGGTGGGAGGATTGCTTGAGCCCAGGAGGTCAAGGCAGCTCAAGTGAGCTGTGATTGGGCCACTGCACTGCAGCCTAGGTGACAGAGCGAGACCCTGTCCCCCAAAAAAGCCTTGAAAGACTGGATTGATGGGATGAGACTATCAAGATAACATTTAATAGAGATATATATCATTCTGATTTTTTAAAGAAAAGTCAAAATTATATACATACAAAATGAGGGCTATCTGGCTTCATAGCAGTTTTTGTGGGGGAAAAAATATCTTGGTGAATGAGATATCCTGGTGAACCATGAGAAAGCAGCATGACACTGTTGCTGCTTCCAGATAGTGGAGGCTGTAGTCCCCCTGAACTCTGTTGGTTAGCCTAAACCCACATTATTCTCCTTATTATTCTGTTCTGGGCTCCCCATTTTAGGAAGGTCACTGAAGAACTAGTATCTGTCGAGGGGAGGTGACCAAGATGAGGAGGAAACCAAACATCTGGAAACAGTTAGACTGGAGAAGACTTAGTGGCAACATGATAATGGTCTTTATATACTTGAGAGACTGCCATATGGTAGAAGGCGCATAATTTCTCTTTTTTGCTCCCAATGGGAAAATGGAAGATAGATTTCAGCTTTTAATTTAAAGAAGAATTTTGTGAAAATTAGTATTCTCTATCAAGGAAAAGAACATATTTCCATAATACTGAGTTTGCCCATCAGCAAAAGTGTTAAGTTTTCAAGGAAAACTGATCACATGTTGAGCATATATCTGCAGCGCACCTGAGGTTGGACTGGATATCATCAAGGTATCTGTTTGGCATGCCTTATTTCAGAATAGGTGAACAACTCAGCTGTGGATTCTGAATGTTCAGTGAATGAAATGATCAACCTGCCTCTAATCCTGTGACAATATTTGTACATTTTTGTTTATGGGTCCTTCGATCTCTCAAAGAAAAGAAGTTGGGATGCCATTCTTGGCATGGCCCAAAAAGTCACAGTGGTTTGCTCTTAAATGGCACCCTCCAGGAATTAATCTACTAAAATTTAGCATTTAAGTAACTTCTGTAACTGTGTTCTGGATAGTTCTGAAAACATATTTTTGGCCTATGAGATGTTATGTCTGAAAAGCATTCTTTATTAATTTAATTACCTTTTTTTGTGGTTCCTGTATTTTTCTCCATTCCAGATGTTGGCTTAAGCCACATTTTCTGACAAGCAAAAGAACATCTGAGTCTTTGAGAAGTCAGAGATGCTTTTCTAAAGAGTGGTTATAGTAGATAACTCTTTATTGTCCCAATTTCCCAAAGTATCTTGAACAGAGTTGCCTGGAGAGAGAGTACAGGGGTCTCCAAGCCTTGCTCATTACAAGTAGAAACACCTGAGAAATAGGGCTTTGCCAGTACTGTTGACATAGAACTTCCTGCCCTGGCCAGCACTCTACCTGGTCTGTGGTTACTACTAAATTCCATGAGGTTCAGAGAAGGGAATTATAGGAAAGGAGTATGCCCCCACCCTTCCCCCGCTGCCCAGCCATCCTAATCTGCTAACAGTTGTTGGGTGAAAAAAGGGTTCTGCTATCCCATAATTCTGTGGAAACCCTGGCCCCTTGGTTTCACTATGTGACTGTCTGATACCAGGTCAGGCTTGGGACCAGATTGTTGAGGCACAGGTGTTCAGTGCTGCTCAGTTTTCTTCTTTGCTTATAGGCCAAACTTGCAAAACATGTAAATGCCCCCAGTGTTATCTTCCATGGGGTATTTGTATATTACAGATACATACATTTTGAAATAAAGCAGTAAAACTCTAATGGTGGTGTTTTAGGCCTTATATAGGGAGGATCTAGAAGCAGAGATTGGAAGGTTGTTTCCTATTGCTGGGGAAATCACATTGTTTGGGCAGCTACTTACTCTGCCTCCTTTTTACTGTGCCTAGCACTTTATTTGGAGGGCTGTACTCATGGCCCTCTGAATTTCTGAATTCTACCCAGGGTAGCTGAGGTTCAGCATGTAGTATGAAATTATGTTTTGCATTATGTGTCTTTTTTTGCAAATAGTTCTGGCATAAAAAGATACCTTGTTATCTGTCACCAATTTTTATCTGTTAGTTCCTAGATAGGGGCCTGGCCAACTTCATTTCTGGTGCCAGATCTCTTTAAGACCATTTTCTAAATATGTTTTTGAGCAGAAGGAATGAGGAGTTCACCTCTTATGGAATGCATTGACAAAGCAAACTAGAAAAACAGAACTTGTAGGGACCAGCTTTTCTTCAGTGTTATCTGTTATCCCAACAGGCCAGTTTAGGTCATGTTAGAACAAGTGATTTGATCTGCACACAGTCCCATTCTTAGGTGAAATTTCTGACAATGATGATAATCTATGGCCTATTGCTGCCATTCATACTAGAAGTTAGAATCTAATCAGTTAATTGAGTAACCAAGTATTTGTTAAACATTCATTGTGTACCTAGCTAGTGTTAGGTCTTGGGTAAGATGCAAAGTAAAGAAAAATGTCTTTATGCTTAAAGAACTTACCGTCTAGCTAATAAGGTAAAATACATGCTTGTGAACCTGATACCGTGTATATTAACCACTTAATTATATGACATATACACTAAGGACTGAGGCCTACAAAGAAGGGGAAGAGCATCAGTGGGTTGGAGAAGTCCGGGAGGCTTTCCCAAATAGCAAGGCAGGAAGAAATGTGGGAGTTCAGTCTGCCATCTCAGGGACTTTTAGAAATCACCCATGGTGATTAACAAGTCATGTGAGAGGAGTGAAAAGTCAGGGGGATCCAACAAGGGGAAGATTGTGATGGAGAGTTTTATGATTCATAACTTGGAAGGCATCATAAAGAGCTTTGCTTCCACTTGAACCAAGGGCGACCCAGGAAATTCACAAAATAAATGGTTTGCTATTTAACAGGAGAAACCATTGATGGTGCACCTTTGGTAACTTTAATAAAGAACAGTATTTGTCCTGAGTGTTGCATTTAAGTCTTGTGGAAGTAATGAATTGTAGTGGGAAAAAAAATTTAAATTTAGTAATACTTAACATTTTAAAGTATCTTAACAGTGTTTTTCCATACAGAACTTTTATTTCCTTGTTCTTAAATTGTTTCTCAAAAATTGTAGCAAAGGTGCTCTGCAGGCATTTTTAATGCTGAATTGAAGGATTTCACATTACCAAGCCCCAAATGCTGACTGATAGGCAGTCATCCTACACAGTAGAGAACATTTTAGATCAAAAATGTGTTTTTTTCTTCCAGAAGAAAATAAGAATTGGGAAATAGAATAAGAAGGTAAAGATAAATTATAGAAGGCTTCAAATGAGGACAAGGAAAAATAATGACATAGTGTGTTTCGGTTAGCTTTCTCTGACTGGAATGGGTTTTCCCTTTCCCTCTGGGCCTTGGCCCCCACCGTCTATTTCTAATCTTCTAGTAAAAACAAGCTACACATGTTACATCAGCTGCTCAGGATACCTTCACCCTCACGTCCTTTTACTTTTTCCTTCCTCACTCACTTTGAACATTGTGACTCTTGACTGCTCATCTTGCCTCCCTTCCAACCAGTTATAGACATTCTCTTCTTCACCATTTATTCTTCTCTGTCTCTTTATATTGTGATCACTCTTCATCACCAGTTCATCCTTCCATTAAGTGTATTTACTGAGGGCCTACTTTGTGCCCTTGCCCAACCCAACACCCCTACTCTCATCACCTCTCATTTGCAAGAGAAGATGTGGAGGCCATCAGGTGTGGGTTCTGTCCATGGAGAAACCCACTCCACCCACAGTCCTCTCCTTTGTTTTATAGCCAGGCTCTAGGAAAAGGTGGTCTGTGTTTAGTCTCCATTTTTCCCCTTCTTAACCCACTGCAGCCTGGCCGCTTCTTCCACTGCCTCACTAAACTGCACCAACAAATAGGAGTGACCTCCTTATTAAAAAAGCCACTGGGTGCTTTTCATTCCTTCTCATTTCTGCTTTTTCTCTGGTGTTTGATGCTATTGCAGACTCCTTTCTTCTTGAGTTCTTTCTTCTGTGGCTTCTCTGGCCGTTATTTCTATCTCTCCTTGGAGGGCCCCCTTCCTCCCGCTGCCTCTCAAACATTGGTATACCTGTTTGTCCTGCCCTCAAACCTTTTCTTTTTCACTTTGCATGCTCTCTCTGGGGTTATCACTCACCTACACTTACCTGGTCCTAGATCTAGAACTCATATAGAATCACAAGTTCAACTTTCTATTGGACAGCTTCTTCTGCATGTCTCACACACATCCAAAAGTTGAGAATTTCAATTACCTCTGCACACTGAAGTTTGAACAGCCTTCTTTTAGGGCCTAGTACAATGTCTGACATCTTGCTCTACCTGGCTAGCTGCAGTCAGGGAACTTCTTTAAGGGAAACATATCAGAATCAGGACTCAGGGTGGCACAGAGGTTCCTCCCGCTGTCAGTGACTGTGTTCATGCATACCCAGTAACAAAGGAGCATTGGTTTAAAAAATCACTGACTTCTGAAAGCGCTCCAGTAAGCTTGAAATGATTTGCTTTGCTTCTTACGTTGATTATCATCAGTTTGAGGTAGCAAGTAGCAGGTGCTTGTTCCTTTCTTTGGAGGTGAAAAGCCAAGGCCCAGAGAGAGTAGACATAATATGCCCACATTCAAAAAGTGACTCCCTAAGGAGTCAGGGCAAATTCATTTATTCATTCACTCAACAGATATTTATTGAAAACAATTATGTTTCAGGCACTAGAAACAGAGTGGTGAATCAGACAGATACAGTTTTTGGCATAATGAGGTATCCTTTTTGACGATGCTTCTTATCTCTTCTTTGCTCCTATTTTTTCCATCCTGATTAGTGATAAATGATAATAATTAGCAAATGTTTACTATAAGCCAGGCAATATTTTAGGACTTTACACATATTAACTCATTTAATCATGATGACAGCACTATCAAGTCATTGTCGTTACTATCCCATTCCACAGAGGGGGGGAATGTTGGGCAGTAGGAACTTTCTAAATGTGTCCTACCTAGCTCATACTGGTAGTGATAAGGCGTGAATTTGAACCCAAACAATCTGACTCTAGAACCCATGCTGTTAGCGACTGCTTTAGCTATTCTAGCTCTTAACACTGTAATACTTGCTTTTGCTCATCTGTTTATGATGCTGTGTCTGTGAAGTATGACAGGGTAGTTCTCAGCATGCCAAAATTAACCTGCAGCTTTACCTAACAAACATTTGGACTTACTTTGCTTTCTTGAGATATTTCCCCCCTTGGGCATTTCGTTGGCAGTAGTCTCATTTTCTAATCTGAAATCAGGAGAAAAGGAAGAAAAACTTGCAATAAAGCTTAAGTGGTTGTGACAGGTTGCTAAATAAAACTGGCTCAACTGAAGTTTTGAGATTCTTGAGAAACACTGAGAATTTCTTACAAAGGAAATTTTCCTTATTATAATAGGAAATCATGGGTCATTGCACAGTTATAAGTGTCTTAGTAAAGAGAGAATGTGGCTTGAGGCTAAGAAGCCTAAAATCTTAATGAGATTATTTGTGGGCTGCTATTTATGCATAATTTTTAAACTCTTAGAAAATATGTTTTCTATCTGTCTTTAGTATGTCATCTTAAGTTTCCACTGCTTTACGTAATTTTGAAAATCTTTAGGGTTGCTAGAAAAAAAAAACAATAATAGCAAATGTTTACATAAGAATTTAAGTTTAGAGTGTACTTTCACATATAGTAACTTGATTGTTTCTCTTTTTACTCTCTTATAAAGAAAACAGCCACTCCGTCTCAAAAAAAAAAAAAAAAAAAAAAGAAAACAGCCATGAGGATATCAATTCGTGTTGAAACTTTTTTAAATTGCCAATGTTTTCTTATGCAGTAATTGTAAACTGATTTGGAAAAAAAGGAAATCTAAATCTGTGAAGCGTTTACATTACTGAATAGTATGAAAGGAAGGTTTTGTTACTTAAGATTGCATATAATAACTTCAGGAAACTGCTTTAATGGATAAGTAACAATAGCATCTGGTTGTTAGTTGATCATCTGTACTCCAAGGCCTCTGAAGTGGGTTCACACCGCCCTTGGTTTGCCAATTTTATATCTTTTATGTACATAGTCCTACTGCCCTCTTTTCATAATTATCCAAAGGTTACCAGCCAAAACCTGTGTGGAGGGTACACGGAGGATGAGATGTGTCCCCTGGGGTTTTTGCATTAGGGAAAATTCCTGATCTGGGACATTTGTGCCCTGACCACCAGCCCCCAAGAGATGCCACATTTTTGTCTACTTTAGTTGAAAACTCTCAGTCCTACAGTAGGCTGTAGTAGGCCTCAGTCTGAATAATCACAAAACCAAGAAACATTAATGAGATTTTTCTGTTCAGTTTCTACAGTGTCCGGAGCATTAACAAAATATATATTTGTATGAAATCTACAGGCTACTGTGTAAATAAGCCTGCTCCCTTTTGGTTATTAAATCATACAGGAAAGAAGCATCTGTTTTAGCAGAAACTGTGGAAAAATATATCCAGGTAGCCCAGGAAAAGTTGAATTGTTACTGACAGATGTGTCACCACAGACAAGAAAAGAATTTACAAAGCAGTGGACAGACAATATTTTCAGACAATAATCTGTCTTTTTGGGTGATGTGTGGGTAGCATTGGTTTGTTTCTTGCCTGAATGTTTATTCATTTTTTTCCCAGGAGAATCCCTTTTGCTCAGCTTCTTTCTGGTTTGGATAAAATGAAAAGTAAAATTGACTTAATACTAATTATAACCTGCATAATTCTACTGAAGAGAAACTTAAGAAATAGAATTATTTTTTCTAGTTAAGCTTCAGGGTCATATAATTATTATAATTCAATCATTTATTATCCCCCCACCCTTTTTTCTGTGTGATTTAAGACATCAGAATTTAATTTGTAGCCAGAATGAAAACTGGACTTAAGAAAAGCTTGACTAGAGAGAGATTTGCATTCTGCTGCGTGGTTGAACATGTCTCTAAAGTAGCAGCTTTAGAATGCCATGTCCTGATAGAATTCCCCGTTGAAAGCTAGCCAGCAGAGCAGCTTCCTTGTGTCCTCCTCCTTGCCTGACCCACCGTGAAGCGTCACGAGGGCCCTAGATATGAACCTCGGGGGCTCCACAGCCTGACAGAAGAGAACTAGTGTCGCTGGGCAATCCATGATCTGGCACAGAAGCCCCAGGCTCTAGATTTTGTAATTGGCCACCCACCCTGGCCCAACCTTGGATAAATATTCCTGAGTTCTAAGTAGGATGAGGAATTTAAATCCCTGTTTTTTCCTGAGTTCTTCCATAACCAGTCCACGACATTGTTATGAGATCTGAGTGGAGTGCCCATGCTTGGAGAGGGAATAAAGGGAGCACGTTCTACTACTACTAATGAATACATACTCCCATTAACAGTCCCTTTTTCCCTAGGAATGATGCCACTGGAAGGGCCAGATGTGACTCCACTGTAGTCACTGACCCAGACCAGCTTTACCCCTAGGGTAATTGAAACCTATATTAAATGATTTGACAGGTCATAAGCAGTGCCCTCTACCCACTTAATTTTCTCAGATGCCTCCTCCATTATGAGCTAAACCTTGTAGATTTTCATTCTTTTAGTATATGGTTTTGATCCCTTCTAAAATGGACATCTCAATGAAACATAAATTACTTAAAAGTTATTAGTAGTCATTTATGCCATAGTATGAATTAGTTTACGTTTCTTTGGTTTTGACAGGAAGATAAATAGAATACGTTGGGGAGAAAATGTAGAACTCGAAACAAAGGGAGAAAGCAAGTTGCCACCTTTGGAAGACTGCAGTGATTTCTTTCCCATTAGAATTTGCTCTCATGTTTTCAGTGAAGCATGGCATCGTGTTTTCCATTCACCTCTCCTTTCTGGCAGGGAAAGACTTGGAGTTCTTTTTACAGCTTTAACTCTTTCTTACCCCTTCTAGATGTAGTTCCATTTCCTTTCTAAGATGAAAGCTTGTCTTTGTGCCCTCCCAGAATAGTTCCAAGCAGCAGAACACAGTGAATCCTTCCAGATAAAAGACCCTGCTGATAAAGTGCCAGATTGTTATCAGAGAAGCAGTGAGGGGAGTCAAGTCCCTACCATTAATTACCTAGTTACAGTTTTGTTTATATCCTGTTCATTTGGGGCATGTTTTTCTTGGACAGTTTCTAGTCTGTGTTCTGAACTGAAGTCTGAAGTTTGTAAAAATCCCAAAGGTCAAGGAATAGTGGGTTCCTTATTTTCTGAAAGGTTTAATGGCAAGGAAGAGAAGATCAAAGTTTCTATCTTTCATCTGGAAGGAAATAGACAAATGCTTCATTTTGGTGGTTCATTCCTCACCTCAAGCATACAAACCATAGTATGTTGGATGAACTCTGACTTCGAATACCTAGCCAAGAGGTTACCTGGAAATAGAATGACATGTATCTCTGTGAAGACGTGAGTATCAACCAATGAATGACTAGATATCCACGCATCAAGGCCAGAGTCCAGTTGAATCTAAAATAAAGCTTCTTGGTAAATGTACTTGATGCCACTGAACTGTACACTTAAAAATGGTTAAAATGGTAAATTTTAGGTTATGTGTGTTTTACCACAACAAAAGTAAATATTACTTCCTGACAGCTCCAGTGCTTCAGTCACAGTTGCAAATACAGTTGGACCTCATCCAATCATTTATGGATTCAACCAACTGTAGATCAAAAACATTTGGAGAAAAAGTAAACACAACAATAAAACACAATGCAAATGTAAAAACAATACAACATAACAACTTACATAACATTTACATTGTATTAAATATTATAAGTATTCTAGAGATTATTTAAGGTGTACCAGAGGATATGCATAGGTTATATGCAAATACTGTGCATACTTTACATAAGGGACGTGAGCATCTCACGGGTCCTAGAACCAATCCTTTGAGGATTCTGAGGGCCAACTGTACAATATGGGTGGGCTGCATGGCCTGCATTATTTTGAATGGGATTGCTGTTGCATATAAAGCATTATGTATCCATTTAAGAACTGTGGGACTGTGAGTACCGAATACCTTAATGAACAGAAGAAGATGAAGAGACCATTTTGTCACCATCATACAAACATACTAGGAAGTTTGGGATTGGAAAAGAGCCCTTTCTGTCTTGAAAATGATTGACTCTGAACCATGATAGCCACTCTCTTTCTACAAATGAACCAAAAGAAGTGGCAATGGGTCACTTGATGGCTGAAATAGTAGTGCCTAAGGCTTTGATTATCAAATAGTGATATTGATATGTTCCACAACTAGAAATGTAGTATTAGGTAAGGCAACCTCATCTGTGGTATCTGGCAGCCATTAAGTAGCCAAGCATATATTTCTTGACCGTATTAAATTTGTATCTCACCTTATGCTGCTGTATTAGGTTCTGTCCAAAACCCAACCCATCTTTGCTAATCAGACTGCTGACTTACGATTCAGCCAGCCCTCTTAGCCTCACTGGTGATGGGGCGGGGGTGGTGGTGGGGTTTTAGGACTAGACTGTTGTGTTTTTCTCATCAAGCCAAGAAACTTCTCAGACCCTGCAAACATGTTACCTGGTAACATAGCTACAGTATGAATTTTAGGATAGAAAGAAGGAAGGGAGGGAGGAAAGGGAAAATAAAGAAAATAGCCCTATGACATAGCTACAGTATGAATTTTTAGGATAGAAAGGAGAGAAGAGGGGAGAGAGGGAAATAAAGAAAATAACCCTATTTCAAATCATGAAGCTTTTTTTATCGTTAACCCCAAATGCCCTTAACTCAGAACTCTGACCAAAAGATGTCTCTTTTTTCCCTGTGTGTATTGAACTCATGCACTCATGCCTATCATCATTTGAAGGTAGTTATGAGACATTCATTATGACTTCAATAACTTGCACATATTTAAATTTAGTGTTTTCTTTAGAAAAGGCTAGAAGATGTAGGGATTTAGGAAGAAGTTAAGGTAAACTTAAAATATATAAAAGCTCACTTTGAGTGAAAACAAGTAAAAACAAGCCCTGACCTTCTCAGAGGTAAGAAAAGTTGAAATTAAATGTATTCTTTAGGAAATAAAGACTTTGCCAAGAATAGCATGGTTAGTTAAAGCAGTCTGGTGTGGAAGGTGTGTCTTTTAAAAAATAAGATTTCTTTACTTTCTTCTTGACTAATGGTTTTGTCAGAAGAACCATTTGAATAATAAATGAAATGCTTTGAAGTATATAGGGGAGTGGAGAACTTTTCTGTGACTTGTATGAACTGGTGATACAGATTATAAACTAAGTGATGCCAAATTCCACCAGTTTACCCAGGCTCTGAACACTAGCAAATGTAGTCAAAGCCATAGAAATCTGCTGATGAAATCATGAAAATGAACAGAAGTGATCCAGATTGTTTAATTTCTTTTGAAATATTATATTTATTAGATTTTAGCACCCAAAAGTTAAACAGTATTGAATTTCACACATAGCACTTTATTTTTAATCTTGGGTTGAAGATTATGCACTTGGCATGACTGAAGAGTGACTCATACATTTTGCACCGACTTTATTATTAGTAGTATTATTTTGATAGGCAAGGAAGAAAGCCGGGGAGTAAGATGATACTGAATTGAGGCTAAATTTGTTAATTGATTGAACTCAAACGGAAATAAAGAATGTCACTTAATTTTCTTCTTTTTATATTCATGTGTGTATCCCCTGTGAAGACTTTGAATGCTACTCATGTTTAAAATCCAACATAAAATATCATCTGATCATCAAAATTGGCAGTGGGAATTAGCAGTATTTTCTTCTAATTAATGTCTCAAACTGTGCCACAGCTAAAATCTCATCACCTGGACACTTTGAAAGATGTGACCAGTATTCTTTACTGACATGTTTCCCATCTTAAAACACAATCACCATGAAATTAATATACCAAGTCTTGGTCACAATCCAGGGAAAGACTTGAAGGCAATGTGATTCTTCTCATAATTAGCAGCCTAATTAAATGCTAGAGGGCTTCAGCTGTATAATAATGTACCGTGCTTCTGAACAAAGATACCACCACCATTGAAACTGTATACTTGTAACACTAGTATATTTTTAATTAGTGGCAGGGTATAGGTGTATGTAATCAGTTTTGTTTCATCTTCTAACTTTGCACAGCAGTCTCCATTGTGCATTCATTTGGAATATATTGAAAAATAATCCACTGATTTGGCTTCTGTTTGTCAGAATTTAGGGTGACTAAAACTAGTATGAGTTGACAATTACCTTTTCATGATGGAATAAGCAAATTAAAAGGCTGTTCAAAATATTAGAAAGCAGGTTTAATCTAATCAAGTTGGGGGGAGGGGAATCTTTTACCTTAATAACCACTACGAAATCATACCGCTGAATACAGCAGGTGAGTTTATTAAAGCTGGCCCAACAAATTTGACATCACTTGGTTGAATAATTGGAGCTGTCAAGTGTCCTTAAAATGAATAAAATTGAATTTCTTTTAATATGTGCTATTGTTGTTCACTTCTATGGTGGTAAAAATATCAGAGATGGGGAACACTCATTTTTGCAACTAGCACAGGCTCTGCAGTGAGACAGACTTGACTTTGAATCCTAGCTCATACATTCATTCCCTTTGTGAGCCTGGGCAAGTCAGTTAACTTCTCTGAGCCTGTCTAGAACATGTGAAAGATTCAGAACATTGTCCAAAAAAATTTTTTTGTTTTTTAATTCTTGTGTGATTGTTAGGATTTAAGTGTTTATTGATTTGATTTTTTAAAAGAGCACAAGGGAACATTAATTCTGGTTGTAAAAGTTTAAAGGAAATAGCTGGGCTTGTTTAATCTGAGGAAGAGAAGACTTGAGATGTTTTGGAGATGGAGCTGGAGGCTAAGAAAGCAAGACAGAATGTATAACAACTTTTCTAATGTATATGAAAGATTATTCTTTTAAAAACAACTTTATTGGGGTACAATTGATGTAAAATAAACTGCACATGTTTAAAGTGTACAATTTGATATTTTTATATACCCATAAAACCATCATCACTGTCATGGTAAGGAACATAGCCATCATCCTTTGTAATCCTTACCCAACCTCCCCTCCCCCACCTCCCTGGCAATGATTGTTTTATGTTCTGTCAATACAGATTAATTTGCATTTCCTAGAATTTTAAGTAAACGGACTCATACAGGATGCATTCTATTTTGTCTGGCTTTTTCACTCAGTATAATTATTTTGAGATTCAGCCATGTTGTTAGGTATATCCGTAGCTTGTTTCTTTTTATTGCCAAATGGTATTCGATTGTATGGATATACTGCAATTTGTTTGTGTACTTAGCTGTTGAACGACATTTATGTTGTATCCATCAACTAGTAACAAATAACTTGCTAGGAACAATCATGCACGAGTCTCCTTTTGGACTTAGGCTTTCATTTCTCTAGTGTAAATACACAGGAATTGAACAGGTGAGCTGCGTGGTGAGTATATATTTAACTTGTTAAGAAACTGCCAAATTGTCTTCCAGAGTGATTATACATTCCCACTAGTAGAGTATGAGAATTCTAATTGTTCCATATCCTAGCCAACACTTGGTATGCTCAGTCTTTTTAACTTTAGCCTTTCTAGTGAGTATATAGTAGTATTTCACTGGGGTTTTAATTTAAACTTTACTAACGTCTAAGGATGTTGGGCATCTTTACATGTATTTGGCATTCATATATCTTCTTTGCTGAAGTGTCTGTTTGAAGCTTTGACCCAATTTTTCTGTTAGGTTGTTTGCTTTCTTTTCTTCTCTCTCTTATTTTTTTTTTTTTTTTAAGAGATGAGATCTTGATCTGACACCCTAGCTGGAGTGCAGTGGCACAGTCACAGCTCACTGTAGCCTCAACCTCCTAGGCTCAAGCAATCCTCCTACCTCAGCCTCCTGAGTAGCTAGGACTACAAGCACATGCCACCATGCCTGGCTATTTTTTTTATTTTTTGTAGAGACAGGGTCTCATTTTGCCCAGGCTGGTCTCGAACTCCTGGCCCCAAGCAATCCTGCTGCCTCAGTCTACCAAAGTGCTGGGATTACAAGTGTAAGCCATCATGCCTGCTTTTGTTTTCCTATTATTCTGAATATATTTTGGATACAAGTCTTTTAGACATAGATTTATTTCTTTCCCTGGCATGTAGAACCAGAAAAACAAAATTAAATTGCAGCAAGAAAAAGTATAATTATACTGTATAAGGAAGTATTTTTTTTGACTGGCAGTATAAACATGGGTACTGGGATAACCAAAGGAGGATGTCAGACTTTCTCAGGGGTATTTAAAAACTGACTGGCAGTAGTCTATTTGGGATACTGTAGGCATGCTGAAATATGACTCAACTTACCTAATTGCAATTTTCATTTGAGAAAAGATACCTTGAATGAGTCTGTTGCTAATATCTCAATATCTGTTGCTCTTTTGTGTCATTTTTCCAGGCCAAAAAAAAAAAGCAATTTTTTGGAATTTTTCAAAACTTTCCTTGTACTTTATTATTTTTAAAAATTCATTCTTTCTGGTTTTAGCTTGAAGTGTTTCTGTGAAACATGAGGAGGGTCATTCAGGGGCATTAATTAGCTTCAGCAAAAACAAAATGCAGTCTCTGCAAAGTAATCAAATTAAAAGAAATACTCAAATTTCTTTCATACAGCAGTAGCACCAATCATTGTTTTAGCTGATGGCACTGGGAAGATTCATTTAACCCTCTGTAGATGCAAAATAATTAATGAGATTCTAGAGAAGAGGTTCTACATGATGAAAGGAGTTGGAGTGGTTGTAGCCCTCAGAAGAGTAAAGGGTGCTTTCATGATGGGATTCCAGTAGAGTTAATGAAGGGTTTTCCTCTGTGTAGAAAACACTGGTCATTTGTTCTCCAACTCCACAGAGGCTCAAACTAGAGAAGATTGGCTCCAACTATAGAAAGATTGAGTATGGTTAGTGTTAGACATAAAACTTTTATTATTAGCATCAATATTATGAGATTAAACAATGGAACAAGAGAGGTCATAATGATATTTTAAAATAAAAAAGATAGCTATCTGCCTGGAATGTTTAAATGTCCATGATTGAATTTTGTTTTTGAAGGGGACTTTGGAGATCATTTACTCTAATAAGCTTTTATAGATGAGGATGTGAAAGGACATTATGTAACTTGCTGTGGCCACATTGTTAGATACTCATATTTTAATTTGAGGATGTCTTAAAAGTAGCCTTGCGTAAGAGACTCGAAGGAAACCATGTAAGTGCTTCTGCTTCACAGTAGGTTTCACTTCACCAAAAAAGTCACTTAAAGCTGATGACTGTGTATTTCTTCTACACCCAAGAAAATTCTGCCAATGTGCTGACATGTATGTGTCTTTTCTTGTCATTAGTAATGTTGAAGATTTTTATTCTTGGGCAGTTCAAACTTGTCTTTAAATAAATACTATACTTTGCTCAGAGGCAACCTAATCTTCTCAGTATCGTTCCAATTTTAGTATATGTGCTGCCGAGGCAAGCACAAAATCAATACTATACTTTGAATGACTGTAAGTGATTTGACCTGAGGTGATCAGTACTGAGAGAGGATACCAGGGGACACTGCCACAGCATTTGTGGAACCTGTCGCAGTCTGCTGTGGGGTTCTTCATAAACTGTTGGTTGATGGCTGCAACTTGGTGGATGACTTGCTTCAAAGTCCTGGTGACTAATTTGCCTTCCTTAAAGATAATATTGAATAAAGCTTTAGGCTTTGTTTTGTTTAACACTAGTTAGAGCAGTAGGAAACATATTTAGACTACCAATTCCTTATGTATGAGACCTGCAAATATGCATTCCAGCCATTGAAATTAGTGGGATAAATTGCCTACAAAGGTTTCCTCATTCATTATCACAACAAAAAAATTGGCACAGGACATTTTATTTGGTTGTGGTTACATTTTATTTGGGAATCCATCATTCTTTTTATGTTCCCATAGACTATCTAGAGTGAAAACCCACATATATTTATATAATATTATATACTTTATTTTAAAGGGTTTATCTAAGTACTAAAAATGAGAGAAAATATTTTAAAGTACCTGGCATCTAGCAGGCACTCAGTAAATATTCCTACCTTCACTTCCTTTTTTCCTTCCTTCTTTTTAGCGTGGATATCAGAATCTTTTATAAATGTAACAGATTATTGTCAAAAAGGGAAGTTAATAGAATTGGTGTATGTTGAGCATTCCCTTGACTCACAGGATGTTTAGATTGTCTAAGATTTTAATATCATTTCAGAGATAATCACCTGAAAAATTAAACTGGTCAAAGAAAAATTTACTCAGCACCTATGATTTGTGCAGTCAACCTTGGACTAGAATTAGAGTACTTTGAATACCAGAATAAGAATATGTATTTAATGTGACAATAGAGAGCTATCATAGGTTCTAGAAAATTTGAAAGCTAAAAAAAAGTTTTTTAATGTCAATAAAAGCATTCCTTTCTAAACCTTCTATCTATATATAGTAGGGTTATATATAATAGGGTTTAAAAAATAAGATGGTAAATTCTCTCTATTCCTTTGTGTAGTGTCTTAAAATGACTACCCATTCCTGTGTTTGTGAACTGAAAAATCAATCACTGTAAATATGGAATCTCTTGCTCTAAAGGATAATGGTGTGAGTTTCAACTGTATTAAATCACTTTGAGAACTTGGCCTTTGAGCAGTCAACACCAAAGGAAAGCCAGCCTGTTACTGATTTCTCAGACCCATCCACTGCCTGCAAGGAAAGGCGACATGCTGAGGGGCCAAGTGTTATTATGTTCAGCCCCCTTTAAAGAGTCAGTGGCTGCCTGAACGTGCTCATTTCTTGGTTGTTTGTGTAGCCCGAGCAGAAACATTGTGAAGGGTTTTGCGATTGGGAGGAATGTGCAACTCTTTCATTCATTCTGCATATGCTGCAGCCCAGCTCCTGCCTTACATGCAGCTCATCCCAGCCCAAGAACCCCGAGGGTAGATCCGGAATGCTTTTCCAGCTGTTGCATGAGGAGAACAGTAGACCAGAGTGTGGCTCATTGGTACAGGGTCAGAGAGAAACCCCTCAGATAGGCTGGGAGGGAAGATTATGCCAAAATTTCAAACTAAGTGTAGTGGTTATTTTTACTTGCTTAGGAAAGATGATTCCCTTTTATTTTCTAGGGCTCCCAATGTCTTTGTATGTACTTTGCTATAAAGTCTTTTCCATATTTTTCCCAGAGTCAGGAAAGAATTATTGCTAAGGTATAGCACATTTCAGTGCCCCTGAGGAGAATCTTCTTCTCAGCTGTCTAAAACATTTGGTTGGAATCTGAAAAATTCAGTTTCAAATTGTATTTGTTGTTGTCTCAAAAAATGATGAAACATTTAAATGAAATTTCAAATGAAATGTAATTTTCATGCTTCATCTCTACATTTTGATCAGCAAGTGACCAGAAATTAGCGTTCAGAAATTATGCATCTTTTCATTTATTTAAGAATATTTCTAATTCTGAACAATTAAAGCATATTGTTTAGAGAGCTTTTAAAGTAACAACTGCATTGTGTACCTTCACCCCTCCCTGTTGGAAAATCTCCTTGCCTTATTTCCTGGCACTGAAAGGGATGGTATGAATCAAGTAGCCATAGCCATTGCACCTGGGACTGTGTTTCTGCCACGTCAGGTTGCTGAGTGCTGTGCCTATTTCTTGCAGGGGCAAGTGGAGGGATGTCCAGATGATGGAGGCTGATTTCTAGCTCCCAGCAGCTGACATTTCACAGCCTGGAATTAATAGCCTGTGGCCTGTCAGCCTGGGTCACTGGGAGGCAATGTGAAGGTGACCTCAAAAGCATGCTTTTCTGAGGCTTAGACTCTGTGGTTGGGCTTGTCTCAAGGGGTCACACACTACAGTTTTCAGATGTTCTGTTGTGGCTTATTGTTGGCCTTTCTTCATAATTTTTTTTAAGGGTTTAATGTGTTGCTTAGAATTAATTTGCAAAGAGCTTTGAGCTGCCCGATAGGTAACGTATGTAAACATTCTACCTGAAGTTACTTTGTGTGTCTGGAAATGTGCAGTTTTTAGCTTAGCTACTGTCTACAGCTCTTATTTTCTCCTTACTACCCAAACCAAGGATTTTTAAAAAATCAAACTTTAAAAGCTCCGAACTCATTACTCTTCCAAGAAATATATTTGAATAAAGAAATCCCTGAGCTATGCAGAGGGCAAGATTACAGTCAATGCAATTTTTATGTGCTAGTGGTTTGAATTGCAGGAAAAGGAGCAACTAGTTCGGGTGGTGGTGGTAGATCCTTTGATGAATGGAATATTGGCATAGGAAGAACAAGTAGAGAATCTGGCAACCTTGGCCATCACTGAACTCACCTGAGAATGTGGAAAAGGGCTTCAGGAATGCCACATTTATAACAAAAACATATTTAATACTTACAGGTCGTGCAGAAATATCTGCTTTTTCCAACTCACTGGATACAAACTTGGTGTGTGTGTGTGGTTTCTCTCTTTTATGCATGCACACGTACCCACACATATATGTTTTCCTGAAGGCAAGATTTGAAACTACGAACCACACAGAATTAAAAAGGAAAAAGAAATCTTAGTATAATAGCGGTAGAGTCGACAGAAAATAGACTTGGGCCCTGGACCTGGAGAATAAAGCCAATGGGCTTCACATAAACAAGTGAATAGGCCCCAGAGAAACTCAAGCCTCCTCTCCTTTCCAGCTCATTTAGAGGGGAAGGAGGAGGGTAGGCCTCTGTGAGCACTTGGAGCCTGTTTGGTACAGGCCAGGCTCTGTTTCCTCAGCCAGTTGTTGAGACAAAGAACACTAGAGAAAAACAATTTGTAAATGTGTATAAAGGTTTTATTTTCAAATTATTCCACCTGCCTGTCTTCTAGGCATTTTATTTTCATGCATTATTTCATTTAAACTTCACAACAGCCCTATGAAATGAGCACTCTTCCTTTTCCCCATTTATAGAAGGTACAAACCTAGGTTTACTGACTTATCTAAAGTCACACACTAGTAAGTGTCAGAACTCAGATGTAAACTTAGGTCTGCTGGATTCCAGAGCATGTTCTTAAGTCCCTGTCCTATGCGCTCTGTGATAAAGAACTATGAAGACCCTGTTTCTGTTCTCAATGTCATTTCAGTCTAGCAGACATGATGATGCCTGAGAGCTACTGTGGGGAAGGTAAGTGAGATGCACTGGCTGCTATGGGAGAGCTAAATATGCAATTGGAGTAGGCAGAGGGAAGGAAGTGATTGATTCTGATCACAGAAGGTACAGTAAAGTTTCACAAAAAAGGTAGTACCTTAGCAGAGGCCAGGCATGGTGGCTCATGCTTATAATCCCAGCACTCTGGGATGCCAGAGTGGGAGGAGCACTTCAGGCCAGGTGTATGAGACCCTGTCTCTACTTTAAAAAAAAAAAAAAAAAAGAAAAGAAAAAGAAAATTAGCTAGGCCTGGTGGCACCCAACCGTAATCCCAGCTATTCAGGAGGCTGAGGTGGGAGGATCACTGGAGCCCAGGAATTCAAGGCTGCAGTGAGCTATGATCAAACCACTGAACTCCAGCCTGAGTGACAGAGCGAGACCCTGTCTCTAAACAAAAATGTAATACCTTAGCATAGTTCAGAAGATGAAGAGGAGTTCCCCTCTTCATTACAAGAGTACAGGAGTAAAAGTACAAGAGTAAAAGGACATTACTCTAGTGAGAATGAACTGAAATGTGCAAAGGCACTAGTTGGCTTGCCAAAACATACATAGAAAAAAGATTTTTTGAAGGTAGTATAATCCAGAGCTTCAGCCTGCTGTGTGTCACCCAGCCTTTAGAGATGGCCTATTAAATAGGGTTGTCTCAACTTTGGGTTGTCAGTAGATGACCATTTCCCAGGAGCTGACAGCTGTGCTGTAGGACAAACAGACCATAATGGCATGGCTGGCATTCTTGAGTAACTTTAGTGAGAGGTTTTAGGGGGTGTGTTGGGGGTGTGGGGTCAGGGTCAGACATAGCTTTTTTGAACTCATACCAGCTCTGAAGATGCAAACCGCTTGGTTAAGTAGGGGCATCTAGAGCAAGTGGATGGTCCTTTTCATCATTGACAGAAGTTTGGGGCCTCTGTTTTGCATATGGTATAGCCTCACCTGAAAAATAAGAATCAGGGCTGGAGGTGGGCCAGGAAATGGGGAGGAACTGGGGGAATGTTAATTATGTTAATGAGGTAGGATGGAAGGGGATATTGGCTGGATCCTGAAGCCATTTGGAGACTTTGAAGCCTCTGGTTCCTGTGACATGCAGGGACTCGCCCAGTGCTACTGAGCCTTAAAGTTCCCTCAGTTCAAAAATACCTCCCCAACATTGCCTACAAAGTTTCTTTCAGCCACTCTGGCTTGTCAGATTTAAATGAGGTACCACATATAGAGCCTGGTCTTTAATAAGTGTTCAGGAGATGTTAGCTATTATCAGCATCATCTTCGTTGTTCTGCTTCACGGTCTACAAATTAGAGACTGATTGGTTCTCTAAGTTGTTCATACCTCAGTGTGATTAGGTTGAATGTTTGGAAACATTCGGCTTTTCCAAGGCTCTGGGGATTTTGAGGCAACTGCGTTGTAAAGTCTTAGAAAGACTGAATTTTGTAGGTAGACAGACCCTAATTAAAATGCAGGCTTTATGCTAGTTTTATGACCCAAAGTATGCTGGGACACCTCACTCTGTTCATCTTAAAATAAGGTTAATGACACTGACCTTGGAATGAAGATTAATGAAATAATTAAAATAGTGTATCAAAAGCACATAGCCAGTCCTGGCACATACTAGTGACTTAATCTCAGTTTCCTTCCTTTTGTCTGGGTGCCCTGAGGGGCAGTTTGGGTTCACACAGGGAAAGGCACAGGCCTGGGAAAGGACTTCTTTCTTGCCAAACCCAAGCGCTCTCTGCCTCTCCGCCGCCTCTCCCCACTTAGGCAGAGCTGGGCATGATCACCTAGACTAGTACTCCCACACACAGGAGTCACACTTACACAGCAGCAGCAGCTTGTGTTTACTTCTCATGGCCTGAGAATCATTGGCTGGTTCTTCTGTCTTCCACACTAGACTGTAGGTTGCTTGTGGCCTAGGCAGTGATTTTCTCTCCAGTTCTCTGGTACCTGACCAAGTGTGTGCTGTGCTAGGTACTCAGTAGATGTCCCTACGGATGTGTGTGGGCAGAGACAGTTTTGGTGATGTATAGCCACTTACCTTTGAAACCTTTCAGAAAAAAAGAACAGATTGTGAGAGTAGATATGAGAGGAGAACACTTAGAAAAAGCTTAGCCCCCACTCTGTTAAAGGTGGTAAAGTTAGCATGATCTCAGCAGAATGGTCCTTTTTTTGCTGAGAATAGTGCATTCTGAACTCTTCTTGGTTCCTCAAGTGTTAAGTCCAAGTGTGTATTTCACCCTCATTTGAAGATCCTTCATCTGTTGCAGAAAATTGTCTCAGCTCTGCCTCCCACTTCACTTTTCTGTGCCACTCTTCGGCTGTGAATGTCTGCATGGGTACCACCGATTTGTGATGAGCAGGCTGTATATCGCCTCTAAGCTGGTGGTTCCCTGTGAGCAGTGTTCTTCACTGCTGTGTCACATGCAGCAGAACACAAACCTGACAGCCACATCGTGTGGTCATTGATGTATGCAAAGGAGCAGCAGGAGGTTCTCCACCTGGGTCTGGGAAACTCCCCCCACAAGGGTTTTGGATGTGTGTCACGAACCTGAAACTGTGTGGGAAATTGTGTGCATATGTTCATAAATATATTCCTCTTGTGAGAGAGTCCATAGTTTACATTAGTTTCTGAAATATTTTCATGATCCTTAAAATTTTTTTTAAAAAAAAAAACAACAAAAAACCACTCATTTAGAAATTTTCCAAATATGTGTAAATTACAGTTTGTGTTTTTGTTAGCTAGGAGATATTTTTATGCTCCCTTGATTTCCAGGTGTGAGCTACAGGTTGGGTAGCCAGAGAGCTCTGGATCACAGTCTGCCGTGAGCATTGCTTACACTTAGCCCTCAGAGTTTTCACTGAATCCTTCTGAGCTTCATTTTATTTTTCTTCTGTTAATTTAGGTTTATAATGCCCTTTTGTCTACAGGAATGTTGCATAGTAAAGAGATCACAGGTGTGCAGGTGTTTTATCAACTGTCAAGTGCTGTACAATTGTGTGATGCAAGTATTCCTATTAAAAATGTATCATGTCTCAGCTGGGCATGGTGGCTCACGCCTATAATCCCAACACTTTGGGAGGCTGAGGCGAGTGGATCACGAGGTCAGGAGATCGAGACCATCCTGGCTAACACGGTGAAAGGCCGTCTCTACTACAAATAAAAAAAATTAGCTGGGCGTGGTGGCAGGCGCCTGTAATCCCAGCTACTCGGGAGGCTGAGGCAGGAGAATGGCGTGAACCTGAGAGGCAGAGCTTGCAGTGAGCCGAGATCACACCACTGCACTCCAGCCTGGGTGACAGAGCGAGACTCTGTCTCAAAAAAAGAAAAAGTGTCATGTCTCATGTCACACAGTATTGAGGACATGGTAGGCAGTCAATAAATAAGTGATTAAAATGAACATGGAAAGGGTTTATTGAAGTGAGAGGGCTAGAGGTTTTAAGACACTGGTGTCTGTGTACCTTGCAGATTCTGTGGAGAACCTAGTATTCAGGCCTAGAACATAGCTTAGGGCTATTAGAGGAACTGATTTTCAAGGAATGTTAAAAGTAGAAATGACCTTCGAGACCTTAAGTGTATTTGTTTTATTTTATGGAAGACACTGAGACTTAGAGAGACAGAGGCTATCCGATTTATTTCAGAAGGGCTTGAGACTCTTCCTCATCACTTTTAATAGTGGCCAAAAAAAGACCCTCTTTGCCTTCATATTATCAACATGTTGTCTTACCTTTTTAAAACAGCACAGAATTCACCACATGGTCTTAATTCTCTTTTTGGGGCTACTCACAGGCCTGTAATTCTGGAGTATACTGATGCTATTACTGGACACTGGCACAGTGCACTGTAAAAACTTGGAATTTCTGGAGCCCTTCCTTCTTGGAGTGTTCTCTTAGACATCATGTCAGACCACTAGGTGGAAAGCATTGCCACCATTCTTAACTGTACTGAGACTCAGAGAGGTTACTGTGACTTGTCCAAGTCACAGAACTCAGTGTCCAAAGCAGAATGAAAATTCAGGTGTTCTAATTTTCTATTCTCTTAACCGTTAGATTCTAAATGTTCTCATCAGACCCCCTCCCTGCCGCCAGTAGGCGACAAAACAGTAACCTAGAAATTTTTTTTCTTAGTGTATATATTTATATATATATATATATATAAATTTGTCTATGATCTAATCTTTCCACCTAAAGAATTTGCGATAGAATATTTAACCATTGCTTTATAATGAATGTTACTTAATTAAATATTACTTCAAGAATTGGCTTCTTTTTTGGTAATTGCATTACTTTTTTGAGGAGAGGTTTTGTTTTGCTTTTTAACCTGGTTGTGTGCATTTGGAAACCACCCTAACACAGGGTATCCAAAAGCAGAAAATACTGGCACTTTTCCCCCTTTCCATCCTTCCTCTTGTATGGATGCCAGAATCCTTTGGGAAATCATCATTTACAAAAGTCAGGAGCAAAAGGAGGGGCATTCTTTAGTGTACAGTCACTGCTAATTGGAAACTAAACATCTGTAACCATGTCAGAGTTATTTGTATTTGAAAAGAAACATTTATATACAAGAGCCCTTTCGGTAACATAAAACACAGTGTAACACAAAGTGTGTGTGTTGGAGAGGTCGGGGACAGACAGAAGGGGAAGCTTCCAACAAATGACTGCCTTACTAAGTGAGGTCATTTGCTAATTAAATTTCAAAACATTTTCAGAGTTGTTTTTTGTTTTTTTGTTTTTTTGTTTTTTGGTCAAATGAAGTTTCTCCCCGACCCCCACCCTTACCATTTCCTATAGGCCAAAGCAAACATTTTTCTGCATTTGCCAATTACAGATTAAACATTTAATCACTTAAAAAGAATAAGTGAGAAAATGGATGAGTTTTGGGAACTGTCCAGGATGAGTTGTGGGAACTGTCCAGCTACCTACTGTAACCATAGCTCTCTGCTTTCCCACAGATAATGTGAGGTGACCTCTTCTCCATCCTGAAACTATGTGCTGCTGGACCTACCCAATAGACGTAACTGTCTTGGGGGAAAAAGACACATTTTTTTTAAACACCCCATACTTCTTTTTCCTCTTCCCCTGCCTCCCCCAACACCATGATGAAATTCTGCTCAGGCTATTCTATTTGTACAGAAATTGTATCTGTATTTCTGTTGGCATATTAGAATAAATGTTGGTGATAACCTCTAGGGTGTTAGAAACATTGCTATTGTAGGGCCCTGTCCCTCTACTTACTGAGCCAACATGGCCATGTAGCCCTAATGGCCTAATTCTTACCAAGTAATTCCTTTGTAAACACAGATTAGTTTTGAAAACAGTCAAGAGGCCATCTCTTTTCCCCTACAGAGTCTACCGTCTTCTGACCTTCCCTATTCTTGTGATCTAAGATATTTCTGTAAGTTGAGTTACCTTTTTAATTGGATGAAAAATCATGAAGTCTTGAGCGTTCTAGTAAAGAACTTAGTTAAGCTGGTACTTAGCATATTGGACTTTCCTCTCAATCAATCTCCTATCTGTGAAGGCTTTAAAGTGCACAGTTTCAGCAAAATGGTTATGGCCTTTAAGTTTCTGATTGTTTGTGAAGTTGAGAGGCCTTTAGATGACCTGCCTTTACAATGACCTTTCTAGAATCTCAAAATAACTTGTCCAGGACTTTCACTATTTAAGAACTGGCTTTTATTCCCGCTCTTTGGGTATGAGTCAGCCCAGAGTCAAGGATTTGGTGATTTGAAGGTCCATCTCTTGTTCTCTTAACAGTAAGTTCAGACCATGTACTATGCTATTCGTAGCACTCCCCAGTATGGCCTGACCCACTTCTCAGCCTTAACTTCTACTGTTATTCATGAACCTCTGCGTTATTCAAACACATCTACCTAGACCTTGAGTATTTTTAGCCTTGCTTTATACCACTTTGCCCCTGGTTGAAATGGCTTCAGATCTTTCTTGGCCTACTTGAATCATGCTTGCTTTCCTGAGTTCCATCCTTCTTCTGAGTTTCTATAGTCATAATGTCAAGGTCACTTGCTTCTCACTTTTCCTATACTGTCTCGTACTTTTGGTCATTTTTTCAAATGTACTTTTCCTCTGGCCAACCAAAGTATGGGCTCTTCAAAGACAATGGTGACTGTCTTATTTTTTATGGCACTTATCATGGTGCTTTTGCTTATCATAAATACCCAATAAATAGTTAACAAGTAAGTTGTTTTTTGCTACTACCTGTTTATTGTCTTATTCCCAAGCCTGTCTACATTTAATCTCCATGATAAAGAATTATAGATGCTAGCAATGTTTTTAACCAAAGCAAAGTCACCTGTAGAACTAGTGCAGATACAAAACATCATTTGGGATAAGGAGCAGCTCCTGTCTCCCCCTAACCCCTGGATGTTCCAGGCCATGCTAGATAGAATGTAAGTATATACAAAGTCACAGATGTGGAGATGACTATTGAATGGTCTTGTGTTTTTATTTCTCCCCAGGTGTGGTCACTCACCTGTCTACCACTCCCGTGAAATGGCAGCTCGTGCCTTGGTCCCATTTGTTATGATAGATCACATTCCTAATACCATTCGAACTCTGTTGTCCACACTCCCCAGCTGCACTGACCAGTGTTTCCGGCAAAACCACATTCATGGGACACTTCTCCAGGTAAGTAAAGTTGCTTTGTGTGACTTCTGTCAAACACCATAAGATGAACTTTGGTTTCTTATGTACTGTTAGCTGGTGAAGATTTGATACACAGCCTCTTAACTTTATCTGTAGAACTTTTTTTTTTCTACTTCCGAAAGATCAGGTATCTCCTAGTTATACTTTTTTCATCCCAAATATCACTACAGTGTTACATTGTGATTCTCTTATATTATCTTTTGCAATACATCCTGTGTTTTCTGCAGTATACTTTCTCCCACTTGGCCTCACCTCTCTGAACCAGATAAAACTTTGTCTTTTCCATCAAGTATGCCTGCAAAACATTCTGGGCTACTACCTATTCCGAGTGAAACTGAAAGCATTCCTTGAGAGAGGTTAGCCTGAGAGGCACAGGAAGAGCTGTACACATCAGGGAGAGTTTGCCCTGTGGCACAGCACCTTAGTACGTGGAAGTATTGAACCTTTCCTGTTTTCTCTGTGCTACCAAAAAAAACTTATTACTTTGAATAAATGTACAAGTTTATTGTTTTTAACCTAACATTTCTTCTAGAAAAGAATAACATACAAAAAATAAATGAGAAAGAGACTTTTTACTGAAACTGCCCTATTTCAACCCTAACTTGAGGACAGGTAGTATTGGTGAGGTCTCCTGTTCAAATGGCTGCTATAGTGCTCATATAGGCATGCGGTTAGGGGTGGAAAATAAATGTCAGGTCATGTTCCTGGTTTATGAACAGAGTTGAGAGATGGCCTTGAGATCTCAATACATGTTATAAGCCTGAGATCGACACTGCTGACATGGCAGGCAGTGTGTGGAGTGATTAACAAGGTGAAACTCTGGAGCCAGACTGCCTGGGTGTGAATCTCAGATCTACCCCGCATTACTTATACATCCATGTCTTCATTTTTGAAATAAGGATAATAGTAGCATATACCTCATAGGGACTTTGTGAACCCTAAGGAAATTAATACATACAACATGCTTAGAATAGTGCCGGGTACACCACAAGATATATAGACAGTCATTATTGTTATTATTATCATTAATTTTAATAAACCTATACTATAATGAAAACTAATTATTTCATAACTAATTCCCCCTAGGTAATAAGAATGCAAGATAGAACTATCTTTTTCTTTTTTCTTTCTTCTTTTTTTTTGAGACAGGGTCTTACACTGTTTCCCAGGCAGGAGTGCAGTGGTGCAGTCTCGGCTCACTGCAAACTCCGCCTCCTGCGTTCAAGCCATTCTCGTGCCTCAGCCTCCCGAGAAGCTGGGATTACAAGCAGCCTGCACCCCCCTGTCCCCACAGTCACTAATTTTTGTATTTTTAGTAGAGATGGGGTTTCATCATGTTGGCCAAGCTGGTCTCGAACTCCTGACCTCAAGTGATCCGCCCACCTCAGCCTCCCAAAGTGCTGGGATTATGGACATGAGTCACTGTGCCTGGCCGTTCCTTGGTTGTTTTCTATATTCAACAAATGCCTACTACATTTCACTGTGTCACAGTCGCAATAGCAGCTAAGTCAGTTTTTGCCTTGAAGGAGCCAAGGACAAAAAAGGACCAGAAAATAGGCAGTCATGATGTAGTGTGCTAAGTGCTGGCTGAACACATAGCAGGGCCACCAGACTTGTCTAGGAAATCGGGGAAAATGTCCCAGAGGAAGTGACCTCTAAGCAGAGACTGAAGAAGTTAGCCAAGTAAAGAAAGGGAAGGAGTCTCCCATGCAAAGAGAGCAACATAAAGGCTCCCAGTGGGTAGCCCCCAAGTGGGAACTGCTGGTTTGGGTGGGACTGAAGTTCTAGGTTGGCAGTTTTCAAATTTGTCTCAGGACCTCTTTACACTCTTAAAAGGGGTTGCGGCTCCCAGAGAGTTTTGTCTATCAATATTCAGTTAGAAAGTAAACTTGAGACAGGCTGGTGTGGGGGCTCATGCCTATAATCCCAGCACTTTGGGAGGCTGAGCTGGACAGATCACTTGAGGCCAGGAGTTCAAGACCAGCCTGGCCAACATGGCGAAACTCCATCTCCACTAAAATTACATAAATTAACTGTGTGTGGTGGTGCACGCCTGTAGTCCCAGCTACTCAACTTGGAAGGCTGAGGCACGAGAATTGCTTGAACCCCAGAGGCAGAGGTTGCAGTGAGCCAAGATCATGCCACTGCCCTCCAGCCTGGGCAGCAGAGTGAGACTCTGTCTCAAAAAAGAAAAAAGTAAACTTGAGAAAATATTAAAACACGAGGACTTCCAAGCACATATTGCATTAGTTATCAATATAATGATATCATCACACACCTTGTAGCCTCTGGCAAACTCCACTGTACACTCATGAGAGAATGAGAGTAAAAGAGGAAACTATTTTCTTGGCATCACTTGAAAATAATTTGTCTTGTGGACCTCTTGAAAAGATTGCACAGCCCCAGACTGCAGTTTCAGATAATCTAGTCTGTGTTACATACATTATGGGTCTTAGGTGGTTTCTTTAATATAAACTCTTGAGCACTCATCTCCCTTGAGTTTCCACTACATCCCTGTGATTAGGAGAGGGACAGGGGTTATTGTCTTGGTCTTAAAGATGGACCATTGTGGCTCAAAAATTATCATTTGCTCTGCCTCAAAATTTACATCTCTTGATTGTGTCAGACTCTGCTGCTTCTTCAAAAGAGCAGGGCTGGAATGATGAGGAATATAGAACAGCCTTTTCAAAGTGTGAACTGTATCTGAGTTAGAAGGAAGGCCTAGCTTGTCAAGGGGATCAGCCATCAGATTTTCTTTACTGAAGATCCACTCTTGGCTGAACTTTATCCAAGTAGTTTGGTTGGAGTTGCTTCTTGGGCTCTCTCACCAGTTGTGCAAATGAGCCTCCCAGCCTTGTTTCCCACACGTGCTACTGGCAGGTCTGGCTGGGTTTCACCAGTCTGCCCAGCAACAAAACATGGTCTTTTGCTCTGTGTCTGGGCTACTTTTGATAGTCTCAAGTTTACTTCTTCTGCTAGATAAAATGTGAAATCCTGTGGAAAGGTTAAAACCCTAGAACCCTGGGGTTGTTGTGGCTGTTGCTCTTGTTCCTAAGTGTTGGTGGGATGAAGGGCTTGTTGAATAAAAGCCAGCAAATGTGGTTGTTGGGTATCATATTCATGTTTGTCAGACAGATTCCTACCTTTATCAAGGTTGGTTTACCCTGGTTGAGAAAAAGAAGTCAAAGGGATGTGGAAAGTCTTTCTGGCATGTCCATTTGGGTGTCACACCTGTGTTGTCCTAGTTCTGTCCATCCTGTGGTTCTTTATGGGGAAAGCATAAAGGGTTAAGTTGGGAAGGGCTCTTTCTTTTTCCTTTCTACAGCTTATAGATTCCTCTCCACATAAAGCTACCTTTGAAATCATTAAAAAGCCTGCACCTGGAAAAGAGGTGTTAGGGATTGAAAGGAATGGTCATCTCCATGGGACCTCCAGAGCCAGCTAAATAAATATAAAGTTGTTATTTTTTTCAAAAGCAGGAAATCATTTCATAATCAGAAAACAAATTCTTTCACAGAACATTTTCTTGAATTATACATTTTGACTGCTTTGAAAATGTTTACATAAATATATCAAATCTCAGAGTATTTCTATAGTATACCTTGAAAACAAGAAATATGCTGATCTCTGAATTTTCTGGGACTATGGAAGAAAGACTCAAATTATAGCACATGCAAAAAAGAACATGTGGGATTCATTTCTTAATCGTTTTAAAAACCAGAGGTTCATAATTGCTGTGTTGAGATGGTTATAAGTAACACACATTAGAAAAGGTGAGGTTATGCGGCAGATTCATGAGAGCCAGGGGTAAATGACATTAAATCTCAATAAAGGCTAGATAAGAGCCATGGACATTACCTCATTTGGGAACATCACTAGCAGGGCTGCTCTGTCTTTTAAGTAGATTTAACCTTCTGTTTTTGTTGCCAGAACTCTTCATGTTGGGGACTTAACATTATTACTAGGTTACTTATCACTCTCAAGAAATCATATTGGAGTTCAGAAAATCTTATATTGAGGAGGAGCTTGGCCACCAATCATGAGGAAGGGTTTATTCTGATTCTTGGGTACTTAACTCACATTTTGGGTGATTCATAAGAAAATGTATACCATTTGAAATAAGAGTTTGAATTTTCAGTTTTTTCATTTCTTGTCTATTTTGGGTCTTTTGTTGTTGTTGTTGTTGTTATGTACAAATAAAAGGTGATCTGTTGCTCTTAATTTAGCTCTTTTTTTTTTTTTTTTAAGACGGAGTCTCGCTCTGTTGCCTAGGCTGGAATGCAGTGGCACCATCTTGGCTCACTGCAACCTCTGCCTTCTGGGTTTAAGCAATTCTCCTGCCTTAGCCTCCCGAGTAGCTTGGATTACAGGCGCCTGCCACCACGGCTGGCCAATTTTTGTATTTTTAGTAGAGACTGGGTTTCACCATGTTGGCCAGACTGGTCTTGAACTCCTGACTTCAAGTGATCCCCCCAACCTCGGCCTCCCAAAGTGTTGGGATTACGGGCGTGAGCCACCGCACCCGGCTGAGATAACATATTAAACTCTAAAGCCTGTGTTCCTATTTTCTTTAGAATGTGCTGCCTCTGATGTGAATAACAGCTTTTTATGGCTAAGGAAAATAAACCAAGGATCCATCTAAAGATATACTTTATCACTCAGTTGCTCTCCTTAAATCTAATTGGGTATGTTATGATACAGTGGAAACAAAGTAAATCTATTTGTGTTATTGAGACAGAAGAAGTCAGTGAAACCCAGGGAAGCTGCGACCCGTGAAAGGTATATTGTACCCTCCCCTCTCTACTCATCTCTCTGTCATCATTTCTCTTTGGTCTTCCATTTAATGCTACTAAATCTGTATCTGGAAATACAGATCCTCCCTTGGGACCTAGGCTATAGCCAAGTCCATAGTTGCCCCACCTTCTGTCATCCTTAAGGGTTTGACAAAACCTCTCAAACTTGGGTAACCATAGGAGTTATGGATCCTAGATCTAGGAACTGATAGGACCATGAGAAGGTGGTCAAGACTGAATTTAATTCAGCAGACACTGTAGCTTGCTTACCCTGTCCTAGGCACTGGTGAAAACACAAGGAGTTTGCCTTTGATGCAAACTTAAAGAGAGCTGTGGATTAGAAGCCAAGTGAGCCCTCGGGGACCAGGGATCATATGAGTAACAGAAATGAAGAGGAGACAGAAGATACAATGCCAGACAGGGCATCAGGCATAAAAGGAGACTGAAACTGAGGCCATTTCTGCTTGAGTCTGGAGCACCCCAATAGATTCTGTGTTTACTGTAGAGCCAGAATCTTTACGTGATGGGAACAGTAGTGTTGGGCTGGATGGGACACATGAAGACCGAAACTGGAGTAGACTTTAGCATTACCTTTACGGGAAGAAAACCAGAAAACAAAGAAAGAAGTAAAGGTAGGCTAGTTCGGCCAGCTAGTTGTATGAAGGAATCACTGTGCAAGAAGCAGGGATGGAACCAACCATCCTTCACTCTATTCTACAGACAGGAGCAGTGGAAGCAAGTAGAAAATCAGTGATAGAGGTAACCTTAAGTGTCAACTCTACTGGAGTTTCTTAAATAAGGAAGCAAATGAACATTTATAGAAAAGATATGTATATATATTTCTGTTAATATTACTGTTACATCAAAACTTGTGATTAAATATAAAAGAATTATTTCCATCTTTTAAAAATGTAACCATATGAGTCAATGTCTTAGTGCTTTAAGAATTTTAATGTCATTTATATTTCTTAAAACTACAAAATTGTGAAACATAAAACGGTCCAGCTGTCCAGAAATGGAACATTTCTTGATAGATTCCATTTGGCGACCTAAGATGTTGGCCGTCTCCATTGTTGTTTGTTTTATGCCTCGAAAATATTATTTCAGAATGGAAAATCAAAAACAAAAGCATGAAACTATGCTGATGCTGTAAGTTATAAATGGATTTCTGGTCTGTGTGCTTTTTTTCTGGAATGAGTCATAATTTAAAGAAAATGCTCACTCTTGTCAGGTGGCCAGATTTATTCTTTCTTTTTGAAGACTTGTGTTAGTGTGAAAGGAGAAAAATCTTAAGTTGCTAGAAAGGTCCCTAGTCCAAGAAGGGTTAAGGCAGAGTTTCTCCAGTGGCGTGGCTATGGATGTGCCAAGGTATTTATTGATTCCTTCAGCTCTCAGGGAGTCTTGAGTGTGGCCTGGCAGGGCTGGAGCCTCTAGGCAGTCACCTGCAGCTGGGAGCAGCATCGTTGGTTTTATCCCAGAGTGCCAAAGAAAGATTACTTTCTATGTGTGCCTTGATGTGAAAAGGATTGGGAAGCATTGGGCTCTTAAAAAAAAAACTAAAGAAAGGACTAAACCTTGTTAAATCTTACCTTTTGGCAATATATTCCTTTCTGGATATAAGCCCAAAAAAGTCATTTTTAATTAAAATGCTACTTTTGAAGATGAATTAATCCCTTCCTTATAAACATCCAAAAGCTTTTATTTGGTGTCTGTTACTTAGGGAGCTTTTGCTGGGTGTTGGAGACAGCTTTTAGCTGCCAGGTTCTGGAGCATTGACTGTACTGCACTGTGTGGTTGTTCCCCAAGCAATGTACTGCTGTTTTGAAGTGCTCAGAACTCAGAGTATCAGTCAGGGGCAAGTGAAACTTAGAGATTTGCCATTTGATGTGTCCTCAGGTGTTTGTAACTGTTCAGGATCAGAGTAGGGGAATTAATAGCAAAAAGAGGAAAAATATATATTTTTTTCAGTGAGAGATAGAGTGTGTGTGTATGTGATGTATGTGTGTGAGTGTGATGTACCAGTCACTGAGTTCCTACAGAGCCTCTTCTGGAGGATAGGTGTTATTCCCATCCTACTGGTGAGAAAACTGAAAACAAGAGGGGTTGTGCGATTTCACTAAAGTTATGCAAGATTAAATGGTAAAAAGCAAAACTGAGATTCAAGCCCAGGATCGTTTGAAGCTTTTGAGCTTGTGCAGTTAGCCACTGTAGTATACTGCTTCTCTGGATGAGGAAAAGGAATATTGTCAGGGGAGAAGGATTCTATCTGGGGCCTTCGGGTTGTGGGTAAAATGGGATTTGATGTCATCTATTTATTCATTCGACAACTGCTAATTGAACACCAGCTACGTGCCAGGCACTGTTCTGGGTGCTTGGACTATATCAGAGAACAGAAGAGACACATCCTTGCCCTCCAAGATTACTGCTCTCAGTGTACTTATATTCCAGCAGCAGGGAGACAGTAAGAAATGTTCAAGAAATAAACATTCAATAAAACATATCAGAACTTATTATAGTAAATATAATAGGTAAATTAGATAGTTTGTTAGAAGGTAATCGTTGCTGCGGACAAAGGAACAAGTAGAGTAGGCTAAGGGGAATCAGGAATAGATAGGAGAGGAGGGCAGTTGGCATGTCAGAATAGTCGTCATTGGAAACGTTTGAGCAAAATTCTATCACAAGACATGGGAAAACTTTCTTATTTTTTGAATAAAGGTAAAGGGTAGACATATTTTCTTCTGAAACTGTGCTGGCTGCAGACATTTGTAAGCAGGTATACCAACTGCATGTTTGAGACTATCTTTACCCATAGGAAAGTGCCAACAGAGTGGGCAGTAGTGGATAAACAAGGCCAGGAAGGATGCCATTACTTTAGAAACTTAAGAGCTCCCTAAAGCGAGGTGGTCATACTATAGATGCCAGGACTGCTGGGGACTCTGAAACCCTTTTCTTCTGGAATCACCGTGAATACCGTCAGTCTGTCATGGTTCTGATGAGCTTAGGCAAAGAGCAAAGTATCCATCATATTACTTCCTCTGCTTTCTGGTATGACCTTTACCTTAACCCTCTGGACCTGGGCCTTAGAGATGTAGAGTAAATGTGGAGAATGTTTATTCTTCTGCTTAGCAAATATTTATTGAGAAGTTAAGTACATACTATGTCAGGTACTGTGGAGGATACAAAGAAAATTTATAGCATATTCTCTGCTCTCAAGAAGCTTATGAGCTACCTGGAAAATAAACCATTGACACTGCAGACAATTACACAGAAATACGTGGCTACATGTTATGTGCACCAAGCATGTGGCCGAGATCACACATCTGAGAGGCAAGACCAGGATGGACTGGAGACATGAGAGAAGGCTTCAGGGGAACATTGGGCCTTGGGATAAACCTTGAAACTAGCTTTCTGTTTTTGAGGCAAGGGACATGGTATGAGCCCAGGCATGGAGGAGGGCATCAGAAAGTGTTTGCAGGAGGCAGTGAGTAAACCAGCCTGTTGTGTCAAGGAGAGAGGATGTGTGAATGGCAGGGTGGGTGCAGGTCAGCATGTGAGAGACCACAAATGCCGGGCCAAGCAGTTTGGGCTCTGTAGGCCTGTAGCCTTCAAAGTGGGGTTTGCAAGACAATAATATATGTGGAAGAATACGTTAGTGTGTTATTTCTTTTATCGCATCCTGTTTTATTATTATTATGGTTATTGTTAGAGACTAGGGTATCGCTATGGTGCATAGGCTGGCCTTGAGCTCCTAGGCTCAAGTGGTCCCCCTGCCTCAGCCTCCAGAGTAGATGGGACTACAGGTGTACCTGGCTTTTAGCTATTATTTTACATTTGATATGTAATGTACATAATGTATTAATAGAATAATATATAATTTCTAAGTTAATAAGTACACAAAAGCTGGGAGCATGTGCTCAGAAAGGTCCTTTCAGGTAGTAGGTAAGAGTGGACTCTGGAGCCAGCTTGTCTCCCTCTGGATCCTAGCTCTGCTGCTTACTAGCTGTGTTATTTTGGGTGAGTTACTTAATTTCTGTGCCTCCACTTCTTCTGTAAATGGGAAAATAAAATGACCTCATAGGGTGGCTGCGAAGATTAAATGAGTTAATATGCGGGAAGTGGGTAGCAAGGTCTCTGGTATATAGTAAATGCTCAGTAAATGTTAGTTGCTATTATTAATACTTGCTGCTACTGCCACCACCACTGCTACGGGCGGGGGGTGAGGGGGTTATGATTAAAAATGTAAGAATCACTGGTGTAGATGGTGAGTAAAAGACCTTGAGCTAAAGAAAAATGTGTTTAAAAAAATTAATGTTGTACATTGAAATAATACTGTAAAACATGAGGATTCCTATTGATGTGTGAGTGCATGAGACAAATAAGTCCATTTTCAGCAATTTTGACTTTATGTGTTATCATATTTCACAGAGAGGTTCCTCCGGTCAGTCACTGTGTTCTCTGCCTTCCTGTAGATCATGTTAAAGATTATAAGAGCTGAGATTAGCTCAAATTTTTAAGGGCAGAGTTCTTGCCTATCAGGTTGTTATTCCTTGCACCTGTTTTGTTTTGAATTACATCCTCTCCCTCAGATCCCACTGGAAACTTGAGGAATCAGTGTCTCACACTGTCTGAGACAAAGGACTCTTTTATCATGGGAAGGGAGAAATTTGAAGTTCATAAAGTGAAAGGAGATACAGGATCCTCCTAGATAGATTAATCTAGCACATTCCAAGTTTTTTTTTCATCTTGGAAGATATGCTTTCCATCCCCTGCGAGCCATTCCACTCTTACTGTCTGAGACTTCATATGACTGACGATAATTCTGAATATACTTTAAAAATTATGCAACACAACAAAACATCTCACCGTGGGTACACTGTCAGGCTTTTGTCATTTCCTAGAATCCCTGTAAAATATCTGATGGTATGTGGTCCCATAATGTGAAGGGATTTGTTTGGTGGTTCCCAACCAATAAAAATAGTATTATTTGTTGTTATTTGTTTTTAGTATATGCAAATGGAATAGGCCAAAAGTAAGACCTTTGTTTTTATTGGGATAGCATATTTGAGATTGCACGTTTATGTACTTGTGCTATAGCTCTTAGATATATTTATGGCACCCAACGTATTTGAGTTACTAAGGACACAGCTGACCATTTAAAAGCACTGTGGTTGAGTATAGCCAATTTGGCAGCCACCCCAGATGCCTGAAGTAAAATTGACACACAGGCTTAAAGGAAAGTTTAAATAAGTAATAAAACTCTTTTCCTATTTTAGACCATATTGTTGTTCATGACATTCTTGCATTTCTCTGTATTGCTACCCACTTCACCCTTTGCTTTTGTGGCAGGGCTTCTCAGCCTCGGCACTCTTGACATTCTTTGTTGTGGGTGTGTGCGTTGTGCAATGTGGTGTGTTTGGTAGCACCCCTCCTTCATTTGTGACAACAACAACCAAAAATGTCTCTAGACATTTCCCTATGTCCCCTAGGGAGGCAGGGGGCGGAGGCGGGGGCAAAATTGCCCCTAGTTGAGAACCTTTGTTCCATGGTACCTATGGATTTTCCCCATCATCCTGTGGGACAAGGTGTGATACAGCTCTTAAATACCAGCAACCACCAAAGAAACCATTCCTGACCCGGGCAGAAGTTGTGGCTCAGCATACTACAGTGAGCTGTGCATAGGCATTAATGAAAAGGTAGGGGGATACAAAACTCAGACTGGAGTCACTAAGGAGGCACTTTCCTTCCTCTCTTTCTGTCTTTCTACTGGAAAAGTGTTATGAACATATAAGCCAGCTCACTTTTAAAATCCTAGCTTCTTATAGCTTGCTTCATGTCCTTGTTCCAACCTGCCTCTCATCCACTTTCATAATGTATAGTTGAAACTGAATTCTGCCCTCCTCAGAGTCAGAGAGCATAACATTCTAGTTTCTGTTTACCTAAGGAAGCTTCGGAAAATGACACATAATTAAAATTTTCTCACTTCTTTACTTGAAACACTGATGAATTGCTAGGTACAGTTGCTGTCTGTTTCATTGATCCTCTCTTGGGTGGGGGACAAGAGGCTGTGTGAATGAATCTTCTCTAAAAACAGAGGTTCTACTGAAAACTTAACCCAGAACATAAAAATGTTTTCTTTGAGTTAAGCATAAAGCTTTGTCCATATTCCCAGATTCAGACCTCAGAAAGGAAACTCGTGGATAAATCTAACGGGTACTGAACATACATGACGGAGATAGTAATTATGCTTTTTTTTTTTTTTTTTGAGAGGAAATCTCACTCTGTAGCCCAGGCGAGAGTGCAGTGGCATGCTCTCGGCTCACTGCAACCTCTGCCTCCCGGGTTCAAGCAAATTCTCCTGCCTCAGCCTCCCGAGTAGCTGGAATTACAGGCACGCGCCACTGGCACCTGGCTAATTTTTTGTATGTTTTAGTAGAGATGGGGTTTCACCATGTTGGCCAGGCTGGTCTTGAACCCCCAACCTCAGGTAATCTACCCGTCTCAGCCTCCTAAAGTGCTAGGATTACAGGCGTGAGCCACTGTGCCCAGCCCGTAATTATGTTAATATTATTTTTTAAAGGACCTTAAATATTATACATGCCTCATATATGTAAATGTCTAGAAAGTCAGTAGTAAATCTGTCACTTGACTCTCAAAGTAGTATGATGCATACAAATAAGACCTTTAAAAGCATATCCTTATTATTGCTTTTAGAAATTGTCAAATAATTCTTATACATGTTTTTCTTTGTCTATTTGGGGAAAAAAAGGAAAACTACATCTATTATATTAAAATGAAGGCTCTCTGTTTTGGACAAAGGCATATGTTTGAAAAAAAAAACATAAGTTAAATCTTACTTGAATTTCTCTTGTTACTGTCAATAGCATGCATATTTTGTGCCTTTTCTACATCAAGTGAATGGGATTATTAATTGAGGTATGAATTTGTACTTGCAAATGTTCACCTTTTTGGCCAATTGTTGCCTTCCTGCTTCATCCTCCACTTTTTTTTTCCTTATTAATTAGTGGGTTGTGTGTTATAGTCTTGAACTGGTACCACTCTGAAGCAGTTGTTGAGGTATGTATGGGCATCAGATATCAGATGTTTTACTGATGGGCCCATGTTCATATGGAATAGGTATTTAGAATCTTGGTCATTTTCCTATTTGGGATGCCTTTTTAATCTTTATAAAGTAAAATTTCTGGTGAGGGGGACATTTTTCATTAGCTTCCTGAGAATCATATTTCTAAAAAGGTCTAAGATTATTTGTTTGGAGTTTTTTTTTTTTAATATCAAATGGATTTAAGAGGTTTTTTAAAAGTTGTGATTTCGAAGAGTTTACAAGTGCCAGCAAATTCTATCACCTTTGTTAATCTTCAAAGAGATCAGTATAATTAACATCTTACATGTGCTGTTTGACACTTTTTTCTTATTAACTTCTTAAGCCTTTAAAAAAATCTTTAGACAGATGAGTTTTACATGTAAATTTTAGTCCATTTATAGCAGATAGACTTTATGCTTGCCCCTTCTTCTTTTTTTTTTTTTTTTTTTTTTTTGAGACGGAGTCTCGCTCTGTTGCCCAGGCTGGAGTGCAGTGGCTTGATCTCCGCTCACGGCAAGCTCCGCCTTCCGGGTTCACGCCATTCTCCTGCCTCAGACTTCCGAGTAACTGGGACTGCAGGCATCCGCCACCACACCCGGCTAATTTTTTTGTATTTTTAGTAGAGACGGGGTTTCACCATGTTAGCCAGGATGGTCTCGATCTCCTGACCTCGTGATCCGCCTGCCTCGGCCTCCCAAAGTGCTGGGATTACAGGCATGAGCCACCGCACCCAGCTTGCCCTTTCTTCTTAGATTACAGGATGTATAGTCATTTTTATATCTAACTTGTTTCTGAAATGCAGTTTCAGTTTCCTGCTTTATAACTGATTTTTTCAAATATGTGAGACATTTACTTGTCCAATTACCAAATTGTTTTTTGTTTTTTTGTGGGTTTTTTTGTTTTTGTTTTTTGTGTTTTTTGAGACAGAGTCTCACTTTGTCGCCCGGGCTAGAGAGCAGTAGTGAGATGTTGGCTCACTGCAAACTCTGCCTCCCAGGTTCAAGCGATTCTCCTGCCTCAACCTCCCAAATAGCAGGGACTACAGGCGTGCACCACCACACCTGGCTAATTTTTGTATTTTTAGTAGAGATGGTGTTTCACCATGTTAGCCCGGCTTATCTAGAACTCCTGACCTCAGGTGATCTGCATGTCTTCGGCCTCCCAAAGTGCTGGAATTACAGGCGTGAGCCACTGCACCTGGCCTCCAAATTGTTTTTTAAGTTTGTTTATTTAGTTATTTATTTTAATTTAATTTTTTGTAGAGATAGAGTCACACTATGTTGCCTAGGCTGGTCTTGAACTCTTGGGCTGAAGCAATTCTCCCGCCTCAGCCTCCCAAAGTGCTGGGATTACAGGCATGTTCCACTGCATCCAGCCCCAAATTTTTCTTATACTGAAAAGAAGTATGCATTGATCAGATTGAGAGAAAATTGAAATAGTCATCAGGTCTGATTTTTAGATGTGCATATAGAGAACAGAGATACAAGGCAGTAATTTATTAAAATTCATGATTGAGCGTACAAATATGTGTGTTCAGTATGTACATTTAGGAAGAACATGCTAGAAATTTGAGTTGATGTTCTTCAAAGGAAACTCTTAGAGTAAATTAGAAATGTAATTACAATCCACACCCACCAACTCAAAAGGGTACTGAGTTGGGTAGGTTTCTGAAGAAAATGAATACCAGTGTACCCTAGCCTGTAATCCCCAAGCAGTGGTAAGCTCTTACTCACACCCCTCGCCCCTCCCCAAGAGCTCAACAGCCTCATTAGAGAAGGAGGACTATATTGTTCAGTAAATGTGTCTTGAAGATCATCACTTCTTCTATTCTGGAAAAATGTGTGATTTACTTTGTTACTCTCCCCTTGTCCTAGCTTTTCCTCCTTTGTTGTTTCTCTAAATTTTTACTTCTCCCTCCCGAATGAGAGCATGAGTAGAGGTGCATAATTTTCAGTTGTCTGTCCATTTCAGAAGTTAACTCTTACTATCACTGCACTGATCATAGTAAGTTTGGTCATTTTAAAATTCATATAGAGAAGCTGGGGTAGGGGGGTAGCCTGTGTGTGTATGTTAGACCAGGAGTGATGGTAGAAGCCTAAAAACATCTAAAATTTCAGTTAATAAAAGAAACAAAATACCACCAAAAAGTCTGCCCAAGAATTTATGTTCAAGTGAATATGTTTTGGTATTTTTGTATAAATTTAAGAATTGACAACGTTTTTCACTTTTTTTAATGATTGACCTTTCACAGATGCAATAGGTTGCTGTGGAGTGTTAGTAAGCACTCATTTCCTGAGGTCAGGCACAGTTTAGAGAACCTTGTCACTCAAAGTGTGGTTCTGGACCACAGAATCAGCATTGCTTAGAACTGGTTAGAAATGCAGAATCTTGGGCCACCTCAACCCTCTTGAATTAGAATCTGCATTTTCACAAGATCCCCAGTTAAACTCCTATGTTCATTATGTTTAAGTACTAATTCAGATGAACGTTTTTCAGGATGCTGTACTGGGGCTCCCAGCTAGTAGCTAGATGGTTGGACCAGCTGAACCTAACATTCGGTGATTGGTTATGCCTTTGTTTCCATGACCAACAGGGAGATGGGTGTGATGCTAATTATCTGGTATGTTAGCTTAAACTGCTGATGAGAACCCTTAATACTGTAACTCATATATAGCTTTGTGTTCTAGCTGTCACGTAATTCTTTATTTTACCAAGAAGATGGTGAACTCATGGACGGCAGGGATTGTGCCTTACTTATGCACTGTCTCCAAAACACCTATTACTAAGCATATAGTGAGCCTAGGTTGATTGGTTTGATTCGCTTTTCCAACAACCAATTTTGATACTGTCAATCATCTCTGTGTGGTTAGATGCATCTTTTATTAATATTATTTCTTCTTTTTCAAAATGTACATTTAGAGCCATACATGCTCATTTAATGCCATTTTAGTCCCATCCCATAAGTGTTCATACATGGTGCTTTCTTTGTTGTCCACTTTTAAATATCTGAACATTTTCATAATTTATTCTTTAACCCATTGATTATTTTTTGAAATTAAAACATTGATATTGAGATTTTATTGTTAAATTTTCTTAAAATGTTATTTTGTGGTCAGAGAACATAATTTATAATTATATTCCTTCTTTGAGAATTTTTTGAGGCCATTTTTGTGGTATAGTAATGTGGTAGTTTGTAAATTGTGTGCTTGGAAGACTGTGTTGTGTTACTTAAATCTTCTAAACTCTTAACTGATTTTTAAAACCTGCTTAATCTGTCACTTTATAAGCAGTGTGTCAAAAGCTCCTATATGTGAATTTGTCTTATTTCTTCTTTAATTCTATACATTTTAGTGCAGCAGTTAGAAGCAGTATCCATGAAGTGGCTAGAATCTTTATGATTGTTATGCTTTTCAGGAGAATTGTTCCTTTTATCGTTAAGTATTTTCCTCTTTTATAACTGTTAATGCCTTTTGGCTTAAATTCTAATTTTGTCTGGTATTGACATGGTGACACCAACTCTCTTTTGCTTGGTATTTCTTGAATATCTTTTTTATCTTTTATGTTCATTCTTTGTCTCTCCAAGTTTTAGTTGTCTCTCATAAAGAACATATATCTGATTTTGTTTCAGTATGCAATCTGATAGTCACTGTCTCATTTTAAATAAACTTCTTACTTAAGAATAGTTTTATATATACTGAAAAGTTACTAAGATAGTACAGAAAGTTTCTGTACACCCCTCACCTAGTTTCTCCTATTGTTACTATCTTACGTTAGTATGCAACATTTGTCATGGCTAAGGAAGAAATTGGTACATTACTGTTAACGCCACACGTTTTATTCAGATTTCACAAGTTTTCACCTACTGTCTTTTTTCTGTTCCAGGATCCCATCCAGGTTACCACATTACATTTAGATGTCGTATCTCCTTAGACTCTTCTGGTCTGTGACAGTTTCTCCTGCTTTTTTTCATGTTTTTGATGGTGTTAACAGTTTTGAGAACTACTGGTCAGATATTTTGTAGAAAGTTCCTCAATTTGGGCTTATCTGTTTGTTCTTTTTTAATGGTTGGACTAGGATTATGGGTTTTTGGGAGAAAGACCACTGAGGTGATTTGCCATTCTCATCATGTCGTATCCAGGGTACATGCTATCACATGCTATCAATATGACTTATCACTGGCTGGGCACAGTGGCTCATGTCATAATCCCAGCACTTTGGGAGGCCGAGGCAGGCAGATCACTTGAGGTCAGGAGTTTGAGACCAGCATGGCCAACGGGGCCATGGTGAAACCCCGTCTCCACTAAAAATGCAAAAATTAGCTGGGCGTGGTGGCACACACCTGTAATCTCAGCCACTCAGGAGGCTGACAGAAGAATCGCTTGAATCCAGGAGGTGGAGGTTCCAGTGAGCCAAGATGATGCCACTGCAATCCAGCCTGGGGGACAGAGTGAGACTCCGTCGGAAAAAAAAAAAAAAAGACTTATCACTGTTGATGTTAACATTAATCACATGGCTTAGAAGTCGTGTTTGCCAGGTTTCTCCACTATAGAGCTTCTCTCCTCTTCTGTCTTTTTTCCATACTCTACTCTTTGGAATCAAATCACTAAGTGTAGCCCACACTCAGGGGCTTGGGAGAAGGAAGTTGAGCTTCACCTCCTGAGGCTGGGTGGGGGGAGTATTGACATTACTTATTTTGAATTCTTCTGTGTGGGAAATTTGTCTCTTCTCTCCCATTTATTTATTTGTTCAATCATTTATTTCAATCAGTATGGACTCACAGATATTTATTTTGTACTTCGGGTTATAATCCAGTATTACATTATTTATTTTGTTGCTCCAGTTGTTTCAGCTTCAGTTTTAGCTATTGGGAGCTCTTTCAGGTTGGCTCCTGGGTGCCTTTGACATGCCTTCATCCTTTCAGTTTGTTTGTTTTTCTTCCTTTTTTTTTTTTTTTTTTTTTTTTGACAAAGTCTCGCTCTGTCTCGCCCGGGCTGGAGTGTAGTGGCACGATCTTGGCTCACTGCAGCCTCTGCCTCCCAGGTTCAAGTGATTCTTCTGTCTTAGCCTCCTGAGTAGCTGGGACTATAGGCATGTGCCACCATACCCAGCTAATTTTGTATTTTTCGTAGAGACGGGGTTTCAGCATGTTGGCCAGGCTGGTCTCGAACTCCTAACCTCAGGTGATCCACCCACCTCAGCCTCCCAAAGTGCTGGGATTACAGGCGTGAGCCACCGCATCCAGCCATTTTTCTTCCTTTCTGGAACAAGATGTTCTAGTCTCACCTTGTATGTTCCCTTTTCTAGGTATAGAATTAGTCATTTCTCCAAGGAGACCTGGTTTCTTTTATTGGAGAATGGTATTCGAAACCAAGATTGGGGCACTGGGTATGCTCATGGCTACTAGGGTGTTACCGTTTCTAGGCCCTCTCAATGGACAGAGCTAGGAAATACATATATGTATACTAACCCATTTATGCACACATGTCTATTTCTGTTTCTGTCCTTCTGCAACTGTATTTAAGCTAAACAAGAGTTCATACTGACGTCTTTGACTCTACTCCAGTATTATGTGGTTCATTTTAGCTTTCTCCCTTGCATATCTGTAAACTTTGTCCAACAGTGAGAAACCTAGCTCCTGTCATCTACTACTCATTTATTTATTTCCTCAATCCCAGTATAGTTGCACAGATGTTTCAGAATTTTTAACCCATACTAGTGGGAGAAAAAAACCTTACCTACTAGAATACTGTATATACATTTCTTTTGTCTTTAGTCTTACGGTTTCTAGTCAGAACATCATTTTCCAAAGTTATCTGTAGAGTACAGTTAGATTCTTTCACCACAGTTGGGTTCTTTTGTCCTGATCTCCTGGTTGATTTTTTAAACATTTGCGTACATTAAACTTTAGTCTTTGCACTATAAAGTTCTGTGCATTTTGACTAGTATGTAGAATCCAGTACCCACCACTATAATATCATATAGATTAGTTCCACACCCTAAAAACTTTCCTGTGGTTCCCCTAAGCATTCCTATCTCCACAAAACTCTGGCAACCACTGATTTTTCCATCCAGTGGTTTTGCCCTTTCTAGAATGTCATGTGACTGAAATCACAAAATATGTGTAACTTTTTCATTCTGGCTTCTTTCAGTTAGCAAAATACATTTAATATTCATCCATATTGAAGCCACAGCTTCTTTTTATTGCTGAATACTGTTTCATTTTATGGATATACCAAGTTTGTTTACCCTGTTCACCTGTTGAAGGACATCTTGATTGTTTCCACTTTGGGGCAGTTATGAACAAAGGTACTATACATATTTGTAAGTTGGTTTTTATGTGAACATAAGTTTTTAAAGCAGTTGGGTAAGTACCTAGCGGATTGCTGGGTCATGTGGTAAGTCTGTGTTTAACTTTTTAAGAAACTGGCTATCTTCCAAAATGGCTTTACCATTTTGCATTCCCACCAGCAGTGAATGAGAGTTCCTGTTGCTCTCAGTCCTTGTCAGCACTTGGAGTCACCAGCTTGTTGGGTTTTAGCTGTTCTAGTAAGTGTGTAGTATTACAGTAGCTCATTGTGGTTTTTATAGTTCTTGTCTTTTAGTAGGCTATCTTAATCCATTTACATTAATTATGATTCCTGATGTCATTGAACTTTTTTGGTTCTATTATTTCACATTTTCTATTTATCACATTTCTCTTTGCTTCTTGTTTTCTTTCCTTTTACAATTGTATTAAATAGTTGTGTGTTTTTTTAACTCGCTCTTCATTTTTACCTTATTCTGTTGGAAGTTATAGACTCCATCTCTATCTTTTTAAGAGGTTGTCCATAAAATCTTAAAGATATTATCCTTATTTTCTCCTCTCCAGAAGATACGGACATTAGAATACTGTAACTGAGTTTGCTTTTCCTGTCTTCCACATTATTATTGTCTACTGGACCTACCTTAGTTTTAATCCGTCATTATTTTTATTATTTTACACTCAGTATTTATGCTTGCTAACATATTTAACCAATTTCTCTGTTCATTATTTTTTCTTGCATCCCACTCCTTTCTTCTGATTTTGATTTCTGTCTTACTCAATTTCTGTCTTATCCTCCAGTTGAGGTTGTCCAGGTTGACACTTACTTCCTTCAGCACTTTGAAGATATTATTAGGCTGGTGCGATGGCTCACGTCTGCAATCCCAGCACTTTGGGAGGCCAGGGCAGGTGGATCACCTGAGGTCAGGAGTTTGAGACCAGCCTGGCCAACATAGAGAAACCCCGTCTCTAATAAAAATACAAAAATTAGCCAGGCATGGTGTTGGGTGCCTGTAATCCCAGCTATTCAGGAGGCTGAGGCAGGAAAATCGCTTGAACCCTGGAAGTGGAGGTTGCAGTGAGCCCAGATCATGCCACTGCACTCCAGCCTGGGCAACAAAGCAAGACTCCATCTCAAAAAGAAAAAAGAAGATACTATTATATTGTCTATGACATCTGTTATTATAATAAGACAGCTATCATCAGTTTGATTGTCATTCCTTTGTAGATTATCTAGTTTTTGTGGCATTTAAGATTTTTCTGTTATTGATGGCTTACAGTTTTATTATGATGTTCCTAGGTGATCATTAGTTATATTAACTATACTCAAGACTTGGTGAAGTCCTTTAATATGAACTAATATCTTTATTAAATTCCAGAATATTCTTTATCTCCGTTTCTTTGAATATTGCCATTTCACAGTTCTGTCCAATTTTTATCTCTGGGCTTGATTCTTGATTATTTCCTCAGATGTATTTTCTAGTTCACTGATTCCATTTTCAGTTGCTTATGTCTAGTGACACAGGTGAAATAAGTACTTCATTCTGTCATGGAATTTTCTACTTCAATGAAGGTGTCTCTTCCCCATCCCACCCTGAGATCTGCCTCTTATTTTCTCATGGTAATTATGTTTACTTCTGTCTTTTAGTCTTTTCATTATCTCTTTGATTGTTTTCTATTAATTTTTTCTTAAATGCCCAACATCACCTCTGCAATATTTTCTCCAAAATCTATGACCTCAGTCTAATCATGTGAAAATACTATACAAACCCAAATTGAGGGACATTCTACAAGGTATCTGTTTACCTTAGTCTTTTTCAAGTTACTGGTTTTCTGTAGTTCCTGGAATGTGAATTCTGCCTTTTGCGGTGTCTGGTGCCTTTCCCAAGGGTTGTAATTCTTTTTTAGCTCATCTTCAGGAACAGTTTTTCCTGGCAGTCCCCTGTGCACTGGATGGTAGAGGCAGTTGTCTCTGGTAGTTTTGTGTTTAACCTTTTAGGGCCCTTTCTATAGATTTCATAGGTCAAGACCCAGCATTATGTAAATTTCTTGTTCCTATACTGCATAAGCCTCTCTCAAACCTGAAATTTTGATTGCTCATAAGGAACAAATTTTTCACCTCTGGCCGCAAGGTAACTAGATTCTTTGCCATATCCCCGATCAGATGATGGAGCTTTCTAGTGAGTAGAACAGTTTTTCATCGCTGTAAGCTTTGCACAGTGCTCTCAGCTCAGCATCTAATTCCCCTGTGGGTCACTGCACCTCATCTATCACCCTGGCTCTAAGTTCCTTCTTTATATCTGGCATTTGGAGATTCCCTTTCTTGCCATTGAGCTTGGTATATTTAACACATTTTTTCCTTAAAAAAAAAATCTATGTCTAAAGAGGAGGGGGAAACATCATATGTCACCTCAGTCAAGCATTGACTGAATTTTCAAATCCCTTGTTGTGAATTAGTTATCAGGTTGATCCCCCTTCCAGGCCTGTGGTAATGGCACATATAAGAGCATATTAATTATTCAAGTAGGAAAGGACCGTTATCTAAACTCTAAACAATTCTAAACAATTTATAATTTTGCCAAAGGCATTTGCAGACTCCTCCACAGGTAGCTCAGAGGAGATGCTATTGTTTATCCCAACTCCCCACAGCCGCCTTCTCTTTCCACGATATTGTGCCACTCCCGGGGCTATGTTCTGCCCAAGAATAGGTCGTGTTGAGTCATAGAATTTTAAACCTGTGGGTGGCCTGTGAGCCGTGTACTCCATGAATGGGAAAACAGACCTGAGGAGGTGACCTGAATTTTTTGAGGCTGAGGACCGTGCCTTACTCACCACTTAAAACTCCCAGTGTCTGACACTGGCTCCAGCACATAGTAGGGGCTCTTGAAATGTTGGCTGCATATGAAGTCACACAGTCATTTAGGAGCCAGACCCCATGAATCTTAATTCCCTGGACAAACTCATTCTAGGCCACCCTACTTTCTAGTCATCTCACATAAAGAAACAGATTTTGTTTGCCTCAGAGTAGTGATGGGTAGAGATAAGTGTGTTGTAATGTATCTAGGTTGCCAGAGCCTCTGCGAAGCCCTTCTGAATGTCAGTCATTACTGACATTTGACTTAATTCGAGTGTGGTATTTGGGGCTCAGAAACCTAGTAAGAGTCTTTGCTGTTGATTCCAAGCAGGTGTTAAGTGTTTTGCTTCTAAGTGAGACAGAAATAGGCTTCATTCATTTAACATGTGGCCTTCAGTAACTGAGACGGAATGTTTAGAATACAGATCTTTATCGTTGTCTGAGGGCATCCTAGTAAATCTCTAACATCACATGTAGTTTGGGAAAGGGACATTGCTTCTGTGTATTTTCAGCTATAGAATTAAAGAAAGTTTTGAAAATGACTTAAGCCAAATGGAGACCATTTTTTGAAGAGCAGATGGTTCTCTGTTTTAAAAATGTTGGCTCAATTGTCTTAGGTGTTTGTAGAAAACAAATAATCATAAAGAGGGTATTACTTCAGGAGTGCATACAGCAGAGTGTCCTTGTGTCTTGACTGTCTGAATGTAGTAAGACAGGGGAAGCCATGTACATTCTGAACTGTATCTTTATATACACCTAATAAAATAGAAGAGAGCATTACTGGTTATGTGTAGAATCCTTGGAGAGGCCAGAGAGGAGGGATGTTCTGTTTTCTACAGGTACAACTTTAACCATGCTGTAAATATTGGCTCTGAGGGTTTCACAATGTTTATCTGGCTTCAGGGGCCCCTTTTAGTCTGAAACAGCTTGCAGGTGGGTGGTGTTTCTTGTGTTGGGTTGTGAACACTGACACTGATTTCACGAAATTCTCTTGCAAAATGCTTTTGCATGTTTGTGCTTTGTTTTATTCCTTTTCTTGGAGACCTTCATAGTGCAGGCCCTGGGCTGATTTTCCTTTGCTGTCTTAACACTGTCAGCAGTTCTGTAACAAGATTAAAGGGATACCTCAGTTTTCAAAAATAGAAGTTCAGGAGGTTTACTGCCCAGCAGAGGAAAGTCAGAATAACCAGCGTTATATTCTTTTGGCCTACAGATTTTTCAGTTTCCTAAAATTGTGACCTTGTATTTAGAAAAAGAAAACATTTACAAAATTTTCCTCTGTGTAAAATTATTTTGAAGTGCATGCTAGCTTCACTTTAACGCTACTCTTTTGGAAAGAATTTTGTGTAAGGTGCATTCATCTTAGATGTCATCCAGTAATTGAAAAGCTAAGAAGCTACAATGATGAAGTATAAATCAGACAGGGACCCCAAGTATACTTATCATTTTAAAATTAAGAAGAATAGAGAGAAAATACTGTGTTATATTATACTTACTTCATTCCTACTTGGTATACAGTTTGTGATCTTGCAGTGTTTATTGCTCCATTGATAGTTTCATTGACAAACTGGATTATGTGGTGGCTAGAGGATGATATAATAGAAAGAAGTTTTGGATCCAGGCAGACAGTCCTGGACTTGATATTCTCTTTCCCCATTTTCTAGATACTTGCTAGGGCAAGTCACTTAAACTCTGAACTGAAGCTTACCCATCTGCAAAATAATAACGCATAATTGGCAACGATGCTGTAAGGAATAGAGATGTTACATGTACAAATTCCCAGTATAGTGGCTGGCATGATATAGTTTCTTAATAAATGGTAACTATCATTTGCATAGTTTTTCTGGTTTTTTTTTTCTTTTTGGTCCACGACCATTTATTAGAAAATAAATCTTACCTCCCCAGACTGAAAGCTGTCTTTGTCATACACTGAGTTTCAGTATATAGTTGCTCTTATTTTCCAGATTTTTGGTCTTTTCCTTTGAACAATTTGTTTATTCATACACCAGTTGCTCATAGTAGCTTTACAATATGTGTTTTACAATTTGGTGTAGACTAATTCCCCTTCAGTATTATTTTTTCAATATTTTATGAACTTTAAATCAATTTGTATAGTCGCCTACCTTTTATTGTCATTTTTAAAATTAGGATCACACTAAACTAATATGTTAACTTATTAACTATATATAACATATTTAATTATGTGTTATTTAGTGGTTTATGCCATTCCATTTGTTTGTATCCTTATATGTCATCAACAGCATTACATTTTAAAGGTTCCTTCGTATAGAATGCATTTTAAAAATATTTCTTATTGCTGTTATCAGTGGGTACTTTTATTGGTTATATCTTTTGATAGTGCTATTTTACTTTTGAAAATGATTGACTTCTGTATATTTGCTTTGTAATAATACTATTAGTCCTCACTTCTATTGCACTAACTCTGGGTCAAACACTTAGATGCACTTACATATATTTGCTGATTGAATCCTCATAACGGTTCTAGAAAGTGAATACTATTTTACAGTGAAGAAACTGAGGCTCATATAGCTAGAAAGTGGCAGATCCAGAGTTCAGAACCTGTATTCCTAACTTCAGTACCATACTGTACCGTGTCACCTAACTCTCATTTGCTGTATTATTTGTAAAGATCTTTTGTGCACTAATATGTTTTCCGTTGATTCTCTTGGGCTTTCCCCAAGAATATTACATGTTTTTGATTGGGCTGAATATTATAAAGATGTCAGTTTTCTCCAAACATAGGCTTAATGCATGTCCAATAAAAATTTTAACTTTTTAAACTTTCACTTGATAGTGTAATTCCAAAATTCCAAAATTGATGTGCAACAATAAATAGTAAGGATCAATGAAATGTTTTTTGATTGAGATTGTGTTGCATCTGTCAAGCAATTTGGGGAAAACTGACATTGTTAAAGTATAATTTCATAAAGGTAAAATCACTCTCAGGCAAATATAAAATGAACATGCATGTAAGATTTTATTTAACTCATTAATTAATAAGGGAACTAGAAAGATGTTGTGATCAATACAAAGAACATCTGTTGGTAATATTAGAAATGAGTTTTCCTGGTGTATTCCAATAGAGAGTTTAAATACTTATTAGACTTGGGCAGGCTCATTGGCTCATGCCTGTAATCCTAGCACTTTGGGAGGCCGAGGTGGACAGATCACATGAGGCCAAGGAGTTCGAGACCAGCCTGGCCAACATGGTGAAACCCCATCTCTACTAAAAATACAAAAATTAGCCAGGCCTGATGGTGTGCACCTGTAATCCCAGCTACTTGGGAGGCTGAGGTAGGAGAATCGCTTGAACCCGGGAGGTGGAGGTTGCAGTGAGCCAAAATCGTGCCACTGTACTCCAAGCCTGGGAGACAGAGTGAGACCCTGTCTCAAAAAAAAAAAAGTTAACAACTGAGATTTATTACAAGCTATTAATTTTTTTCCTTAAGAGAACCTAGTCATGTACTAACACAAATTATTTTAGACAGAAAATAGAAATTATTGGATGCCAATAATAACTTGCATCAAGAGAATAAGCAGTTCTAGTAGTCTTTTAAAGTTGACAGTTTTCATAGAGATAGTGAAAATGTTGGGCTTTTTGTTTTAATTCTTGAACATCATTTATGATTTAAACTGTGTGTTATATATTGTATTTTAAATAAACATGTAAACTTGTCATTATTTTGTACACTCCCCTAACATTTAACCTTAAACACCCAATACATGTTTGTTAAATGAATGAATAAGAGTAATGCTGTTTTTGAGTAATTCAAAGGGTGTGATGGTGATAGTATTTTCTTTTCTTTTTTTCCTCTTTGTTTTCCTATTGGTAGCATTAGAAATAAGTTTTTTGGGGGGGTATTCCAATGGAGAGTTTAAATACTTACTAGACTTGGCTGGGCGTGGTGGCTCATGCCTGTAATCCCTGCACTTTGGGCAGATCACTTGAGGCCAGGAGTCCAAGAGCAGCCTGGCTAACATAGTGAAACCTCGTCTCTACTAAAGATACAAAAAATTAGCGAAGGTGTGGTGGCGCACACCTGTAACCCCAGCTACTGCGGAGATTGAGACCGCGCCACTGCACTGTAGCCTAAGTGACAGAGTGAGAATCTGTCTCAAAAAATAAATAAATACTTATTAGACTAATGCTCTACACTTGTCACAATGGAAGTCGAGCCACTTTGAAATGCAGTTTATATGGCCTGTTTCCTTTTTGGTGACATGAAACAGGCATGCTGCATAGCAGAACAAGAAAACTCATGTTGTAGAAACCCCCTCTGTTGGCTGTGTTGAGTGGGTGGGGATTTGAGGACCTTCACACTCTGCAATGCAAAGTTCCCAGAGGGGTTAGAAACTCCTGACCCTAGAACTCCAAGTTTAATGGCCACTTCACCTGTCACTTCATCATTAAAAAAGAGTGAGATTTTTCTAGAATAAAGAAGAAATCTCATTAATTTGAATTTCACTATTTTAGGGTTTTGTTTTATTTGTGTAATTCTGACACATGTACTACAAAAATGTACCTTCCTCCGTGATGTTTATTATTAATGTGTCCTCTGAATGTATCAGGTTCAGAACAGAAACAGTACTTGTGTGTTTTAGTTCACATTACTCATCATATTTAAGTAATAAAACTAGCAGCTCTTTAAAACTTATTTTTTGTTTGAATAGATTTCTCGTGTGTTCAGATTAGTCTTTTCCCAGTTAGTTTGTTGTATGCACGTTCTTAGACATTTGCCACTGATGTTTAAAAATTGTTTAGCTGACCACACAGTCTTTGGAGACTACTAAGAAAGAAGTTTATATTGTGAGGAGGTGACAACAGGCAGCCCAAAGATGGGAGAATATGTTTGGATGAATGATGACAAAAACTCAACGCCCAGGAACGAGTTATCCCAACCATCAGAAATCCAGCATGAGGTGAATATCCTGGGGCCTGGGTTTTATAATCCATCACTGACTTGGGGAGTAGATATTTAAACAGTGGGGAAAGTTAGCACATAAACCTAGCTGCTAAAATGGCAAGTGATTTTTTTTTTTAGTGCACCAGAAAAGGGAAATAGCGGACCCTCTAAGCAATTAAGTGGCCAAATTGCGTGTGGAGGTTTGGCAAACAGACCAAAGTAATTCAGTCCATGGACAGCAAAATAGTTTTAGTTGAAGAAACTGTGAAGGTTTAATTTATTTTGTTTGCCAAGGAGTTGATGCATTCAGGGGTGAGTTAACAAAAGAATCAAAGAGTTTGAAAATCAAGTCAGTGATCTCTCCCCTTTGTGAAAAAGAAAAGAATGCATGTTTTGTTTTTTTTCTTTGTCTTTATTTTTATAAGAGCACTTTCTTACTGAATATTGTTTAACATAAAGAGACAATTTACTTGTGAAAGTTCATTCCCCTCTCAACAAAAACTGAGCATTGCTCTTTCTTATATTATGAAAAATCAGTATCTACTATTAACATTCTAATCAGTGTAGAAATTCTACCATTTAACCACCATTGCAAAAGAATGTTATAATATGTCATTAGACATATGTAAAAACTCATCAAGCTATACATTTCAGATTTGGAACTTCAAGTTGTATTGCTACTTTTAAAAAATTTTTGCATTAGGAGTGGTGGTCAGAGTTTAAGAATTATATTTGATAATTTAAGGAATTATATACTTCATAGTACTATGAAGAGGATATTCTTTATCTAAAAAGGTTCCCCAAGGACTGAAGCTTATGGTTAATTAAAAATAGAATAAATATAAAAATCTACCTTCAAGTTACTATGTTAATTATTTGGCACAACTCAAACTCCAGAGGCTGAAAAAGAAAATGTTGTGGGCATGTTTTTCAGTGTTCACTTCAAAGCAGAAATGTAATATTCATTAATCTTGTTCTTTGATTGTGATGTTAGCTCTTTTGTTACTGTGGAGTTTACCTTGGCCTGAGTGCTGGCAATTAAATAGCACAGTGAAGATTACTGGAAAACATTAACTTGTTATTGTTAGTTGACATCTTGCTGAGGTTGATGGGAAGTAGAGTTTATAAATAGCCTTGCCCCTGTGCATTGATTTTGAAATCTACTGAGTTTCAGGGATGAATCTCATTATTCAGACCATTCATTACTTACATTTGAAGCTTTTTATTTCACAGAGAGTAGTTTCATCCTTTAGAAAAATGTAATATTGAACATAGCTGTGATACACCCTTGTTGAAACTTTTGTGTTCAGTATTAACTTCTTGAGTAAATTAGCTTCCTATCATTTGCTTAACTTTATTTTTTTGGATATTATATAAGTGATGATCTTCCACTGTTTTAGAAAGGGGCCTATATTCCATTCTGTTTTATATAATTTATATTTTAATCTAGAATGATCTTTATGTTTCAAATGTTTTCAAATAAGCATCCTTGAACATTTGCAGTGTTCAACATGAAACTTCTGTTTGTTTGTGAGAACGGTGTTGCTGTATGTCCTTTCCCGAAAGCGGCCTGCCACTTGAATTTTTATGGTGCACTATCAGATGCAAATCATTAACTCTGAGATCTCTCCAGCATGATGGTGGAAAGAACACAGGGTCAAAGCAGTAATCCATGAGGGATGAAAGGAAGTTGACTCTATTATGAGAAATCTAGGCAGTCAAAGTATAACAAAAGTTTCTAGAAATCTGGCCAAATCGCCAAATAATTGCTTTGCTCTTTCAGGCCAAGAGGCAAACCCTAAGTTTGCATTCTCATTCTCCTCATTAACTGATGGTGTGGGAAGGATTCAGTGCTATTCAGGTAGGCTTTAAGACGTGGAGTTTTTTTGAACTGAGTGGTGGCTTTACTGATTAATCAGTAAGGTTTTCATTGAGTTTCAATTAAATGCTCAGTACTGTGCTAATTAAGCACTGAATGGATGTAAAGCAGTATAAATTCTTCACTGGGATCTTACAGCATGGTTGGGGAGACACAACCAACAAACCTGAAGTAGAAACATTGGAGTACAAGAATCACATAGTGTTAATTTTAAGTCCAAATTAATTTTCAGTCCATACTCACAGCATGGCTGGAGGATGTAGAAATTTCATGACTAAATTCTAAAGAGTTAAGTCATTTGGCTATATGTCTTCAGATCTCTGGTTGTTAGGACACTGACAAAAACAGGAAGATTTTATAGGCTGTCAGTGTTTCCCAGCTTTACCTGACATGAGAGTAACTTGGGGCACTGATGAGGATATGGATTCCCAAGTGCCTGTCCTGGAGATTTTGGTCATGAAGGCCTGAGGTAGGACCTCAGAATCTGCCTTCTTAATGAGCAACCTAACTGATTCTTGTGATCAGACAAACTTGAAAAATACTGGTTTAAGTGTGGAAGAGAGGGACGTAATGTACAAAACCTAGTTAATATAAGAGATAAGTTATTGTTTTTAGATCTAAAGGATAAGAAGGTGTATCCCCCAAGTGATAGATATTATATGTCACAAAGTAATCTGCTTTTGAGATTAAAGGACCATGAAGAGCACTAAGAAAACCCTGAAATTTCTAAGCTCAAATATTTAATGGACAAAAGGTGTTCTGGATTTCATTTTATCACTTGTTCCACTCTAGGAAGGGTGATCCTGGTCATTCATGTGGAGAAGTGGGCAGGAAGACATGAGTAAGGAGGACACATTTGAAATAGCTCATGGTATTAGCTTGGCAGACACAACGGGAGACTCTTCCAAGACTGCTCAAAGGCAGGACTGAAGGAAGCAGGAGACTGAGCAATTTAGTAACAATGTTTGGTGGTCAAGATCAAGGGGCATGAAGTAAGAGTTGTGGGAAACGAGGGCAGAGATAACAATAATAATTTTAGTTGCACGTGATACATCTTATGAAGATCAAGTAGGTCAGCAGTATGTGTAAACTCTTGGGCCTCATGACATCCTCATCCTAAAAGATAGGGGCAGGGTGGTGGTACTACTTCAGTTTTACAGCTTGAAAGCTAGTGTTAGGAGAGGTGTCATTGCTATAGACAGTGAACTAGAGAAAAAAGTCAGAGAATTTGAGCCAGTAGGTTTTCTAACTTGTGATGTTAGGTTGGATAGATGTTGGGGGACTGGAGAAGAGAAAAAACTATGTTTGAGTTGAGGTGGTGAGTCTAATTGTTAAATTTTAAGTGGGTTTCAGTATAGGTAAATTAAAAGGAAGTTATCAACAGATTTAAAAAGTGCTGTGGGCCGAGCACAGTGACTCATGCCTTTAACCCCAGCAGCACTTTGGGAGCCTGAGACAAGAGGATCACTTGAGGCCAGGAGTTCCAGACCAACCTGGGAAACATAGTGAGACCCTGTCTCCACAAAAAAAAAAAATAGCCGGACATGGTGGCTGGCACACACCTGCAGTTCCAGCTACTGGGGAGGCTGAGGTGGGAGGATCACTTGAGTCCAGGAGATCAAGGCTGCAGTGAGCTATGATCACACCACTGCACTCCAGCCCGGGCGACAGAGCAAGACCCTCTTTCAAAACAAAGTGGTATGGAGTGGAGATGATGAAGATAAGGGGCTAACGATGTTGAGAGGGCTTTTAGCTTTGAGCAAAGAGAAACTAGATTTGTATGGCAAGTAAAGTTGATGGTTCAGCACAAGTATATGATATAAAATGAACTTTTGTACCTCCTTAAGATGACTGATAGATGACACACTGATAATTATTATCCACATCTTAACCATATCTTTTCTGGTAAGCCTACTTTTTAAAGTAGTCTGCAATGGAGAAAGGTGTTTTTGTTTGTTTGTTTCTTTGTTTGTTTGTTTTTGTGAGATAGAGTTTTGCTCTTTTTGCCCAGGCTGGAGTGCAATGGCGTGATCTCGGCTCACTGCAACCTCTGCGTCCCGGGTTCAAGTGATTCTCCTGCCTCAGCCTCCCAAGTAGCTGGGATTACAGGTGCTTGCCACCACGCCTGGCTAATTTTTTGTATTTTTAGTAGAGACAGGGTTTCACCATATTGGCCAGGATGGTCTCGATCTCTTGACCTCGTGATCCACCCACCTTGGCCTCCCGAAGTGCTGGGATTACAGGCGTGAGCCACCGCTCCTGGCCAGAAAGTGTTTTTAAAAATTAAACTTTGCCTAGGATTTTGGTCTGTGGGCTTTTTTCTCTCCAACATAACAGTAGAGAGACTGGAAAAGCAGTGAACTTTAGAAAAGTGGTAAAGTAGGTCTTTACCATCCCATTGTTGCAGCGTCACTCAATAATTGTTCCTTTCCCCACAGTTACTACAATCTTGTACCTTGCCTCTAATGACAGACCTTGGTATTTCAAATCAGCACCTGTTGCTAGATTTTTGTTTTTTGTTTTGATAAAGGATTAAAAGAAGTCAAAGTGGATTTCTCAGAACATTTAATTAATGCAGGCTCACAATACCAGTTGGTAATGTTAGGTAAACGTGTAGTTCACCCACAAGGCTTTTTAATAGATGAAGAATCCTGTAGTCAGAAAATTCAAAACATGACCCAAAAATATTACTGAATACAGTCTACAATATTGAATAATACTGACTTGAGTGTAGGGAATTTTTTAATTAAATTTTTTTAAAAAAAGACACATAACATAAAATTTACTATCTTAACCATTTTTAAGTGCACAGTTTAGTAATGTTGTGTGGTCACATTGTTGTGCAGCCAGTCTCCAGAACATTTTCATCTTGCAGAACTGAAACTCTATACCCATTAAACAACAGCGCCCTATTTCTCCTTTCTCTCAGCCCCTAGCAACTACCATTCTATTTTCTTGTGTCTGTGAGTTTGACTACTTTGGTACCTCATATAAGGGAAATCATACAGTATTTATCTTTTTTGTGACTAGCTTCACTTTGTATTATGTCTCAAGGTTCATCTGTGTTTTGGCATGTGTCAGAATTTTCTTTTTAATGCTGAATAATATTCCTTTGCATGATATACCATATTTTGTTTATTCTTCTGTCAGTGAACTTTTGATTTACTTCCGCCTTTGGCTATTGTGAATAATGCTGCTGTACATTATTTGCTGTACATTGAACATGGCTGTACAATCTGCTGTACATGATCAATGCTGTACATTGAACATGGCTGTACAAATATCTCTTTGAGACCCTACTTTCAATTCTTTGGGATATATCCCTAGATGTAGTATTGCAAGGTTACTTGGTAATCAATTTTTAATGTTTTGAGGAGCTACCATACTGTTTTCCATAAAAATGTAGGGAATCTTGATTTTTTGTTTTACTTAGATGGTAACTTCATTGGGAACCTTGCTGATTTGCTTGTTGGCCTAGGTTTCCTCCACTATTAAGAAATGTTGTATGTAAACTTTTGCTTTCCTATTTATATTCCTCCACTGTGTTTTGGCTACCTCCTCCTCTCTTCCCCACCTTCATATCTCGATCCTTTTGAAGCAGTTAAATATTCTGCTTTTTTCACTGAATTGTTTTTAAGATCTGAGAAATTGGAGATTGGAGATCAAGGTGATCATAGATCACTCTGACCTCTTTATCTGTGACCTCTTCCTGTGAAAACTCCACATTCTTCAGACAGTGAGCTTTTTCTTCTTCACTCCACCTTACTTAGGTCTTTAATTGACTGAATCCCTATGCATCTGTGTACAGTTCATTAGACAGTAATTTTTATTGGTCGGTATTTTACTTTTTAAGTGAAATTAATTTCATTTCATTGCATAGAACCCATTTAACTTGCTAAATATGTATGTGCCAAGTTAAGAAATAAAAGAGAGAGAAACTATTAGCAATTCAAATGTTGCCTTTTTCTCAATAAGCACCTGCCCTGCAGTGAACAGTGAAATGGTGTCCCACTGTTTAGTGGTGACACAAAGATACTGTCTCTTTAGTATCTCTATGCTCAACATAATTCAAGGGTCATTTTTTACTGTACACAATATTCACGTTAGTCACTTGCTTTAGACCCTGCTCCCACATATTATATGTTATTGCCTCAAATAAATCATAAACTTCTAGGAAGTTGAGATTATCTCCCTTGCACCCCTCATTAGATTGGGAGACAGTGTCTTCCCATCTGAGCAATTATAAACTCTTAATTTTACCCCCTGGCCTATCCACAGTCCTGGCCTTTCCATCTTCAGCAAATGAGACTACCATTCACCCAGTTTCTCAAGAGGAACCTGGGGATCAAGGAACCCACCTTTTTTTTAACTTGCCTTCTAATCTACTGGTATCATCTACTTCTGTACCCTTATTCTCTACACTGCTATCCTTGTGCAAGCCAGCCTCATCTTTTGCTTGGACAACTGCATTTGCCTCATATCTGACCTGTCTGCATTTTGTGCGTGTGTGTGTGTGTGTGTGTGTGTGTGTGTGTCAGAGTCTTGCTCTGTCACCTGGGCTGGAGTGCGGTGGCGTGATCTCAGCTCGCTGCAGCCTCCACCTCCCAGGTTTGAGTAATTCTCCTGCCTCAGCCTCCCTAGTAGCTGGGACTACAGGCGCCTGCCACCACGCCCAGCTAATTTTTGTATTTTTAGTGGAGACGGGGTTTCACTCTATTGGCCACGCTGGTCTCAAACTCGTGACCTCAAGTGATCTGCCTGCCTCAGCCTTCCAAAGTGCAGGGATTATAGGTGTAAGCCACCGAATCTGCGTATATTCTTGCGCCCTTTAATCTGTACTCTATATAGGGAGAAGGATCTTTTAAAAACACAGATGAGGCCAGGCGCAGTGGCTCACACCTGTAATCCCAACACATTGGGAGGCCAAGGCGGGTGGATCACCTGAGGTCAGGAGTTCGAAACCAGCCTGGCCAACATGGTGAAACCCCATCTCTACTAAAAATACAAAATTAGCCAGGCATAGTGGTGCATGCCTGTAATCCCAGCTACTCGGGAGGCGGAGGTTGCAGTCAGCAGAGATCATGCCACCGCACTCCAGCCTGGGCAACAAGAGCGAAACTCCGTCTCAAAAAAAAAAAAAAAAAGATGAGATTAACTTAATTCCCTACTTAAAACCCATTAGTCAGTTACCATCACAATTACAATAATCTAAATCTCTTACAGTTGCTTATAAACACCAAAATGACCTGACCCAGCCTACCTCTCCAACCTCATCTCATGCTGCTTTCCTCCTTTCATTCATCTCTAACTCCATGGACCTTCCTCTAATAACCAGGCCTTGTCCTGCCCTAGGGCCTTGATATGTGCTGTTCATTCTACTTGGAAGGCATATAAGCAGATGTCAACAAACATTTGCTGAGTGAATAAACAAGTCAGGCGCGTCATAAGGATGTAGACTATACTAACTGTCATCTCCCAAAAGTAAATGCAGTACATGGTGTCAGTATATATAATAGAATGCCTAGTGCAGTGATTCTCCATTGTGAGCCATTTTTCTCCACGGGGGCATTGGCAATGTCTGAAGATACCATTGGTTGTCACTACTGGTGGTGTGCTGTCAGCATAAGATGGGTAGAAGCTAAGGGCTAGGAAACATCCTGTAGCATGCAGGACAACTCCCACAGCAAAGAATTACCTGACAACAAAGAACTAACATTTGGGGAACGTTAGTAGTGCTGGGGTTGAAAAATCGTTTTAGAGTAATACATTTGAGTTAGGAGAAGTCAATTTTAATAGCAGTGCTGGCCCTTCAAGTCTGTCATATTACCTAAACAGCTTTTAAAATTTTTTTATTTTCTATTTTATTTTCTTTTATTTTTGAGACAAGGTCTGGTCCTGTTGCACAGGCTGGAGTGCAGCAGCAGATCTCGGCTCACTGCATCCTTTGCCTCCCCAGCTCGAGCCATCCTCCCTCCTCAGCCTCCCTGGTAGCTGGAACTAAAGGTGCACACCGTCACACCCATATAATTTTTTGTAATTTTGGTAGATAACAGGGTTTCACCATGTTGCCCAGGCTGGTCTCCAACTTGTGAGCTCAAGCAATCTGCCCGCCTTGGCCTCCCAAAGTCCTGGGATTACAGGTGTGAGCCACCATGCCTGGCCTAATTTTTTTATTTTTATAGAGAGAAGATCTTGCTCTATGAGGCTTGAGTGCAATGGTGCCATCATGGCTCACTGCAGCTTTGAACTCCTGGGTACAAGTGATCCTTCCACCTCAGCCTCCCGAGTGGCTGGCTTATTTAAATACTAGAACGAATCCTCGTGTTTGGAGACTGCTTTCTCATCCTCAGGAACTGTGTGTTATTTCCATAAGGGTAAATGCCACTGCTCCACAGACTCATGAACTACTCCTGTTGGTGGGTATCTTGCTCACTTCCTCATAATGCTAAGCTGAACTCAGTCTTTCCATTTGTTTTTCCAATAATAAAAATGACCAGTGATAACCAAAGTTGAAGACATCCCTCTGGATCAGATGAGAAATCTCCCTCTTTCTCTTCTGCCACTTCAAAGGCTTTTGAATAAACAAAGTTTTCATGATAGCCAGGAAACTCCCTGTTATGGAGATATGATTCGTTCTACATAGAGTTCACCATTAATTTCAAGAAGATTGGGATTAACTACGGTCATGCATCACATAACAGCATTTCAGTCAACCACAGACTGCATATGTGACAGTGGTCCCATAAGATTATAATGGGGCTAAAAAATTTTTATTGCCTAATGATGTAGCACAATGCATTACTCATGTGTTTGTGGTGATGCTGGTGTAAACAAACCTGTTCCGCTGCCAGTCAAATAAAAGTATAGCACATATAATTATATACAACACATAATACTCGATAATGACAGCAGATGACTATGTTCCTGGTTTATGTATTTACTATGCTTTTTATTGTTACTTTAGAGTATATTCCTGATTTAGGCATTGTTATCATAGGAGGTGACTACCTAAAAAATTGTTAACTGTAAAACAGTCTCAGGCATTGTGATTATATACGGTGACTGCTCCATGCGTGTTATTGCCTCTGAAGACTTTCCAGTGGACCAGGATGTGGAAGTGGAAGATGGTGATTTTGATGATCCTGACCCTGTGTAGTCCTGGGCTAATGTGTGTGTTTGTGTCTTAGTTTTTAGCAAAAAAGTTAAAAAAGTAAAAACATAAAATTTAAAATAGAAAAAATAGGAAAAAGCTTAAAAAATAAGGATATAAAGAAATTATTTTTTATAGCTGCACAGGTGTTTGCATTTTAAGCTGTGTTATTACAAAACAAACAGTTTTTAAAAATTTAAAGTTGATAAGGTAAAAATGTTAGAGCAAACTAAGGTTAATGTATTATTGAAGAAAATTTTTAAAATACATTTAGTGTAGCCTAAGTATACAGTATTCGTAAAGTCTACGGTGGTGTACAATGATGTCCTAGGCCTTCACATTCACTCACCACTCACTCACTGACTCACCCAGAGCAACTTCTAGTCCTGCAAGCTCCACTCATGATGAGTGCTCTATACAGGTGCACCGTTTAAAATCCTTTATATTAATAGCATATTTTTACCATACCTTTTCTATGTTTAGATACACAAATACTTACCATTGTGTTATAGTTGTCTACCGTATTCAGTACAGTAACATGATGAAATCGCCTAACAACACGTTTCTCAGAATGTATGCCTGTCATTAAATAATATGTGACTGTGTATTGCCTTTTCTTGTAAATCAAAAATTATGGAATTTTAAACACATGCACCCATAATTCATACCCTTTGAAGTAGGACTGCAAATGTAAGATCATCATGCTTCATTATGTGAACATCCAGATATCTATTTTGTGAGACTAATACACACAGGAAAGACGCTTTGCTTCCTTTGAATAAGGTAAAAGCAAACTGGCCAGATTCACCCAGGAAATGACCTACGTTGGGAGCTAAAGTATTTGTTCCAGTGTTACCTGATTTGGGTCATTTGGGAAATACTAAAGAAAATAAGAATGTGCTTTCTTAGCCTATTTTAAAGAGTTTTCCTCTCTCAGAGCAGTCCAAAAGGGCTAGAAATTATACCTCTGGATATGTGAATTTATGGAGCAGTCTCAGTTGGAAAGAATATCAAGAATAAACCTCTTGAGGGTCATAACTAATAGAGTTAATACCTTCAAGGGTCACCAGATTATTTTTTTCTAAGACACTGAGTGGTACAACTTATTCTTAGATGTACATCACAAATACAGAAAATTTAACTTATGATAAAAAGGGCAACCTTGATAACAAATAATGTATTTCTTAAAGCACCTGAGGGATAATCATAATTTATCCTTGCCATACATTTGTCATTGTGATGAGCTGTAGTAAGATGATTCGTCAGAAAGCACAGTTTCTGGGACAATCACCACAGACCACTAAGAAAAATAGTGCCAAGGAACGATACTGCCAAAGGCAGAAGTCCAGTGGTCAAGTCAAAACACCTGCCAAAAAAGAACATAAGCAGGAAGCACAGAGGAGTCAAGAAAGCTACTGATAATGCAGAGCTAGGAGAACAGGAGAACCAGATGGCTGGAGAGGAGTGAAGTGAGTCTCCTTTTCACATCAGCACTGAGAGATGCCGTCAGTTGCACCACAGAATTGAAACCACATGTAGGCTATGCCATTCATTAATAAGAGTGACTAATTTTTTAAAGAGAAATTACAAAGCACTTTGTACATCAATTATCTTTTAGACTTCATGGCAACCTCATGGGATATGAGAGGAGTTGTATTATTAGCTTTATTTTATAGATGAGGAACTTAGGACTCAAAGAGATTAAATAATTTTCTAAGGCTACCAGCTATGTCTTGACTACAAAGCCCGTGATATGATAGTAGGCCAGGGTTTCTCACCCTCAGCACAATTGACATTTTGGGCTGGATTCTTGGTTGTAAGAAGTTGTCCTGTGCCTTGTAGGATGTTTAGCAGCGTCCCTGGCCTCTGTCTACTGGTAGCACCCCCTTTCAGTTGTGGTAGATGCTGGTAGCACCCCCTTTCAGTTGTGGTAGATGCTGGTAGCACCCCCTTTCAGTTGTGACAACTAAAAATGTTGTAGATATTGTCAGATGTCTCCTGGGGATGAACTCATTCCACGTTTAGAACTCCTAGCCTGAGGATTAAAGTATCAGTCTAGTATTAGTATGAGTCTAGTGAGCACCAAGAGAAATATCCTGTTGTCCCACTGTCCTCAGTCCCAATAATTGGCTAAAAGGACTTCTTTAGGTGGAAAATCCATAACAACTTCTCTTTGAACTTTCCCAAACGATCCTCATAGCCTTCCAGCAATATAGTGAAAGGGAAAGGCCAAAATGGTTTATGGACAGATGGGTGGGTGACTGGTTGCTTAGAGAGAGTCATTGTTTCATTCAGCTATCGACTCAACAAATAAACTTAACAGTTCCTGGGAATGGTTTCATAGTGGCATCAGTGTTTGAGCTGAAGTAGGTTTAGAAGGAAGATTATTAGTTTCCTCAAGATGAGCTTGGGGAAAGATGAACATGTAAATAACCTGACATGTCAGTAGGCTAGGACTTAAAAGGCTGGTGGCCCACGACACAAACATATTCCAGTCTTGAGGACCTGTAGTCATTGGTCATCTTACTTTGTATGCCAAACCATTTGCAAGCAGTCTTGCTGTTTACTTTCACTGTTGAGTTAACTGTTGCCTTACAAGTACTGTTTATCTCAGCCCACATGGTAATTGCCTTAAATTTCAAATCAAATCAACAAACGTTTGCACTCCAGCAAGGCTCTATAGGAGATAAAACGACATGGTTTACATAAAAAGATACATAGTAATTAAGATAACATATCCTAGGTGCCAAATGAGTGGTTCAGATAAGTGCTATGGCATGAGAGGATGGAATGATTGCCATGACCTGGAATTGTCAGAGAGAACTTTGCAAAGGAAATTGGTGAGCTGAGCCTGAATGGATGAGTAGAAATAATATGAAATCTTTGTAATAGACTGATAATTGCACTTTGATTAATTTGCCCAGCACACCATGTTAGAAGGTACCTTTTAGGTTGATTATTTTAATACCACCTACATCTCATTATCTTGGAATATATCTAATAATAGAAAAAAAAAAAAGCCCGTTGGAGCTGGGGCCAGTAGCACATGCCTGTAGTCCCAACTACTTGGGAAGCTGAGGAAGGAGGATCCCTTGAGCCTAGGAGTTTGAGTCCAGCCTGGGCAACACAGGGAGATGCCATCTCTTAAAAAGAAAAAAAAAAAAATCCAGTTAACAGCTTATCCATGATGATTGTCCAGAGTTTATTGTCAGATCAGCCAAGAAAATGCCTAAGAGTAAAAGGGGTTGTTTGGTTTTGTTTGTTTGTTGGTTTGTTTTTAGTCTTGCTCCATCACCTAGGCTGGAGTGCAGTGGCGCAATCTTCGCTCACTGCAACCTCCGCCTCCCAGGTTCAAGCAATTCTTCTGCCTCAGCCTCTCAAGAAGCTGGGATTACAGGCACCCGCCAGCATGCCTGGCTAATTTTTGTATTTTTAGTAGAGACGGGGTTTCACCATGTTGACCAGGCTGGTCTCAAACTCCTGACCTCAAGTGATCTGCCCGCCTCAGCCTCCCAAAGTCCTGGGATTACCGGCATGAGCCACCACACCCAGCCATGAAAAGGTTTTTTGATGACTCTCAGGGATCCGAGGAGGCTCATAAGGACTGATATCACAGGCCCCTTGGTTCAGTTAGATCTCACAGAATCACCATTCTCTGAACAAAGGTGCCCTCTTAGGAAATGGGGCTCAAGATTTGGAGAGGCCTTACTGCATCCTTTCTCTATGACTTTGGTTATTACACATAATTGCAGGACTGTGGGAGGCATAGTTATCAATAAGGGCTACAGAGGCTTTTGCTTAAGACACTGCCTGGTTTATTCCACAAACACCAGCTGTCTAGTAGACTTTAATAATTATGCATAAAATGGATGCAACAGATGTTCCTGGACCTCACTGCTGGAGATTTTGAGTGGCAAATGAACAAACAAACTAGATGGAGGGGGAAGGGCAACCACCCAAATCTCCATTCCTAGGGGCTTAGAGGAATCATTTTTTCCCTTATAAACAGCCACTTTGTAAACAGTTGTCACTTTTTGACTTTTAAAGATTCACAGTCTTTTCCTTTTGTTTACTTTGATGACCTTTGAAATAAGCTGCAACCGAAAGAGGGGAAAAAAATTCCATCTTTATTTTTCTAAAAGAGGAGTCTGTCTGTTCCCACAGTGCATTGGAAGCCAGCAAACTCCTGAGGCTGTCTCAGGCCCACTCAGGTTTTGGGGCCTTTAGGTACAGTTAAGTCCAGTTGCCTCAAACCCCTTCACTGGGCAGCTCAGAGTAACGTGCATTACCAGATGCTGGGTGCCAAACAGTTTTCTGAAAGCCAGTCTCTCTTTACAAGGCAAATTTTATAGCCTCTCTAAAATCTGGAAAATGCAAATTAATATAACTTTACATTTCTTTTGGCCTCATTTGCAGAGGAGGCAACATTAGAGATACAGTTCTGGCTCTTAAGAAGGCTGCCACCTATCTCCCCCATGAACAGCCTTCTCTGCCCCCAGTGGGTTTCTCCTCTGACCTGCTCTTCAGCCACATTGGGCACAGAACTGAAAAGTCAAAGGAGGAGACCAGAGAGGAAGAGCCTTGGGAATGTCAAAGTTTCTTATCTTTGATTTCTCTCTCGGTGAAAATACCACACACCTACCTGTCCCAATAATTAGTATGTGAATTTTCACAATAAGTAGGGAGTTAGAGAATATATGACAAAAAAAGAATATATTTTAGCTTTTATTGTTTCTGACTCTAAAAGTAATGTACTTTGTGGTGATAGGACAGTCCTGTATCTTGATTGTGGTAGTCATTATACAGATTCATACATGGGATAAAATGGCACCGTCCTCCCCCACCAAGTGGACGTGTGTAGAAAATGGTGACAGCTGAATCAGGTATGCAGTCTGGTTAATAATACTGTGCCTATGTCAGTTTTCTGGTTCTGACATAGAACTATAGTTACATAAGGTATCACCATTGGAGGAAGCTGAGTGAAAGGTACACTGACTATGCTGTTTTTGCAATTTGCTATGAGTCTACAATTTCAAAACTTGAAAAAAATTGAAAAGTAATGCATTTCTACTGTAAAACTTTCTAAATTACAGAAGTATACAACATTGAATGTAAAAATCCCACTCCCCCAATTAACAACTTGGCATTAATAAAAATGGGATCATAATATTTTTGCAGCTTCCTTTTTCACTTTACAGTATGACTTGGAGATCTTTCCAGTTGAGTCTATATAAATCTACAACTTCTTTATAATGACTGTACAGTTTGGCTGTACATGACAGGATATATGTAGGACTATCCCTTACTCTTTTCAACTGGTCCCGTATTGGTCATTTCTAAACTTTCCTATTCCATACAACCAGTGCTGCTGAAGATGATCCTTGAGCATCTACACCTTTGCTCATATCTGTTTGTCTGTAAAATAAACTCCTAGAAGTGGGCATAACAAAATTAAAGAAAGTGCGTGTCTTCCATTTTGATAGCAAATGCCGGACTTTCAAGTCGTGGTTTTGCCCAACTCCATTGGGTACCATTTGTGTAGAATATGTTATGTATACAACATGACTCTGCTGATTACCCTCCAAAAAGGTTGTGACAATTTATACTTCCACCAGTGATGACTGAGAGTATCTTATTTTCTTGTCCATCTATCAGTTGGGTCTTACTCTTTTTAAAAAAAAAGTATGTGCCAAATCCATAGGTTAAAAAAAACCCTCATTGTTTTATTACACTTCATCAAACACTAATGAAATTAAACATTTTCTGATACATTTATTGGCTATTTGGATTTCATCTGTGAATTGTTTGTTTATGTTCTTTGCTAAATACTTGCAGTTCCCAAAGTATGTGGCAAGGCATGGGATATTTTCAATTTTAGGGATAAGCACAGTGACACTTGCCATCTGTCAGACATTATGTGAATTACTAGCACAAAGTAATTTATAGTTTTTAGCATTAGCTCATACTACATTCCTTTTGATGATGCTGTATCTTTTTGCAAAGTTGAGCATTTGGTAGTTGCTGTGATAAAAAAGCAAGTGCCCTGAGAAAATCCATGTGGAACAAGAATGAGTGGTGGAGTCCAAAGCTGGGGAAGCCATGAAGTATCCAGTAGGCACATACATCCCATTAGTGAGTAATTGTGGTTATTTAAGAATGAAAGGAAAATATTTTTTCTTTCAACTTATGTTTATTTTTTCACACAGCCACTAAGTTATTAAGGCATAAATACTTATTGGATTGTTTGGACCTAACTACTTAATAAATGGAACTCTTAGCTATTTCCTTTGGCCTTAGGGCACCCTGAAAAAATTAGTGAGGTACTAAAGGTGCTTTGAATTGAGAAAGTTTGAGAATTCCTGCCATATTTCATTCAGTTACTTTCATTTTTGTTATTGATTTGCAAATTTTGTTCCTTAGGGGAATTAGCAGATATTTTACCCCTGGTTTCCCTTTACTTTTTAATCTTCATAGTAGTTTTTGCTATATAAAAGTTTTCAGTTTTTATGTTGACATATTTATACATCTTATTTTCCCCTATTCATGGCTTTTTGTTTATTCTTTTAAAAAACACTTTTACCTGCTGATTATAAAACATGATATGAAACATATTTCATTCCCTTCTAGCATTTTTATAGTTTCTTTTTTACATTTGATTCTTTTCTCCGTCTGGAATTTATCTTAGTTTAAGGCTTTAGATAGGAATCCAACTATATCATTTCCCAAAGGACTGGTTGATTGTCTTAATACTGTTTATTGAATGAATCAATGTTTTCACTACTGTTCAAATGTCACCTTTATCATCTACTTAGCTTCCACGTGCAGAATTTCTAATGAGTTTATTTCTTGGCCTTCTGTTCTCTATTTCTCTTATAGCCCTTAACCGTTTTCTGTCTTAAATTTCAGTATGTACATCTTACTTTCTGCACTACATCATAAGCTCTTCCTATATTGGTTATTTTTGTGTCCTATACACTAAGCTATTTTATCTTTCCATTCTTCCTCCCTCACTAAATCTTTTTCACATTTTTATATTATAGAAATTTTTAGATATACACAAATAATATAATGAATCCCCATGTATCCATCACTCAGCTTCAAACATTATCAATCGATGGCTAATTTTGTTTCATTTATGCCACTATCAGTTCCCCTTCTCCTTTATTGCATTAAAATTAACTGTGTCTGCAGTGGGAAAGGGATAGTTTTTTCAGTAAATGGTGCTGGGAAAACTGGATTTCCACATGCAAAAGAATGACATTGGACCCTTATACCTTACACAAAAGTCAACTCAAAATAGATAAAAGATGTAAACATAAGACCTAAGATACAAAACTCTAAGAAGAAAACACAGGGGAAACCTTGACGTTGGCCTTGGCAGTGATTTCTTGGCTGTCACACCAGAAGGTCAGTCTACAAAAGCAAATATGGATAAAAGGATGATATCAAACTAAAAAGCTTCTGCGAGCAAAGGAAACAATAAACAAGTTGAAAAGGCAGCCTATAATTATCTTACCTCTGTTAAAATGATTTTTAACCAAGACACCGGCAATAATGAGTGCTGGCGAAGATACGGAGAAAGGGGAACCTTTGTACACTGTTGGTGGGAATGTAAATTAGTACAATCACTGTGGAGAACAGTTTGGAGGTTCCTCAAAAAGCAAAACTAGAATACCATATGATCCAGCAATCCCACTACTAGGTATATATTCAAAAGGAAGGAAATCAGTATATCAAAGAGATATTTGCACTCTCTTGTTTATTACAGCACTGTTCATAATATCCAAGATTTAGAATCAACCTAAGGCCTAAGTGTCCATCAGCAGATGAATGGTGTATTAGTTTGTTCTCAAGCTGCTAATAAAGACATACCCAGGACTGGGTAATTTTAAAGGAAAGAGGTTTAACTGACTCACAGTTCAGCATGGCTGAGGAGACCTCAGGAAACTTAACAATCATGGCGGAAAAGGAAGCAAATACATCCTTTTCGTGGTGGCAGCAAGGAGAAGTGCCAAGGAAAAGGGGGAAAAACCCCTTGTAAAACCATCAGGTCTCGTGAGAACTCACTCTCTATCATGAGAACAGCATGAGGATAACCACCCCCATGATTCAATTACCTCCCTCTGGGTCCCTCCCTCAATACATGGGTTTATGGGAACCACAAGATGAGATTTGGGTAGGGACACAGCCAAACAATATCAAATGGTAAAGAAAATGTAGTCCATATACACAATGCAGTACTGTTCAGGCATAAAAAAGAATGAGATCCTGACATTTGCAAAAATATAAATAGAACTAGAGGTTCCATGTTAAGTGAAATAAGCCAGGCACAGAAAGACAAATTTCATGTTTTCACTCATTTGTAGGAGCCAAAAATTAAAACAATTGAACTCATGGAGATAGAGAGTAAAATGATAGTTATCAGAGGCTGGGGAGGAAAGGAAAGGGGGATAGTTAATGGGTACAAAAATATAGTTAATTAGATAGAATGAATAATATCTAGTATGTGATAGCACAATAGGGTAACTACAGTCAACAATAATTTATTGTACATTTAAAAATAACTAAAAATATAATTGGAATGTTCATAACAGAGAAATGATAAATGGTCAGTACACATCGTATGCCTATATCAAAATATCTTATGTACCCTATAAATATATACAGCTACCATATACCCATAAAAAATAAAATGTAGCCAGGCATGGTGGCTCATGCCTGTAATTCCAACACTTTGGGAGGCCAAGGCGGGTGGATCACTTGAGGTCAGGAGTTCAAGACCAGCCTGGTCAACATGGCAAAACCCTGTCTCTACTAAAAATACAAAAATTGGCCGGGCGCAGTGGCTCACTCCCGCCTGTAATCCCAGCACTTTGGTAGGCTGAGGCGGGCGGATCACGAGGTCAGGAGATTGAGACCAGCCTGGCTAACACGGTGAAACCCCATCTCTACTAAAAATACAAAAAATTAGCCGGGCATGGTGGCAGGCACCTGTAGTCCTAGCTACTCGGGAGGCTGAGGCAGGAGAATGGCGTGAACCTGGGAGGCGGAGCTTGCAGTGAGCCAAGAACGCACCACTGCACTCCAGCCTGGGCAACAGAGCGAGACTACATCTCAAAAAAAAAAAAATTAGCTGAGCTTGGTGGCCCATGCCTGTAGTCCCAGCTACTTGGGAGGCTGAGGCAGTAGAATCACTTGAACCTGGGAGGCAGAGGTTGCAGTGAGCCAAGATTGTGCCACCACACTCCAGCATGGGCGACAGAGCAAGACTCCATCTCAATAAATAAATAAAATAAAATGTGAAAAAAGGCAACCTACAGATTGGGAAAAAGTATTTGCAAGCCATGTATCAGATAAGGGGTTATTATCTAAGATTTATGAGTAACTCATACAACTCAGCAGGAAAATATATAACCCAATTTAAAAATGGGCAACGAACTTGAATACCCATCTCTTTTATATCTCAAAAAAGATGACATGAAAATGTCCAACAGGTATATAAAATAGTGCTCAACATCACTAATCATTTGATTTGCATTCAGATGAAATCAAAACCATTATGTGATGCCACCTCACTCCTCTTAGGATAGCTGTTATCAAAAAACAAGAGATAAGCGTTGGTGAGGGTGTGCAGAAAAGGGAACCCTTGCATCCTGTGAGTGGGCACGCAGATTGATGCCTCCATGATGGAAAACAGTGTGAAGATTCCTAAAGAAATTACAAATAGAACCATCATAAGACCCAGCAAATCCTGCTTCTGGGTGTGTATCCAGAGAAAGTGAAATAACCTGGGTATCCATAAATGGATGAATGAATAAAGAAACTGAGATAGATAGATTATGTGCAGTAGAATATTATTCAGCCTTTAAAAAGGAGGAGATCTTGCCATTTGCTACATGAATGGACCAGGAGGACACTTTGCTGAGAGAAATAAGCCAGACACAGAAAAGTGTCGCATGATCTTAATTATATGTGGAATCTTTAAAAAAATAATAAAAGTCAAATATATAGAACGGGAGAATAAACTCATGGTTAGTGGTTACCAGGGTTGGAGTATAGGATAGGAAATCAGATGTAGGTCAAAGGATACAAAGTAGCAATTACGCGGGATGAACAAGTTGAAAGATCTAAGTACAGTATTAGGACTATAGTTAATAACCCACTCTTGCCCTGGAAGGTGGTGGTAGGGATGCTAGTTACTATGTGAAATAATGAGTATGCTAATTTGTTTCACTATAGTAACCCTCTCTCTCTCTTTCTCTTTCTCTCTCCCCCTCTCCCTCTCCTCATAACATGTTCTATACCTTAAATATACACAATAAAATTTATTTTAAAAAATTAACTTTGTCTTGACTGAACAAATCATCTGCATTTTTTTATTATTATTATTATTTTTTTTTTAGTCTCACTCTGTCACCCAGGTTGGAGTGCAGTGGCGCGATCTCTGCTCACCGCAACCTCCACCTCCCAGGTTCAAGTGATTCTCCTGCCTCAGTCTCCCAAGTAGCTGAGATTACAGGCACAAGCCACCACACCCAGCTAATTTTTGTATTTTTAGTAGAGATGGGGTTTCGCCATGTTGGCCAGGCTGGTCTCGAACTCCTGACATCAGGTGATCCACTTACCTCGGCCTCCCAAAGTGCTGGGATTACAGGCATGAGCCACTGCGCCATGTATTATTTTTCATTAGTAAGTTTTACTACATTAAGAGTTTCTTGTTGATCTTGATACTCTCTCTTTCAGAAAACTCGGTAGTTGAAGATCCAGATATATAAGCAAGATAAATTATCAAATATAAACAGCTCTTCCTAAAGAATTTAGACAGATTTATTTTACAAATAATTTTATAACTAGATTTTCAGAAATGTATCTGTGTTCTAAAATTAGAAGCTTTTTAGTTAGAGCAGGTATTATGTTAGTGTTTAGTTAATTTTAAATTCTTCATATGCAGGCCTTCATTTGTATGTTGGGTTAAGGTTGACTATCTGACACCACTGTCCAAACCTTGCCCTTACGAACAGCTTGGGGGCCCTTGTTGGGGGCCCTTGACAAGTCTCCCCTGTGAAGGAACTCATAATTACTTTATAGAATTTAGAACAATAGGTGAGAGATTATCCAAGACAAATGTATACTTTCTCTCTTGTCAATACTATTTCCCCCAACACCTTGGTGTGACCAGAGTTTACAGAGGTGACTTTTAGCACCCCAGCTGCTGCTGCAAATGCAGCTTCTGTTCTGCCACCCCTAGCAAGACCGTGGTAGAATTCCGAATCAATGAATCCTCTGTTTTCAGCCCCTCTCCCTGCCAGATAAAGAGCTCTATACTCTAGAAAAGGATAGTATAGATTGATAACCATGATGATGGGATTAAACAGTTTTTTAAAATCATCAAATTAAAGGAGATGTTGGAGCACTGAAGAGAAAAACAGTGAGTTTTAGGGTGGGAGTGGGGGTAGTTGAGGAAAGCTGGGGAGAGTTTTATGGGGAAGGTGACGTTTAAGCTGGGCCTTACTTTATTAATGGAATTTCAGTAGGTGGAGTTGGAGAAGGTGGGGAGACAAATGATGGAACGTCCTGGCCAGGAAAGCATTTGTAAGTTGTTACGAATGGGAAATTGTTCTTTGTGGCCACAGAATAGGTTCGTAAAGTGGAGGAAACAGAAATTAAATCTGGAAAGGTAGATTGAGCCTTTAGTGCCAGCACATTCTTTAGGAGGTTGAAAGTCATTGATGGATTTTGAACTTGAGAGTGATGTCCTCAGAGCTTGGCTTTAGGAATATTTCTTTGCTGGCCATTTGTAAAATAAGTGCTGGAGGCAGAGACCAGGCAGTTAAGTTGTTTTTAGCATCTGGGTGCAAAGTCTTCTTGCTCCTGAACTAAAATAGTGGGAGTGTTAATAGAAAGGAGGGGATGGATTTGAGGCCCAAAGTGAATTTCCAGTCCCCAGCAGGCTTTGTGTTTTTGTACACTGTAGTCCTTAAAGATATTCACGGCCTGTTTCCTGTGATTCTCTCCCCAAACTAGAATCAGCTAGGAAGTAATTACACTTTGTACTTAGCATCCTTTTCCTGGCAGCAACACACAACACAGTAAGGTGTCATGTTTTGGGGACTTAGCAAGACCATCCTAAGGATGTATTCTTACCCAATAAACAGGTTGAAGTTTAGGGAAGCAACCACATGAAATGCTTCCTGGCTGGCCCTCTAGCAGATTGGTGGATTCATGTGGACAGCAAGTGCCCACCAAGCACTTTCTTCTGGGGAATGACCAGGTTGAGGAATTCAGGTATCCCAAGGTTCCGGCTCTAGCCCAGTTGGGCTGTGAATAAAAAACAACATGTTGAGCTCTGAACAGATGATATAAGTAGGTACTTATACCCAGTAAGCATGGCACCCTGCATTGTGGAAGTCAGAGGCAAGAGGGGTGCTCCTGAGAGGCCTACGGCCTAGTTGGGGTTCAGTTAATATGCCTGAAGCGGAAAACAAATCCTAGCCCACACTGGAATGACTGCAAATGACATACTGTATTGTTAGAGACCTTTCTCTCTCTTGCCTTCCCACCTTGCCCTCCACTCACATACAAACACAATCTGCATTTTGAATAATTTTTGCTGTATCTGTTTCCCAGCAGTGATGTGATTGGGCTTGTTTCTGTGAATTAGAAAGTTTAGATTCCTCCCTCAGTCATCTCCCTTTTACCCTTTTACCCCCTTTCAATCTGACCTAGAGCCATAAAATACTTCTGCCTGCCTGCCTGCAGTTCTGTTTGTATGAATTAAGTCGACAGGATAAATATTCACATTCCCAACTACAGGCTGAAACAATGTTTGCCTGTTCTACCCAGTGAGTCGAGAAAAAAAGGGGGCCTGACATCACCCTATACTGTACATTCCCAGCATAGATCATTTATTTAAGTCCCTGAAAAAATACAGATGTTTTACCAGTCGAAATAAAATCCTGTGTAAACACTAAGGAAAATGTGGCACTGACTTAGCTTTGGGGGTTGAAGCAGTGCAGGGAGAAAACTAGGCAAAATGGCAGATACAGAAATTTTATACTTGGCTGAAGGTGATAGGGTCAAAAATATTCACCTGCAGTCTGCATGCAGCAAGGGAAAAACATAGCATTTGCTTTTAAGAAAATACAGTTGCAAAAGTGGACAGGTTTTTTAATCTTCAGAATTTGAGGTTTTTAATGATTACGATACATTTCCCCCATTTATATCTGACCTTTGAAATGAGCATCTCTTTTCTTATTAGAGTTGTCTTTTTTCATAGCCTGTCTAACCTTGTCCTGTTATTGCTGGATCCTGCTGGTTTCTGGAGCTCAGCTGCTGTTGATTTTATAAGGGGGAAAATTGCCTGGAAGCCATGCTTGGTGAAGAGGAAAACCCATCTCAGCGTTGCATTCCCAAACAACCATATATCATCTTGATCTTGTCTAACACAAGTTGCTATTTTAGTCCAGCAGCATAAACTAGACATATTTTACTGGTGCAGTGCAAGTTTTTTCAGGGAACTGCCTCATGTCTCTTTTTAGGCCCATGGCATTTATTCAAAGAGCATTTCAAAGCTGCCAAAATGGACCCCATGCTTTGCACAGATGCCTGGGGCTCCCCTGAGTCTCTCTGTGTTTAGAGTGGAGGGGTGAGGGACAGAGGGTAACTGCTTCCAGGTTCTCCAGACTTCTCAGTTCCCCTCAAACTTTCATTAAGGCTTGCATCTCAGGGGCAAGAAATCAGCCTACTCACTGACACCCTCCTGCAGTGCATTCCCTGCTCCTCCCAGCTGCTTCCATGACCACCCCCTCCTCAGGGCAGGGCTGACAGTCCCATCTCTTGGCAGTTCCATGCCTATGATAGTCATGGATGATGCTGTTGGCTTGTACTTGTTTGTTTCATAATGTGCTTTCAGTCTTTTTCTGATTGGGTCATAACCATCTTAGGGCAACAAAGCTTTCTCCTGTTTCTTGTGCTGATGACCCCTATGTCCACCTCTAACCCTTCTCCAAGGGACCTATTACAGCTAGGGGTAAGCATCTGTCCTCTGTTTTTCCCAGTGTGATTATTAATAGAGCTCCCTTTTGTCCCTGAAGAATTCTTTTTTGCGACATAAATTATCCTAAGTAAAGCAGTCATCACACGGATATTCCCAACCAAACTCATTAATTCCCCTCCCTCATTCCCAAGCCTGCTGTAGATTCTCTTATAATCTCCATCTTGAAAGATGCCCCTTGTTCACCAGCTGCCCAAGTTAAGAGGCTCTTTCCTGCGCCTTAACTCCATGTCTAAAGCAGTTGCCAAGCCCTGCCTCTGCAGCCCGCAGAAGCTCTCTCAGATGTATCCTTTCCTCTCCTTCCATTGCTGTTTTAGTTTAGATTGGGGTGGGGTGGAGATGTCACAAAATCAGAATCCTACCCGTGCCAGGCAGGTAAGTGAACCAAAGGGGGATGAGTATAAACACAGGGGCTCTCTGCCCATTCTTTGTTTTCAAACTTTTAGTAGAGATTTGGGTTCAGTAAGTATTTTATTTTTTTCTTGATTCTCCGAAAGTTTAAAACAAACAAACAAAAAAGCCTAAGAGCTTTGATAAATGGCATTGACCCTCCGTCTTAGTGACTAGAGTAACAGGCAATAGTAATAGTGGTGACAGCGGTGGTCTAGAGAGTGCAGTTCTCATCTCCGGGGCCAGCTCCTGCTGCTCAGCTCCGGCCAGGTGACTGTTTGCCCTACAGGAAGGTGGGCCGCTATAGCCAGATCTAATTTTTCAAAATGGAAATCAGGATGACTTTAATGTGAAATATCCCAATTCATAAAGGTTGATTTAAAAGTACTGTATGGGCTAAATAAAACATCTGCAGCCACTTTTGGCCCAAAGGCTATTGGTTTTGAGCCGCTGGTTTCAACCCTCCCCTCCTCTTGTCTAGACTACTACAGTAGTCCTGGGCATTCCACCCCTTCTGCTATGACCTCCACACTGCCCCTGGCTTTTTTCTCCAAGTTACAGATCTCATCACCCAACAGCACTCTCTGAAGAAATCTTTGCCGTCTGCAGAATAAAGTACACATTCCATGACATTGCCTTTAAGGTCTTTGTCTGACTAGACCCGACTCCTTTCTCCAGCTGTGTCTGCCACCACCCTGTGCACACCCTGGCTGTTCTCTGCGCACACAGGACCACTTGTTGTCCCCTGAGTAGTACCAATATTTTTAAAAATTAAGAGACTATTTTTAGAACCATTAGATTTAGGGAAAAATTGAACTGGTAATACAGAAAGTTCCCAAATATTTTTCTCCTCCCCACCTCTTTCCCCCAATTTTCTCCTACTATGAATATCTTGTATTTATGTGGTGCATTTGTTACAATTAATGAAGCAGTATTTACACATTATTATTAACTAAAGTCCATAGTTTAAGATTCACTCTTTTTGTTGGCATTACCAATATTTTAATACCCTTAAAATGTGTTTTAATTGTTTTCACTGCTTGCATACCCTTCCCTCGATTCTGGCAAGACTGTTTTTAAGGCCACGTATGCATATCACTCTTTCTGCAAAGTCTTCTCTGACTGTTTATTTTTGGAATGGGGCTGGAAGAGAGGGAGCAGACAGAACATGGAAAAGAATCAACATTGTTATCACTTCCCTAGTGCGTGCCTAGTAGTATATATATTCTTTTAAATCTCTCTACAGTCCTACAAGTTAGATATTATTATACGCCATTTACCATGGAGAAACAGAGGTTAAGTTGCCCAAAGCCGCAAAACTGATAACTGGTTTACACCTATCTCTGCCCGGCTTCAAAATCCATGCTCTTCCACTTTCCCATGAGGCTGGATTCTTAGCACTAATCTAGCCTTCCTGCCTCCACCATCAGATGAGGCATCCACTGGGATGAGGAGTACGGCGTGATTCAGCTCTCCGTTCCACTCCAGACACAGAAGTCGGCACTACGATAGCTCACAAAACCCAAGGGAATGTGTCCTAAAGGAGTGAATATAGGAAGAAGCACCAAACACCAACATCGTTTTTATTTGGCAAATGCTTGTTGAATTCCTACAGTGCATCAGACTTGTTGGAGGGGGAGGTCAAGCATACAAACAAAAGTGATGACGATGCTGCCATGCAGGTTGTAAATCATGACCAGGCAGAGTCAGGAAAGCTATTGATTTTTCATGTCTCCATGACTAGAATGTAAGCTACAGGAAAGCAAGGAACTATCTGGTCTCTGCTGCAGCCCCTTGGACAGTGCCTGGTAATAAGAGTTGTTTAATAAATATTTGTTGACAATGTTTGCCAATTTAGGACACATAAAATGACACTGAACTTCTGAGTTCTCATGTGTGTTGGCAGTTAATCATCCTCCTTGGTTCTGGCAGCTTTGGTTTCTCTGTGCTTGGTTCAGTACAGGCCTGGGTCTGACTGCTTTCTTAGCCTCAGAATTCTTTGGGACCAGAACTTTAGGAAAGTGAGGAAGAAAGAGTTGCCTTGCTACTTGCCATCCTTTAAGAGCTGGTGGACAAATTGCCCTTCTTGGGAGCTGCCGGAGCTCCTGAGTCTGACCTTGATCAAATCTTAGTTTCAAAGGGCCTGGCCTTATACCTGGACCTCATGCCAAAGGATGGTCTCATTTTTCTTGAACCCAACACACTAAATGTCTATGAGGTTAGTTGTGTATTCAAATATTTTTATTTTCTTAAAGAAAAATATCTCAAAAACACTAACCTGTTTCATACAATTGCTTATAAAACTTTCTTTCCTTTCTCTTTCCCCTGTCTTCTCTTCTCCCTCTCCTTCCCTGCCCCATTTTTTTCCATGACTTCTCTGACCCTGGCCCTTTGACATGCTTATTTCCGCCACAGTTCTTTTCAGCGTACCTGGCTCTCCATTTGTCTCGTGTAAATAGATCGCTCTCCATTCCTGGTGAATAACCAGGGTCACAATTGTCTGGTTTGTACCCAATGTGACAGAATTGTAGGCTGATTTTCATAAACCAGAGCTACCAAGCGTTTCAAAAACAGTCTTGTTTTTGCCAAGTAAGGTGAGCAAATATAGGACTAAGTTTAAACATCCATCAGGAGTTATTTTTGAAGTGATTGCTTCTAAATGAGAAGCATTTGAAAATCTCACAGGTTTCTTTACAAGTAAATTCCGAAGTCATGCATTTTGCTGGTGTCTGCTGATTAATTGCGATCCTGTGACACCATGAAAAGCCCTGGTGGTTGGTTTTGTGCAGCTGTAGAGAAAAGTAAAGCAAAGCCCAGTGACTTTGCCAGCTCTTTCAGGACAGTGGGGATTCAGGCTGAGGAAGGTATTTTTTCCCTCTGGCAGTCACCACATAAGAACAGAAGCTCCAGCCAGACCCATTGCTCCAGACTCCACGTCGGGTGGTTTGGGTCCCTGCGGGGGTGTGGTGAAGGCATGACATTTGATCTGTTGCTTCTGAAATAACAGATCCATTATTAGACAAAGCATTTTCAGTCTCCACATTGGGACTTGTGTGCACTCTCCTGTACAGTTACTTCTGTTTAGAAGAAATTTATTTTGATTCTCTAAACAGAAGGTGCTTGGCATGTATTTGTTGTTGGTGATTGCAGACGTCTGACCCAGTAAAACCTGCCAGTCTACCCATTTAGGGTCTGATGACTCTGGATTGATTTTATCTGGCCTTTTCTGTTTCTCATTACCCCCTTCCGTATCTAACTCTCAATTATTTCACTATTGTCAGCCCATTGTTGATAGGAGAGAAAGAGAGGAAAACGTTGAATCTGGTTACACAGAAAGAATCATTCACAGCTCTAGAGAAGGATATAATAGGGAAAGAAAACAGATGTTATTAAAATAGACTTTCAGAGTTCTTAGTGTGTTTATCTATGCTTACTTTGCCACACCCACCTCTTCCTCTTGATTTAGATAAGGAGGCTGGAGACTGAAGGATTTCTCTTGACTTGCATTTCTCTCCTTGGCACTAGCCAAGGTCAAAAGATCTCATTTATGCCCTTGTCCTTATTCTTTGTCTGCTATAGATTTGTACTCCTCACAGAGGCTTTGCGGATGTCATTGCTGAATCCAGTACATACATACGTGCATACATGCATATACACGAGTATCCTTGTATAAGTGGGGCACGTCTGCATTGCTGCATTCACTCCTGACATCGAAGGGAAGATCTGCTAAAAAAAAAAAACAAAAAAAACCCTAAATAGTTACAAACATCACTGCCCAGTATTTGCTAAGGCAAGAATTAGTTTGACCTACTTCTTTAGCCACGACTGTTCTAATGAACTCAGACATGTAAACCAGTTTAGACTCTCAAACAATGTATTTTTCTTTAAATTTAAGACTTTGACTTTAAAAGGCACATTTTATTTTCATGTGCGACAGCTAACATAAAGATGTTTGCATTTCTTTGCTGAAATCAGTGTATAGGTTGTTTGTAACTAATAAACTCTTGTGGCAGATGATTGTTGGGCCACAGTCATCAGTTTTGGGGATTGTGTGAGAAACCCATAGCAAAGTATGGATTAAGGACTTGGGTTTCTCGGCACTGCTACATCCTCCAAAACCAACATGCCTTTCTGCAAAGAGACCAGAGCTACATTCTGCAGGTGTCTGTTTTCTTTGAGGGGAACATTTTAAGGAAACTTAAAAGGGAGGAACTGAGCATTTAGGAAAAATATATTTTCACAGCAGGATTTTTTTTTCTTTTTTGGTTTAGGTTTTTCATTTGTTGCAAGCCTACTCAGACTCCAAACACGGAACGAATTCAGACTTCCAGCACGAGCTGACTGACATCACTGTTTGTACCAAAGCCAAACTCTGGCTGGCCAAGAGGTATGTTAAAATCCCACATGAGCAAGGAGTTATCAGGGGTTAGGAATACATTTGAGAATTGCTGTTTCTAGTTGTGGGGAGTTTTAAAAGTCATTGGCATGAGTTTTCTAAACTTATTGGAGTATTTATCCTTTTAGAACTTTGGGTTGTGGTAAAGAAAGAAAAATATTTTCTTGACAATTTTTCTAAAACTGCTAAGTGACTGAGGGGCATGTAATATGGCTTTTTGTCTGCCCACCAATCAGCTTGTTTTTGTTGAAACCTGCTGCGTGCCCAGTCCTGTGTTAGATATTATAACAATGAAAGGCAGTAATTGACTAAATCATGTGGTACAGACTCTTAGGTGCCGTGGCAACTCAGAGATTAGAGATTGCTGTAGGCTTGAGCAGGCACTGAGGGACAGATAGGGTGTGAATAGCAAGAGGGGATGGAAGTTGCCTTTCTTAGGTGGGTAGTAAGGTAGCTTGAATAAGCAAGGCAAAAAAGAATAGAAACATATTTTTCATCCTTGCCATTGTTAGTTTATCCTGGAACTTAGAACATTTACTGTGTGAAAGATGAAGGAGTAAAAGGAATTTCTCATGTAATATACAGGGAGTCCTCTCTGTAATGCCATGTTCAAAATCTGTGTTGCAGGACTCTGGTGGTGGTAGGATAGTGTTAACTGCAAAGGCCCTCCGTAGGTCCTCTGTAAGTTCCACCAGAGTAGCTCCAGAAGAGGCGCATGTGTTAGTGTTACTACCTTTCCTGCCATAGTACACGCATTTAATTAAGAGTCAGTTTATTGGCCGGGTGTGGTGGTTCATGTCTGTAATCCCAGCACTTTGGGAGGCTAGGGCAGAAGGATTGCTTGAGCCCAGGAGTTCAAGAACAGCCTGGACAACATAACGAGACCCCATCTCTACAAAACAACGACAACAACAAAAATTAGCCAGGTATGGTGGTGCATGCCTGTAGTCCCAACTACTTGGGAGGCTAAGGCAGGAGGATGGTTTGGGCCCAGGAGTTTAAGGCTCTAGTGAGCTGTGATTGCACCACTGCACTCCAGACTGGGTGACAGAGTGAGACCTTGTTTCAAAAATAAATAAATTTCTGATGCTTAGAGTTTGAGAAACAAACAAGTTGAAAAAAAAAGAAAAAAGTATATTGGCTGTCTAAAGTAGAAGCCTCTCTTTTTTATTTTTCAAAAAGTGTGCTTTTGGTCACTTTTGTTGGGCTCTTACCTTCTGTGGCAAGTCAAGTAATGGGCTGTGTGAGGCTCTCAAATCAGTTTAATTCAACAAAGCATTGTTGAGCACAGGCTACCTGCTAGCCTTTGTGTTAGGAGATATAGGGATACAAAAATATAAAAGAGCTAGTCCTGGCTCCAGGGACTTCCAGGAAGTGAGAAAGACGTGTATAAATAATTTTCATCTGGTATATTAAGTATTATAACAAATGTCTGTAGTAGGTACAGCATTACGCCAGAAGAGGGGTGAGAGAGGGCTGACATCAAACTGGCCATCAAGAGTGAGCCAGAATTTTGCCAAGTGGCCAACACAGGTAGGGGAATTCCAGGCTTAGGTAACGGCATAGGCAGAGACACAGCAATATGAAACGGCACTGTAGGTTTGCAGAACCATAAGGAAGTTAGCCCTCTGGAACCTAAAGTGTAAGGCACAAGTGGCAGAGAATGGGGCTCAGGAAATATGCCCAGGCCACACAGTGAAAGCTCCTGTAAGAAACCTTTTGGTGAAGGAGCCAGCGGTGGATTTCCCAATGTGTGGATGTGTGTATCTCAATTATTGTCTCAACATTAATAGCTTTGGATAGGGATATTGATGGAGAAATTATCTTGTGTCTGAAATGCCGGTAAAGTTATTGGGAGCCTCTCATTTTTAGTCTGTTAGTCTATTCTCCCTTTTTTTAGACAGGGTCATGCTCTGTCACCCAGGTTAGAGTGCAGTGGCGCTACCACGGCTCACTGTAGCCTTGACCTCCTGGGGCTGAAGTGATCCCTCCGCCTCAGTCCCCTGAGCAGCTGGGACTACAGGCACACGCCACTATGCCTGGCTAATTTTTGTGGGGTTTTTTGGTGGAGAAGGAGTTTCAACAGATTGCCCAGGCTGGTCTCGAACTCCTGAGCTCAGGTGATCCACCTGCGTCGGCCTCCCAAAGTGCTGGGATTACAGGCATGTGAGCCACTGCACCCAACTTGTTTTCTCCATTTTATTTAGAGAGTAGGAGTTGCTTACCCATGAAGTGTTTACCCACGCCTAGTACCATTTGCCTTCTGTGTGGCTCTTAGCATCCCAAAGATACATATCACATCAGTACCCTCAGCTGTTTGCCAGGTAATAGGCCACTTCTTCCTACCTGTTATTTCTGGGGATCAAGAAGTCAGAGCTGTCCAGAAATTATCCTCTGAAACCTGCTTCTAGCCAGGACTGTCCCAAGTATCCTAACACTCTAGTTCTTAAAGTGCTGTAAGGAAGGAGTTTCTGCCCCCTTAGCTTGCTACTCCTTCATGCATCTCGTAGAAAGTCATTATCCACTGGCTTCCTGAGTCCATTACCTCTTGTTGGATGAGATGGAGGAGATGGAGCGGCAGGCCAGCCATTGAGTGGACCTTCATGTTGTGCAGTGCCTGAAGATGGCTGACAAAGCTGCCATCAGCTTCCTCTGCAGCTAAGAGGAAGGGAAGTCCTCCTGGCCTTTTAAAACCTGTCCTGTGGTCCCTATTGCTGTTTTCTAATTGGGCTTTCCATTCTCATTCCCTCTGCTCCCCACCCCACTTCTGATTTTTCTCCATGATTTTCCAGCTCTAGAAGACAAAGGAATGAATCACTGCAATTTACTGGGTTTCCACCTTCCTTGCCCAGAATGTAGGACAGCCACTTTTCTGTTTCCAGTACAGTCAACTCTCTATTATCCAAGTGTGAACTTTCCGCTTTGTGGGTGGTCTGTAAATGGTTCCTAACACCAGGCTTCCTTTTGCTCCCCAGCACACTTTTACAAGTGTTAATCAGAATGTGTTCAGAGCCTGAAATAGAGTTTGGAAGGAAAACATACTGCCAGACAGCACAATGCATTCCAAAGCTATGTATCAGTTTTTCTATATTATCCACATCATTGACAGGATAACTTTGAGGTTCCTAAATAGCAAATTATAGAACTGGGTATAAGTGATGAAGCCTCGGTGTCACATGCCTGCCCTGTCCCTGAGGTCCTCTTGTTCTGGGAGTTGTCTGTCTATACTAGTTAACTCCATGCTCAGACACACCCCCTCTCGTCCTAGCGGTCCCTTCTCAGAACAGACCCCTGTCTTTACTTTCTCACCTGCCTTTCCCATGAAGATATTACAGTGCAGAGTATTCCAAATTCAACTACTGAAGAGGCTTTTTTATGTCCCTGGTAATTTACACATGAAAGAAAAATAAATGTTCCTTTGAGTCTACTAAGGATTTTCTGTATCTTTTGAATATAAGCTATGAAAAATTAATGTTTTTGCAAAGAAAAAAATGTTGCCTTAAATTTTAACACCGACACCCTTTTCCTTCCCTAATTTATTTGATCATTAGCCTGAGTTTCTTCAGTCCCATAAGTACAAAAATGCTAGTGGATATGTATTTGTCCTTTTGTTCTCAAAGAAAGTTTTTAAAAAATTGATTGGCACTATTGGATAACCAATTCAGTCTTTAAATTTTGACTCTGAAATTGAGGGAACATAAAATGAAGACTTTTGTCCTATATTTGTGTTTTGACTTTGCAAGATTAATAGGGATTTATATGAGGTGATTAAGCAATAGCCATGGAGTTGTTGGGGAATTTTTGGTGATGAGTGGTCAGCTGGCAACATGGCTTCAGGAAAGGACTGGGCTTCTGCTCTTACAGGCTGCTTTTCATTCCAGGATGTCAAAGCCTTAATGGAAATCAGCTCATTAATCCTTCAAGTCCTTTCCTTCCTGTTTTCCTCCACTCCTCCCTTCTTGATCCAGTTTACTGTCTAAAGCAGTTTACTAACTACTGAAAGAAAACTAAACTGACCTAGACCAGAAACGAAATGAGAGTAGCCGTCTAGTAGGGATCTGCTGCTGTCCTGGAAAGGATGGCAGTGGGCATCATGAGAGAGGAATCACCCAGTCTGACACTCATGCTAATTACAAAAACTTTTTTTTTTAAGTTTTTTATTTATTTATTTATTTTTTAGTTTTAGAGATGAGGTCTGGCTGTGTTGCCTATGCTGGACTTGAACTCCTGGGCTCAAGCAGTCCTCCCACCAGAGTCTTCCAAGTAAGCTGGGATTACAGACATGAGCCCCATGCCCTGCCACCCTTGCTGCTTGCAGATTCCAGCTCAGCTGTCCCAGCTAGATCGCTTATTTACTTTGGCTAAGAGTTGTAATTAGTATTATATTAGGCTTAAACTTTTCAGAAGTGAATTTGGCTATCTAGTTTCTCCTTCTTTGGTTATAAAAGGAAAAAAATAAGTGTGTATGTGTATGTTTATATATTGCATGTGTGTTTCTTTTGGTAAACTTAGTGAACTAAATGGACTAGTCAGGGCTGGGTGCGGTGGCTCATGCCTGTAACCCTAGCACTTTGGGAGGCCAAGGTGGGTGGATCACATAAGGCCAGGAGTTTGAGACCAGCCTGGCCAACATGGTGAAACCCAATCTCTACTAAAAATACAAAAAATTAGCTGAGTGGTGGCACACGCCTGTAGTCCCAACTACTTGGGAGGCTGAGGCATGAGAATCGCTTGAACCTGGGAGGCGGAGGTTTCAGTGAGCTGAGATCATGCCACTGCATTCCAACCCGAGCAACAGAGAAAGACTCTGTCTCAAGAAAATGAATGAATGAATGCATGCATGCAGTGGATGTGATAACCAGAAATAAATATGTGCCCTACTAAAATTTTTTCACCGTTTTCCCCTTCATTGTTGTGTGCTGCTATATGCTTATCATAGAAAATTAGTCAAGTACAAAATTTGGAAGAGAGTAAAAGTCTATTCTTACCACAATCCATAAATCACTATTATTGGTTAAGAGTTGTATGTAATTCCTTCATCTTTTTTCCTATGCTTTTTTTTAACTTTGTCAAGGCTATACTGTATATGTAAGTTATAGCTTCCTTCCTTTTTTCACTCGATAGTATCATGAGAGCATTTGTTATTATTTCAAACTCTTTGTGATACAGCTACTGTGGAAAACAGTATGATATTTCCTCAAAAAATTGAAAATAGAATTACTATGTTAATCCAACAATTCCACTTTTGAATACATACCCAACAGACTTGAGAGTGGGGTCTCAAAGAGGTTTCCATAGCAGCATTATGCACAATAGCTAAAACATGGAAACAGCTCAGGTGTCCATTGATGAATGATGAATGGATAAACAAAATGTGGTATATACATACACCAGAATATTACTTAGCCTGGAAAAGGAAGGAAATTCCAACATATGCCACAACATGGATGAATCTTGGAGAAATTATGCTAAGCGAAATAAGCCAATCACAAAAAGACAAATACTATATGATTCTGCTAATACAAAGTACATAGAGTAGTCAAGACCTAGAGACAGAAAGTAGAATAGTGGTTGCCAGGGGCTACAGAGAGGAGGAAATGGGGCATTGTTTAATGGATATAGTGTTTTAATTTTACAGAATGAAAAGGGTTCTGGAGGCTGGGTACAGTGGCTTAGAGCTGTTATCGCAGCACTTTGGGAGGCCGAGGTGGGCAGATCACTTGAGGTCAGGAGTTCAAGACCAGCCTGGCCAACATGGTGAAACCCATCTCTACTAAAAATACAAAAAATTAGCCAGGTGTGGTTGCGCACACCTGTAGTCCCAGCTACTTGGGAGGCTGAAGCAGGAGAATCGCTTGAACCTGGGAGATGGAAGTTGCAGTGAGCCGAGATCGTGCCACTGCACTCCAGCCTGGGCAACAGAGGGAGACTCTGTCTCAAAAAAAAAAAAAAAAAAAAGTTCTGGTGATTTGTTACACAACAATATGGATGTGCTTAACACTAGCAAACTGTACACTCAAAAATGGATAAGATGGTAAAGTTTATATTATGTATATTTCATCACAATTTAAAACATTTTAATGGAAAATATTTAAAAGAAAATATACCCCATCATTCATCTGAAGTTATCATTGTCTTGACATTTTATGATAATTATTTCTTTGCTTTTCTTCCTAGTTTTACCACCTGTGCATCTCTAAAAATAAAATACTTTTGCCTATTTTTCAATTAAGAAAAAAAAACTTTGAAAACATCATTTTTGAAGGTAGCATATTTTTGTCACCTGAATAATTACTCATTAAATTTACCTAACCATTGCTGGCATACAGTTTGTTTCCCATTTGTTTAGTGTCGTAGATGATGTTTCAGAAAAATCTTTGTACATGAGTGTGGTGTGTGTGTGTGTGTGTGTGTGTGTATGAGTGTGTGTGATTGTGGGTTATTGCCTTAGGTTTGATTTCCAGAAGTGGAATAAATTGGTCAAGGGGAAATGGAAAAAGTCTTGGTATACACTGCCAGATTGTTTTCTAAAAAAGTCCATCTGCCTACCAACAGTGCGTGAGAGACCTCCACCAAAATTTTAACTAAGATATAAAAAATTCAGTTGAGGAAACTTTTACGTTTTGAATGCTTACTCTGTGCCAAGCTTCGTATGAGGAGATTTGTAAATATTATTTCATTAACTCTTCTCAAAACTGCCTTAATATAAAAAAATCTTTTCTACAGTGAAAACAACTGGGGAGACACACCACATGCCTCACAGCCATTTTAGTTAACATTTCAGCTTGGCATGAGTTAACAGATAAGTCAAACGGGTACAGATTGTTCTTCAGTTTTTACTTTCTATATTACCAAACAGAGATGGCCCTGCGTTAGCATTTTGTTTTGTCTTCTTTAAAAGGGGTCTTCCCCTGGACCCTCCCTGGGGTGCTGCTCAGGCCCAGGCCTGCTGTGCAGTGTCAGCCAGAGGGCTCAAACTGACAGTGCATTCGGGTCAGATTGGCCATAGTTGTGTTTTGTTTGACTTGTGGAGGATTTACATTTCTTTTTTTAAATAATTTGCTGACATTTTAAACTGAGGAAATTTCATAGTAAATCAAGATCTACAGCTTCTTTTGAAAAACTGGAAGATCTGGCACCACCAGGCTCAAATTCCCACGTGGCCACAATGGGCCAGAGCTAAGTCCCAGCCATCCTCCCTTGATGAGTATACTCTGTGCTTCTGCACGGCCCCCGCCCAGCCGCGTCTCTCATTAGGTTACCTGAGCTCCCATGGAAACAGGAGTTTGTATCCCTTGCTATTGGCATTTATTAAGTAGCAGATTGGCTGATGCTAGTTCTTAATGTTCATGGCTGCGTTTTTAGAATCATCTGGAGAGGTTTTAAAACCTGTGATGCCAGGCCTTACCCTCAGAGTTTCTGATTCAGATATTTCAAGTTATCTCACTGGCCCTCAGAAGTACCATTTAAACCTGATACTGTGGTGTGGTTAGTGGTTGATTGTTGTGGAGGCTTATGGCACTTCAAAAAAAAAAAATTGGGGACGAGTGCAGTGGCTCATACTTGTTACCCCAGCACTTTGGGAGGCTGAGGCAGGTGGGTCACCGGAGGTCAGGAGTTCAAGACCAGCCTGGCCAACATGGCGAAACCCCATCTCTACTAAAAATACAAAAATTAGCCAGGCATGGTGGCATGCACCTGTAGTCCCAGCTACTCGGGAGGCTGAGGCAGGAGAATCACTTGAACCTGGGAGGCGGAGTTTACGGTGAGCCGAGATCGCGCCACTGCACTCCAGCCTGAGCGACAGAGTGAGACTCTGTCTCAAAAACAAACAAAAAAAAATGGTTTTTTTGAGAGACATGGTTTCATTCTGTCACCCAGCCTGGAATGCAGTGGCATGGTCATAGCTCAGTGCAGCCTTGAACTCCTGGGCTCAAGTGATCCTCTCACCTCAGCTCCCAAGTAACTGAGACTATAGGTGTGTGCCACTGGACCTGGCTAACTTTTTTTTTTTTTGAGATGGAGTCTCACTCTGTCACCCAGGCTGGAGTGCAGTGGCATGATCTCAGCTCACTGCAAGCTCCACCTCTGGGGTTCACGCCATTCTCCTGCCTCAGCCTCCTGAGTAGCTGGGACTGCAGGCGCCCGCCACCACACCCGGCTAAGGTTTTGTATTTTTAGTAAGATGGGATTTCACCATGTTAGCCAGGATGGTCTCGATCTCCTGACCTCATGATCCACCTGCCTCGGCCTCCCAAAGTGCTGAGATTACAGATGTGAGCCACCACTCCTGGCCCTTTTTTTTTTTTTTTTTTAAAGTAGAGACAGGGGCTTGCTCTGTTCCCAGGCTGGTTTAGTACCCCTGGCCTTAAGTGATCCTCCTGCCTTGGCCTCCCAAAGTGCTGGCATTACAGACATGAGCCACCACACTCAGCCCAGTTTTTTTAAGTTGAAGCTTAAATAGAATAACTATCCCTGTATTACTTCATTCAACAAATACCTATTGAGCCCTGCTGTATGCCAGGCCATATCAAATACTACAACTGTATATTAAAACCACTACTTCAGTGTAAAGAGAGCAACAGAACAGAGTCTTATCAAATCGAATCATTGACCTAGAATTTTAGAACTGGAAGGAATCTCATGAAGTTTATTGTATTAAGAGTCTACTCTCACCCCTGTACATGTGGAGTACTACAGCCCACAGAGGCTGGAGGATTTATCCGTTTTCACACAGTTCACCAGAATTAACATCCTACCTGACAACTACTATCATTTGTTGAGGGCTTAGCTCCCGGCACCTTACTGGGCTCTTTGTACTTGACCACACTGCCTCCATCTATCCAGTGTTTTTATGTGAGGGTTTTGCATGGCAGTAATTTAAGCCTTCTCTAGAACAGTGATTCTCAGAAAGAAAATGTGCACGTGAATCACCTGGGAATCTTATTAGAATGAAGACTCTCATTCACTAGGTCTGGGTGGAGCCTGAGATCCTCCATTTTGACCAGCTCCCAGGGGACAGAGTACGTACCTTGAAGAGCCAGGGTCAGAGTGCCAGGCTCTGTGATCTTCCAACTCCCCCATTTGAAACAGTCCCATCCCCATTGCCTCATTCTCAAGGGCTTGTGGCTGAGCTTGGAGCTACAGGAGAGGGCTGAGGCTACTGAAGGGATCAGCCCAAGATTCTCTCCCTACCCACCTGGGATCACCTGTGTTGAGGGGCTTCATGGCCCCAGGGCTCTCTATGGGAAATCCATACTCCGTTGTCTGGGCCGCCATCCCAGTGGCCTCAGTGCCCTGTATGGGACCAGTGTTTTTTTTGTTTTTTTTTTTGTTTTGAGACGGAGTCTCGCTCTGTCGCCCAGGCTGGAGTGCAGTGGCGCGATCTCGGCTCACTGCAAGCTCCGCCTCCCAGGTTCACGCCATTCTCCTGCCTGAGCCTCCCGAGTAGCTGGGACTACAGGCGCCCGCCACCACGCCTGGCTAATTTTTTGGGACCAGTGCTTTGTTGGCATGCAGTGTGTTTATCATTTTTAAAAATAACAGTCTGATATTCTGGTGAGAAAAACAGGCTCTCAGAAATACAAGACCAGGTTCCAAGGTTACAAGGAAAGCAACCTTGGGAATAAATTTTTTGCATAAAACAGTGCTGATGAGGGGAAGAGATGGTAGAGGGAGCTAATGTTTGTTGAAAGCCTGCTCAATGTACCAGACCTAATGACTTGCTACCCCAAGTTAATTCTAATAATCTATCCACTTCCCTGTCCAGCTTTCCTGTAAGTGCCCTTCACACCCCCATGCAGTCCTCCATGTGCCCTTTCATGTGTGCCTCGTCTGCTTCTCCATCCCCCTCATCCATACTCCAGTCACTTTCCTGTCTCCTCCCCTGTCACCCCCTATCCATACTCCCATCTATTCTCCTTTTTCTGTCTTACTTACTGGACCCCACTGAGCTGAGTGGTGTGCTCCTGAAGGGCCTGTGGATTTAAGTGTTTAAGGAAAATATGCTTATAGAGACAAAGCTGAGGCTTTTGTGTGGCAATCCCAGTTCTTCCCTAGGGGGTCTGTGGCTAACTGCAGAAGTTCTGGTGTAGGATTCTATTTTGCTTTACAACAGCTGAAAACAGCATTTATTTTCTCACCACCAAATTTATTCACACAAGAGACTTACACTTCCCAGGCAGAAATACTGGGTTTTAGGTCTGCTTCCATTTTCCCACTGTCCTTTAGCTCCTTCCCAAATCCCTCATGGGCTGGTCCCCTCCTGAAGAAAGAGATCCTTCTTTTGCAATGACTTGAAATAGAAAGAGGCCACAGCCTTTTGCCACAGCTGCAAGTTGCTGTTTCACTTCCATGCCGTTGAAATGAATCCAGTCCAGGATGATTGTTAAAATATTCAGATGATCATGTGGCATTTTAAGGCTATCATTTGTGGTCCGTGCCAAAACTTTAAGGGAAGCAAGTCTTAACAGGGATCGCTAGCCACAGAGCAAGTTTCCAGGCATTGCTAGGGGTTATGTTTTGCCTTTTGGTTTGTTTCTTTTCTTTCTCTCGTTTTTTCTTCTTTCTTTCTTTCCTTCTTTTTTTCTTTCAAAAAAAAGGATCCTCCTTTTTTTAATTTTAGAAAAAGTTATTTTTTTTTTTTAGGAAAAAAATGGAAGAGGTAGTAACTGCTTTTCAATTCCTAGATTTTACTGGAAGAGAGAGGTTCTCATTAGGACCCGTCTTTAATCCTCCAGCACAGCTTGTTCAAAGTCACATGAGCCTCATGCAGATTTGAATGATGAGAGAAATGAAGTTGGTATATTTTAAACCCAAGCATGCTGACATATGTTCACTTCCCTTTCAGACGTCTCAGGAATGTCTAAGGTCATGATATCTCCGGATGAGATCCTGTTTGTGTTTTTTAAATACAAAAGGAAACATTATCGTATTTCAACCCAAGCCAGTGGGACAAGGTGCAAAACATTTTCTTCATTAAATATCCCTTTTACAAATACAGCCTCAAGTTTTAAAGGAATAAGCTGTTTGAGGAAGAGTGAAGTTTGAAAATATATGAAGTATTTCTTGTTGACAGACTGAGCTTATGGAAACGAGTCTGGGTGAAAACAGTCAGAAGTGATCAATATATTATCCTGGGCCCTTGAGCAAGTCGTCCAAGATCAAAGCTTCTTCATACCGCAGCGAGAAATAAAAATAGTCCTTTTACGCAACTGCACACACACCAAGAATTCAACCCCCAACTGCTGATGCTTTCTACTTTTTAAATATAGAAATCTGCAAACCTAACCTGGAGATGGCAGTTAGTTCAATAGAGGGCTCAGAAATCTCTGTCTTGTTCCACTTGTAGCTGTTGGCTTACTGGGGTGTTGCTGTTGGAAGATTTGGACAATGTTGTCATTGCTCAGCTTGCAAGGGAGTGCAGGCTTTAAGTGTCTTCAGCACATTCTCATAATATTATGTAAAGCCCTAATGTAGTGGGTTATGTTTTTTCCTTTAGCATGTAACATCTTCCATCTTTTGGATAAATTAACACCTTTGTTACCTTCATTGAGCCATTCTCAGTCAATTAAAGCCAATTCAGAGTCACAAATATTACAAGACAATGGTTTAGGCACAGTGGGAAATATATGAATGAACGATAATTGTCTCTGTTTCAGAAACCCCACAAGTAAGACAAGTATGGATTTAAATAACTATAAACAAGATTGTGTCAATGCTAGAATTAGTCAAAGTGTGTTGCAGAAGCAGAGAAGGGAGAAATAAATGCCAGCTTGTCAGGGTAGGGGTGTCAAGGAAGTCTTCAGGAAGAGGGAGAAGTCTTTAAAGGATAGGTGAGTTTAATTATTAGATAAGGTTAATTTTTTAGCATGGTGGCATGGGCCTGTAATCCCAGCTTCTTGGGAGGCTGAGGCACAAGAATTGTTTGAACCTGGGAGTTGGAGGTTGCAGTGAGCCAAGATCGTGCCACTGCACTCCGGCCTGGGTGACAGAGCAAGATTCTGTCTCAAAAAAATAATAATAATAAGATTAATTGTCTCAGATTGGAGACTGAGTAAAGTTACACTTGTATAGTACCTTTGTTGCCAAGTAAATTGTGAAGGTCTCATTGCCCAAGTACACAAAAGGTATCTTAGTACAGCGCCCAGCATTGTGGGAACCTAATGTGTGTGTGTGTGTGTGTGTGTGTGTGTATTAGATATATATAATGGAGTCTTTGTTGTCAGAGTTCAGTTATGGTTGAATCTAAATGAAAATTTAGACAGTGAAATACATAGAAGTACATACAGTAAGTACAAGAGTTCAGAAAAGAATGTGGACTAAGATAGTCAAGGAAGGCCTTATCAGAGGAGTTAGATATTTGAGATGGGCGGTAGAGCAGAGTGTGATTTGGAAACACCAAAAAGTGGTAGGAAAAGAGCATATCAAGATGGTGGACCAAATGTGCAGTGGGATACTGGAGGGAGTGCATGTGATGTATCATGGGCCAGTGAGGAGATCAAGCTGAGGGAAAGCTGCTGTGCTTTAGAGAGCAGTGCAAGATTTGATAAGAGACCAGTTGTGGAAACCCTCAGATGTCAGCCAGAGGAATATGGACTGGATCCAGGAGTTAAGAGGAAGTTAGTGAGCTCTGGCTGACACTGGTAAGTAGGCTGCTGTCTATATGCACATGAAATGCACTAAATGCTTTACATCTTTCCAACCTCGCTTAGTGGTCATCAGAGTTTCTAGTCTCTCTTAAGGATTAACAGAAATCTCTCTATTAGCAGTCCTTGTCACCTGGAAGCCCCTGTTGCCTGCCTGGGCAGCTAGTAATAGGAATAGAGATATCTGTATGCACTTGAGACCACATAGGTTTTGTCTTTCCAATGTTGCTAAGAGTACCATAGAACCACAGAATTTATAACAGTAAAGGGAATTTAGAGATCGTCTAATCCAGTGGAATTCATTCTTCAAACAAGCTTATGTGGAAATTCAAGATATTGAAAATAGTAGAGATGGTTTCAATATGGTCTAAACTGGGGTGGGGGCCCGGAGACCCACCTGCATGGCTTCCTTCCTGTTGGTAGCCCCAGAAGGGACTAAGAGAAGCACCCTAACTCCCTATTTCAAAACAGTGATCTAATCTAAGCTGATATTTGTAGAAGAGGTAATAGACACGGGGGCAGGCGACTTCTTCCTACTTGAAAGATATGGCTGTCTCAGAAGATGGCTCAAATTAGGGATGTAAATAGCAAGTTTGTTTTTTGCCTCTTGACCTGCTTTCTTCCTCTCCCGAGGCCTGATCATCCTTGTGGAAAATTCTACAACTCCATGTCCTTGGGCTGCCAAGGGCCCTCTCTTAGGAGCTGCCTTCCATGGATAGGGCTTCATGCTCCAGACCTTCTTGCCATCAAAACTTAACTATTCTATATCCCTTTTCCTCACTCTCAGCTGGCTGGCTGTCCCTAAATTTTAATATGTAAATAAGTTTGTTCTCCCGGGTCACACAGCTGTTTTCCAGTAGTGACCTGGTAGAGACAGCACCTTTAACTGAAGTCCGTAACTGACGCAGGCTTTACGGCAGTGCGCTGGCCTGGCAGGAGCACATCTGCCCTCATATTAAGCTGCTCAGCCCTGATACATTTGTCCCGTGTGGCTGGGGTTTCGGCCACCTCCACAAGGGCTGTGGGCAGCATGAGCTGGTCTTACATGAATGGGCCAAGGGAGCATCTTGGAGAGAGGCCCTCCTAAGTCTCACTAGCCTTTCCTTCCCCTCAGCTGCCAGTGATGATCAGGCTTCCTCAGCAATTAGACTGGCCTGGGTGCCTCTGGGAATAACACCTTCCCACGCAAGCTCAGGGGCTCACTCTAGGACTCCCCAAGCCAGACGGGTCCTCACCAGTCCGCAGGCTCTGCGTTCCTGGGTAACCACAAGGAGAGTCACATCTAGAGGCACTTGGTGAATGGAAAGCCTCTAGCCAGAAAACACAGTGCAGTGCCATTGAGGAGAGGCAGAGAATACTCAAGGTTAGCAAGTCAGTGGTCTGGCCTCTGCTGGACTACTGCCCAGCAAGGTGTGGCCTGTAATTTCCTTAGGCCTGAGTTTTCATCTGTAAAGTGGGAAGCTCTAAAATGAAGGTGTGAAATAGAGGAGACCAGGGGAGGGCATAGTGAGTAATGGAAGTGTAAACATAAAAGTGCTAAGAAGATACGGGAACTATCTATTGTCAAATAACGAAGTCTCTATCAACATAATCGCCACGTTGAAAATGTGCCTTTATGCTGGTCCTCACAGAAACAGCTGCACTTGGAGCCTTGCTTTTCACCAGACTGGCTACCAGGATATAACACCAGTCTACGTGGTTTCTAATTGCTTGGCCCAATGTCTCACTTTTCACCTGATTGTGTTTGGGACACATAGATACAATTTGTTTTCTAGAAAACCTTGATTCTATTCTTGGTTTCTGCCCTTGTCTTGGCTAGGTCACTTGAGCTACTTTGTTGATTTATAAAAATGGGAATGATAATTTCTATTTTTCTTCCTTCTTAAGAATTTTATAAAGATAAAATAAGAATACTTTTTAAAGAGAAAACTTTTAATATAATAAGATGTTGATATTGTTATTATCATTCGTACTATTTTTACCAGGGCTAATTTCCAAGTGTGTGCCTTGCCAAATTCACATGACCACGGTCCTATTGACGGTGCTGTTAGAAATTCTCCCCTTGTGATTTACATAGCTCAGGCAGCATCCAGAAGATTTCATCCACCTCACCTATTTATCCTTTTTTATGCTTTTAGGGAGAAAGTAAGGTTTGAAAAGAAAGGGGACTTGTGTTAACATTCTATATAAGATTTGAAGCTATATATCTTCCAAGCCCCAAACTGTACAATAAAAGTTTTCTTGGATACTACTTTTCTCCCATAATTCCTAGCACATAGTTTATTAAGTTATTAACCAGCAATTACTCTGGCAGCATATTAAACTTTACTTTTAAACAAGTCACAGAGGGAGGGAAACACGCATCTCTCGTAAAAGGAATAAAAAACATACACCCTCTAAAACAGTTTCCCCAGGCTTTGAACAAATCCCAAGCCCCACACCAAGGTCTCTTTTTCATCATTCTCCGCACATAGCTTGAGTGTTAGTACAGTAATGAGAACAAGATGCCTAATAGAAAGATGGAAAAATATGAGGATTCTGGAGGCTCCCTGGGGGCTCTCTGGAAAGGCAGGTGATTAATATTAGGAGGGAAAGGCAAAGGCATGGCATTGAAGCTGTGGGCTTCCTCCAGCAGCAGCAATCCTAAGGGAAACAGAGGAGGCTGTGGCTTTGGCCCTAACCTAAAAAGAGGACCCCAGTACCTTTTGCAGACTGCTGGGGCCTTGCTGAATGCCTACCCAGAACCCTGGTAGGAGTGGGTAAGGCCCTCTGCTTTCACAGATTACATTCCCCAGGATCCAAACCTGCTCTTCCAGGGAAAGCCCACTGTGCTCTGCAATGCATAGCTGGACCTTCAGTCACTTTCTGGACAGACTAACAGCTCACGGTCTCTCACTTTGTGCATGGTAGCTCAGTAAGAATTCCGTATAAGTTGGTCCACCACCAGAGCAGGGCATGGAGGATGGCTTCACTTTAAAAGGAAAATCCAAGTAGGAGGGCTGTGGGGCAGCATCTACATATGGCTGTGAGTATAAACACTCACAAAGCTCCAGACCAAGAAAGGCAGGATGGATGTTGGGGCATACCATAAAAATGCAACTCTGCCGTCACACCTCCCCCAGGGAGGGCAAGGTAAACGAGCAGTCCTGGTAGCCAGCCAGGCCCTACAAGCTTCTGCCAGCTGGCCCTGCATGCACAGCTAAACTCTCCATGTTACAGTGGGGGAAATGACTTGTTTAAATATATATATTCTACAGTTCATCACCATTTTGCATTTTGATTTAAACAAGTCCCCTATTGTTTGTCTAAGAGTGCCATATGATGGTTACTTGGCTGGGGGCCATGGTAAAAATTGGAAATCGGAATGGCAGATGTGGGTTCTTTTTATTTAATTTATACTTCCACATTTACATGGCTTAATGTGGCCTCCATCAAAAGAAGTACCTCCTAACTCCTATCCACAGGATATAGCCAAATATAAGGAGAGGCAGTATCTGGTCCATGGACAGCTGTTACAATGATGTGAAGTGCTCAAGACTACAAAGATGGCCAGTGGGATCTCTGGGAGAAGGGGAAGCTCAACAAAATATCCTGGGTTCAGACAGCCATTCAGCGTATCCTCAGAGGTAGTTGTCTGGATCATTAGAAAAGTAATCCTCTAGAAATAGAGGAGGGGCTTTGAAGTGAGTTGGTTTTTAGGGGGGTTTGTTGTTGTTATTGCTGTTTGAGATAGGATCTCACTATGTTGCCCAGGCTGGTCTTGAACTCCTGATCTCAAGCAATCCTTCCATGTCAGCCTCCAGAGTAGCTGGGATTATAGGTGCCTGTGCCACCTAAACCCAGCTTGAAGTGAATTTTAAATAAAGGGCAGGAGGCGGGTAGATATGTGTCAAGTGGAGGGATCATAATGGGATGTGGAAACATGTTGTAGACTAATTTCCCCTTTTTCAACCATTTTCCCTCTCCCATTCTTCTAACCACCCCCCCTCTTTACTTCTCCCCCCACTCCCCTTCTCACCTGCCTTCTCTCCCTTTGCCTCTCACCCACTTTTCCTCTTAACCTGGTTTCCTTCTTTCCAGCCCGTTATGGGCCTGCTGGTGGTCCCTAGGATATTGCTTCATTAACTCCAGTGCTGGCTCCATGACAAGAAGCTTCTAGTACTTCTTGCTTATTGTGGTTGAGAACAGAAGTGATCTGAGCTGCTTAAATAGGAGCTAAGATAAGAGAACTACCCCAGATGGGCTGGGATGAGCCTGCCAGCTGCACCTGTTTGATTTTTTGGAATTCCTTCTCTTTCACCAGCTCAAACCCCTCCAATGCCTCTAGAGCCTTCCTCCATGACAATCATGACAATCAAATCAATCCTCTGTTTTTATGTGTATTTTTTTCTCCACATATACCCCTCCCCCAACAAGATCATAAGCTCTGCAAAGCCATAACCTTTTCCTCTCCCTCCCCTTCCCACCCCATGTAGGATATCCCCCGTACTGCTCAGTAAATGTTTCTGTATTAATAAAGTTAAGCCATGTGTCTTAGAGACCTTAACAGACAGTAGCAACCTAAAGCCAAAACAGCAGTTTCCAGCCCTCTGAAGATGGCAGTGAATTCTGGTAGAGCTTGGTAAGTCCAAAGTGAATTCCCTCTCTCTTCCAGGAAGCCCACCAAGGCTTCACAATATTGAGTGGGGACCCCAGCTGTCCAGTGTGACTTGAGCTTATGGGATCCCACTGGGGTCTTCATTCTTTGGAACTTTTAGAGCTCTGAAAGACTACTTCTGTTTCGGGCCCCTGTTGACTCATCCCATATCATTTCCTGCTAATCCCACTGGCCATCTTTCTAGTCTTGGCAGTTCACATCATTGTAACAGCTGTCCATGGACCAGACACTGCCTCTCCTTATATTTGATTATATCTTGTAGATAGGAGTTAGGAGGTACTTCTTTGATGGAGGCCACATTAAGCCATGTAAATGTGGAAACATAAATTAAATAAAAATAACCCACCTCTGCCATTCCAATTCCCGCCCCCCATACCATTGTCCCTTTTAGCACTTGTTATTCTCTAAACATGTCATGTCCCCAAGTCTTTGGACATGCTACTTCCTCTGTTGTGGTCACTTTGCCCAGGTCTACCTCCTCCCCATTCTCCAACTCTCTGCCAAGGCCCTTCCTGACTCACCCAGACAAACAGTTACTCTGTTAATCCCTCCTTTTGGGGCACCCATCATACTCTAGCATGACTGGTTGTGTGTTTTCCCAACTACACTAGTGGCTTTCAAGTGTTTTTTTTTTTTTTTTTTTGACAGACATTGACAACAAGAAACAGCTTTTACATATGACCTAATGCATATGTTTGTGTGTATATACTGTGCACACACACATGAAATCATGCACAGTCGGAAATTTTAGTAGCTGCGTAAGATATAAATTGCCAAAAATGCAACAGAGAGGGAATTTGCTCAAGATAGAGCATATTTAATTTCAGGAATGTGTGCTTTCAAGATATCCACTGCCATTTTGGATACAAAGCATAACCCTATTGATGCCATTCAGTATAATGTAGGGTAGCTTATTACCTGGAAAAGAAAAAGAAAAAAGCTAGACCAGTCAATTATTTTACTTAAACTTGTTGCATTTTAATGGTTATTTAAATCTTAAAGATAACTTATTAAAAATTATTCTTAGCAAGGACTTAATGGAAAGCTGATACATAACAAAAACCTTAGTGAAACAATCCCTTGGGAAATCTCTGAACTTCTTTAAATCTCCTGCCCTCTGTCCTTACTACACTACTTTGATACACTCTGATTATATTTTCCTCCTTTCTCCCTCTGTCTTCCTCCTAGCTCCTTTTCTCCCTTCTTCTTCTGCCCCCATCTCTCTCCTCTTCCCTTCCTCCCTCCTTCCCTTCCTTCCTTTCTTCTTCCTTCTTTCTTTCCTTCCTTTATTGCTGGTCACTACCCACTAGTTGATTTCATAACCTAACATACATTTGGAAAAACACTATTCAGGACTCTAAGTTCCTTGAGGGCAGTGACTGTGTCACTGAATCACTTCATCTTCCTATTTCCAAACCCACCACTATTCCTGGCTCTCAGTAGCCTCTTAATAAATGTTTCCTGAATGAATAGGCCTCAGTTAAAAACAAAACAAAACCAAAAAAAAAAACCTGCAGCCACTGGGATTCCGGAAGGGACAGGAAAAGTGAATAATTTATCACAGACTTCCCCAAGACTTCTGCTGTCCTCTAGACACTGGGGCTTTTGTGGACGTGTCTGGGAAGCCCTGCCCTCTGCCTGCCTTGTGCCTCTCCCAACTTCCAGGAGAGAGGGCAGGAGATTTAAAGAAGTTCAGAGATTTCCCAAGGCAAAAACATATTAATCAAGTTCTTAAGTGGATATTTAAAAGGACAAATGGTAAAAAAGAGTGGAAGAAAACAGGATTCTTAACAGGGCCTTCGTTTCATCTTCTGTATGTCAACTTCGTCCGCATAGTGCTGGATTCCTTCTCCTCCTTCGAAAGCCACTAGTAATGCTGCTTTTCAGTGCATCTGCTACATGCTGATCACTTCTGATTTTTTTTGAGCACTATAAATCTTCATTATGCTGTGCTCCATGCCAGGATTTTTCCATTTGGGGGTAGAAAAATTCCCCAAGCCCACCAAAACCCTGTGGCTTAGTTTCCTGTCCAGCTGGCGTGCTGCTCTTCGGGATTTTGTTCCCATCATCAAAGTGGCTTGACAGACTGAGAACAAACCTCTGGCTCACCCTGAACTTACAGTGCACCATTTCCAAGTCAGAACAAACACCAAGTAATAGCAAGAGAAAAAGAATGAAAAAAATTATTTTCCTGACTTAGAAGCCAGTTCAGAGTGAAGCCCAACTCTGTGACTCCAGACAGGGATGTTATAAGGCCTTGGCTGTCCTCAAGGGTGGAGTCATGAACAGTGGGCTCCGGGCTGGAATTTCACTCAGAGTCATCTCAAAGGAGAAGCCATGGATGGACTCCTTTGTGGCCCCAAATCTTCTGTTTCCTGGAATCCAAAGCAGCAGCATTTGAGGGAGCCTCCCATGATCTTGTTGACTACATCACACTTGGCCCCAAGCCTCACAGTTGTGGGAGCAGTCAGTGATTCCTGAAGTGTCCCAGGAGGCCAGTAAGGTCACCAGCCTGTACCGGGTCTAGGGAAGATGCAGAACACTTCAGCCTGGCAGAAGGCTCTAAAGATCGTCAACCTTTCCTCTGTTCATTTTGAAATTTTTAAAAATATGCTAACTTAGCTGAAAATCTCATGGAAACCAGGCTCCTCATCAGACTTGAAAGTCAAACCGGTTTCTCAACAACTTCTCTTTATGGTTCTGTATGGCTCCACAGAAAACCAGAAAAACATTTGGGGCAAGAAGCTATGACTCTGTGAGGCCACATGGGAGCAGGCAGTCAATTATTACACTAAGGAACACCCAGTTAGCATGAAGTATCCCATCACTTAAAAGCCTGACCAGCCTTCCTCTTGTTTCCACCTTATCAACGCATTCTCTTATCTTCCCAAGCTGCCGCTCCTTGGAACTGGAGAAGCCAAATGAATTCCCTCTCACATCTCTTACCCTCTTTCCAAATGCCCTTCCTTATCAACTTTGTCTCTAAATTCTTCCCATCTTACATGGCCCGGTTGGAAGTATAACTTCATTTCTCCAGTCCACCCTGGTGGGTTGGTGGGTTGGTTGGTTGGTTGGTTGGTTTTTTGGGTTAACTCCTTACATCCTATTCTGAAGTTTGTCTTTGTTTTTGTCTCCAAAACTAGTCAAAATTCTCAGGTCAGTAGCCGTCTCCTGTGCATGTCCTCCCTGCACCTAGCTCAAGGCTGGATGCACAGGAGACATCCTATCTGCTTTCTCAGGCCACTGGCTTTCCTCCCTGAATGGCTCTTGCTTTAGCAGGGGGCAGTCTCAACTAGTAGAAATTTTACCATTGGGAATGATATCAATGAAGTTTTTATAGACTGTGGGCTTTCCATAGTGGATGGAAGAGTAACAGCAGAAAGTTACGATTGAGAGTCCCAGGGTAAACTAGAGACAAAAGATAGGGGCAGGGTTAAAAAGTAGAACCCCAGGCTAGACAATATAACAAGACCCCATCTCTACAAAAATAATTTTAAAAATTAGCTGGATGTGGTGGCATGCACCTGTAGTCCCAGGTATTTGGGAGGCTGAGGTGGGAGGATTGCTTGAGCCCAGGAGGTTGAGGCTACAGTGAGCCATGATCATGCCACTGCACTTCAGCCTGAGCAACAGAGAAAGACCCTGTCTCAGAACAAAACAAAACAAAAAAGAAAGAAAAGAAAATGAGGCAAATCTCTATGTTCTTAATAGAATGGTATCCAAAACATATTAGTGAAAAGGAGTGATGATCAGAACCGAGTATATAGTAAGCCATCATTTGTATAAACAAGTGGGTAGCAGATAGATGCTTATAAAAGAATAGAGCCTGGCGCGGTGGCTCACGCCTGTAATCCCAGCACTTTGGGAGGCCGAGGCAGGTGGATCACGAGGTCAGGAGATCGAAACCATCCTGGCTAACACGGTGAAACCCCGTCTCTAATAAAACATACAAAAAATTAGCCGGGCGTGGCGGCGGGCGCCTGTAGTCCCAGCTACTCCGGAGGCTGAGGCAGGAGAATGGCATGAACCCGGCAGGTGGGGCTTGCAGTGAGCCAAGATCGCACCACTGCACTCCAGCCTGGGTGACAGAGAGAGACTCCGTCTCAAAAAAAAAAAAAAAAAAAAAAAAAAAAAGAATAGAATGTGCTTGGAAGGATATGCTAGAAAGTAGTAATAGCGGTTGCCTCGAGAACAGTATATGGGCAGGGGGTAGGGTTGTGGAAAAGGGATTTCATTTTCATTGCGTGTCCTTTTGTGCTTTTTCAATTATTTTTGCATGTGTTACCTATTTATTTATTTATTTTTGAGACAGAGTCTCACTCTGTCACCCAGGCTGGCATGCAGTGGCATGATCTCAGCTCACTGCAACCTCTGCCTTCCAGGTTCAAGTGATTTTCCTGCCTCAGTTTCCTGAGTAGCTGGGAATACAGGCGCCCGCCACCCTGCCCGGCTCATTTTTGTGTTTTTAGTAGAGATGGGGTTTCACCATGTTGGCCATGCTGATCTCGATCTCCTGACCTCAGGTGATCCACCCACCTCAGCCTCCCAAAGTGCTGGGATTACAGACGTGAGCCACCATGCCTGGACCACCAGCACACTCTTAACCAGCCTCTTGTTTTTCAGTCTTACCCCCTGTAATCCCAGCTACTTGGGAGGCTGAGGCAGGATAATCACGAATTCAGGAGGTGGAGGTTGCAGTAAGCCGAGATCATACCACCACACTCCAGCCTAGGGGACAGAGCGAGACTCTGTCTCAAAAAAAAAAGTATCTGATACATATTTTTCATGTTAGACATACACCAGCTCCAGATATAGGCAATTCAGGATAGAGGTGTGAATAAACTTTAAGGAAATTGTAAAACTTAGTTTATAGGAAATGAGAAGGATGGATTTCAGGATTAAGCCACATGGAAACTCACTAGCCAGAACACTTGTGCCAATATCAATGCCATCCCCTAATCCCATGTTGGAAGTAGAGAAGGGCAAGGAATGGACAGTTCTGGAACATCTGCCATGGCCAGGCACTGAGGTGGGCATTTTAAGTTTACTGTGCCACATTGAACACTCACAGTGACTCACAGTAAGTCTGTCTTAGTCCATTTTCTATTGCTGTAACAGAATGTATGTATTGTATTTATTGTAACAGATGGCACTGGCATCTGGTGAGGGTCATCCCATGGTGGAAGGCTGAAGGCAGAAAAGAGCACGCAAGACAGAGAGGAAATCAAGCCAAACTCATCTTTATAACAAACTCAGTCTCCAAATCACTAGCCCAATCCCAAGATAACAACATTCATTCATTCATGAGGACAGTACCCTCATGACCCAATCACCTCTTAAAGGCTCTGCCTCTTAACAGTGTTACAATAGCATTACATTTCAACATGAATTTTAGCAGGGGCAGTCAAACCATAGCAGAGGTGATAATACAGTTCCCATTTTACAAGTCAGGAATCTGATTCAGGTCACAGAGATTGTAAGTGGGAAAGCCAGGACTCAATTGTAGGTCTGTCCCTACTGTCTCTACTACTCACATTGTATTATTAGTACACCAAAGACGTTTTGGCCTTTTCATGGCCAAAGACACTCAAGAGTCAAGGCCCTTCAGTGCTGTTCTTAAAAAGAAAGTCTTTCTTCATCCTTTTGTATATAGATACCCAAATCTGAGCCCACTTACTATTTCTACTATGTTGTTCAAAGAGCTGCTCCATATATTGAATGAAGAAAAAAATCCATTTATTGGGGAAAATGTCATCTCCAGTGTTTGTTAATCTTGCCATGTGTCTATTGTTCAGCTGGTTATTTCAAGTCCACAGATACAGCTTTTCATATGTGAGTGTAATTTTCCTTCTCCACAATACTAAATCTGATTTTCATGACTGATTTTTTTTCCCCCAAATTTCTATACTTAAAAATGTAGAATAATAGAGTACCATCTCCCCACCCCTTCTGTCCCATCTTATTTTCAACTAACTAAGATAGGATCTTGGTGTTTGTTTTCATTTTATTTTATTTGAAGCCAGAGCATAGAGTTGTTATCTATTTTGTCTACACATAGCCTTGGCCTCCATCATATGGTCAAGGATTTCATTTGCTCACATTAGTTGCTTATTTTCTTGCCATCAATGATTGTACATCATTTCTTAATATTTGCCATAGCTGCTTAAGCCCCATCATATACCATAGAAAATACCCATGTTCTCCTTCCTGAGACCCAGACCTAAGGGAGAGAAAATCTCAATTTATATTCTGTTCTTTACCTTTCTAGGCAAAATCCATGTTTGGTGACCAGAGCTGTATATATTGATATTCTCTTCCTATTGACTTGCTGCCTCAACAGATCTGCAAAGGACAACCAGCCAGGTATGATTCATAGTTATACTGTATTTTGGAATCGTTACACATCTTTGAAATGTGGATGGCGTTTTGAGTGGCTCTGCCACACACTGCTCCACCTTCTACTTTTGTAAGACTAACCACACATCAAAATTAAACAGTGTCATATAGTTCCCTCATAGAAGTTTGTCAGGGAAACTTGTTCTTGTTTATTTGGAAGTTTGCCGTTTATTTTCTAGTTGGTCATTCAGGGAAGAGTGAACTCTACTCAGATACCCTCTCTGCATCTACGACCCCGGCTTTTTTCTATTTTATGTATTTTCTTTGAAAGGTCATTATTTTGAATAGCTGTGAGTTCATTCTGTTCCATTCTGTGGAGATAACTGAGCTGGGCTCATTTGATGCTGGGTATTTGAGACTCTCTTCTCAAATCGACCCCTACACCAATGCACTTATGAGTTGCTGCCTCAGACTCTGACTTTCCACATGTTTCTTGGTCATGTAAGTTTCTGGGGATGGACCCCAGATCCACATACAGTTGCTCTATTTTAATCATGATTTGCAAAGTGGTTTTTCTTTTTTAAGGGAAAATGGCAACTCCAAATAAAATTTTTTTGATGTGTTTATATAAGAGGCTACAGGAAGTGCTGTACATGAATTCCAGGCCACGGACTGAAACTGATTTTCATCAGCACAAACTGGAATGCAGGGTAATGAGTCTGCAACTGGTTAAAATCAGCCTCTTCTAATTGATTAGGCCTGTCTAAAGGAGGCTAGAATTACAAAGTCAGATTCTGAGTGCAAGCAGACCAGGCCTTTCCTCTGTTACATTTAGTCTGTCAATGATTTGTTGTCTTCGGTAAATACATTCAGGCTGTCAATGTTCAGCTCTGTTCATATGGAACCCTGTTCCCAAATTCAAACCAATTTAAAATGCTTTGCAGGAGGGAGGTCGGGGAGGTGGGAGCATGCAAAACCGTCTCACCCAGATCGATGTATATTAGCCCACAAAACCCCTGTGGCCATGCAGAGGTAATAAGAACGTGCTAGACTCTCATCAAGTCCACATCCCTGGATAGGAGTAGCTGTTGTATCCTCTTTGTAGTGTAAAATCATATGGTTTTATAGCTATAAAGCAATCCCAGTTTATGCCTCTTATCCCAGCATAATTATTAATAGTGCGCCCTTTTACTCTTGAAAGTGACCAGGTTTGCATAATAAATTACTGGTCACCGTGGCTGTAAGGGACCACAGAGTTGCATCTACTCCAGCTTACCCTTAAGTCAACTGGAGTCTAAAGTTTAAAAAGAGACTATGAATCCAATGTTACCAAGTAAATTGCTTTAGATTTCCACCATTTCTGTATTTCAGTTCCAAATTCCATATAGCTTTGTAATACTTCCCTGCCTATGTATCTAAAGGGCTTTGGCCATAAGAGATTTGTTCATTGCTTACAAATCTACTCACTGGGATTCTGGCAGTTTATGGTTGACTATAATCATTAGTTTATTTGAACTGAGTTTTTCTTGGCTCAGTGCCATTATTCTTTGTCTAGAATGGTTAATCCTTATATGTTGTAAAATACCTTCTTTCTTCCCCAACTACCCATCCTTTACTGATGAGCTGGGTTCCTTGAAGATGACTTTAGCTTTTTTGAACCATCCATTTCTCCAAGCTGTTAACATTATTTAGAGTTTATACCCTAATTAAACAGATCACAGCTTGTTTTCACAAGCTGTGTTTAATAACTTAACAGTATTTCACTTGCATCTATATATTACTCTTAAAGATGTTACTCTACAGAGTAAGATGTGAGGACAGGATGCTTTTATTCTAGTATGACAACCATAGCTCTAAAAATTTTGTCCTGCACTATCCAATACTGCAGCCACTAGTCATATGTGGATCTTGAGCGCTTGAGATGTGGTTGGTCCAAAATGAGATGTTTTGTTAGTGTAAAATACATACTACATTTCAAAGACTTAGTATGAGTTAAAAATAAAATTCCTCAATAATTTTGTATTAATTATGTATGTGTTGGAATGATGTTTTTGACATACTGGATTAAATTTAAAATGTATTATCAAAATTAATTTTACCCGTTTCTTTTACTTTTTAAAATGTGGCAACTAAGGTCAGATGTGGTGGCTCAAGCCCATAATTCAGCACTTTAGGAGGTTGAGGCAGGAGGATTGCTTGAGGCCAGAAGTTTGAGACCAGCCTGGCAGCATAGTGAGGCCTCATCTCTAAAAAAAAAAAAATTTAATTAGCCACATGTGGTAGCACACATCTGTAGGCCTAGGTACTTGGGAGGCTGAGACAGGAGGATTACTTCAACCCAGGAGTTCGAGGCTGCAGTGAGCTATGATCATGCCATTGCTTTCCAGCCTGGGCGACAGAGCGATACCCTGTCTCAAAAAAAATAAAATAAAATAAAATAAAATATGGCAACTAGAATGGGAAAAATAACAAAGTAAAACTGTCATTGAAATATATGTGTTTAACTTTGTCAAATGGAGAGATAGGAAGAATTGTAAATGACATCATAACCCAAAAGGTACATTACAGTAACATTATTAATGATGAAGAATGTGGCTGTTTACATTTTAAATTACATATATATGACTCATTTTTATCAGACAGCACAAATTTTATTCAGTCCTCAGGGAATTGCCCTCATAAAATCGCTAGATGTGTTTGTATTTATGTATATGTATGAATGTTCATGTTCATATAATACATCCACACAAACAGTAGGAGCATATTTTCTTTCTTTGAGGATGGAATAGATTTTTAGAAATAACCAAATACCAAATAAAATGGCAATTAAGATGGAAAGCACTGTTTGGGATAAAAATAAACTGTGCTTAATGTAGTGAAGTCTATTCTTGTGTGTTTTATAAATTGTTCCCCAAAACAGGTTGAGCAATAGATAAATATATCACCAAATAAGGTGATCACTTACTTGGATGTGTAGATTTCAATATGCTTTCAAAATAATGTGATGATATTATAGTTTTAGCATATAAGCTCCTTGAAAGAATGGACCATGTCTTAGATTCTTTGTCGTCTAAGCACATAGTAGGCCCTCATTAAATGGATTTATTAACTGTTTGATGAAATGCAGTTCTCCTCAGTTTTTAGAATAGTAACAGCTGTTATCAAAATACAGATTTTATTTAAACTCATGTATCAAATAGATGTGAATTCATTTTCTGAATTCAAGCAAGGTGTTTATGTGTGTATGTAAATATATATCTGCCTCCATTATTAGCTCACAAAGTCCAGAGTAGGAAGTATACCACATAGACTGAAGCCAAACCTCTGGGTTTGAATCCTAGATCTGCCATTTACTAACTTTGTGACCTTAGGCAAGTTATTTAGCTGCTTTGAGACACGTTGTTTCCATTGTAAAAGGGGACAGTAAGATCTATATCTTAGAGTGGTTGTCAGCTTATACATGTGAAGCTGTCTGTGAAGAATGTGCTTTGCATGGCACAGAATAAATGCTCAATAATATTAACTATTATTAATATTTTTTTGTTGACATGGAGTTTCACTCTTGTTGCACAAGCTGGAGTACAATGGCACAATCTCGGCTTACCAAAACTTCCGTGTCCCGGGTTCAAGCAACTCTTCTGCCTCAGCCTCCCGAGTAGCTGGGATTACAGGCATGTGCCACCACGCCTGGCTAATTTTGTATTCTTAGTGGAGACGGGGTTTCTCCTTGTTCGTCAGGCTGGTCTCGAACTCCCAACCTCAGGTGATCCACCCGCCTCGGCCTCCCTAAGTGCTGGGATTACAGATGTGAGCCACCGTGCCCAGCCTATTATCATTATTATTCGCTGGAAGCTATGCATCTAATCCAGTCTCCTCCAGCCGTGCAGCATTGTGTTCACCTCCTCGCCTTCACTGTTCTCATATTTTTAAACATCTTCAGGAAAGAAGAAATGCCTGCTTTCCTAGGAAAACACTGCAGTATAACATACCTGGCTTAGAATGTCAGGAGTCCACTTGATTAGGGTTGCCCCTGTCCCTCTGACTGATCCAGAAAAAGATCATTTTTTTTCTTGTTTATTTATTTTTTCATTCATCAGACCTGCTAGCCTCAGAGATATATTGAGCACTTGTATCTGGAGATAGAGATGAATATGCCTTGGTCTTATAAGTAGGTGCAATGAAGGATTTTTCAGATGCTGTATTAAAGGAAGTATGTATGGGACACATTTGAGGCACTAAAGAAAGATCATTTCTACTTGAGAGGACAGGAAAGACTTCCTTGAAGAGGAAGTGGTTGAACAGAGTTTTGACAGTGGGTAGGGATTCACCAGGATGGGCAAGGTGGAGGTAGGTATTACAGACAGAGGTAGAAGCATGGCCAAAGCTGTAAGGGCACAAATCAAGCACAGCCTTCAGAGCACTAGGGACATGGCAACTGGGGTGTTGGGTTCAAGGCCAGGCAGGTGTGACTGGTGAGGCTGAGGAGGCAGAAACTCAGTCATGGAAGGCCTCATTCACAGGCCAAAGTCCAAGGAGCCTCAATTTGACCCTGTAGACAAAGGAGTTCATTGGACGATCTAAGACAGAGAGTAGGACTGTGTGGTTTTTAAGACAATGTGACATTTCTTTCTCTGCCCTCATCCTTACAGGATTTTTAGGACCCTTATGGAACCAAGTTCCTAGTGTCACTCCAAAATAATGTAACTGGCTGGATGCAGTGGCTCACGCCTATAATCCCAGCACTTTGGGAGGACAAAGCAGGAGGATTGCCTGAGGCCAGGAGTTCGAGATAAGCCTGGGCAACATAGCAAGACTCCATCTCTACAGAATTTTTTTTTTAATTAGCTGGACATGGTGTTATGTGCCTGTAGAGTCCCAGATACTCAGGATGCTGAGGCAGGAGGATCCCTTCAACCCAGGAGTTCAAGGCTGCAGTGATCTGTGATCACACCATTGCAGTCCAACCTGGGTGACAGAGCAAGATCCTGTCTCTAAAAAAAAGAAAAAAAAGAAAAAAAAAGAATGTAACTGGAGATGCATTCACTTTGCTTTTGCCCAGCCATTTTGATAATCAATATTAGGGGTTTGGGAGGTAGGGAGTGGGGAATGGAGGAACAGACTAGAATGAAAGCCAGCGCTATGGTAAAAGGAATTATTTTAGAATGGTGGGATTACAGGGGAGATTCCTTCTCTTATTTTCTATTTTACTAATTTTATGAAACATAATTCTGTTTCATTATGTGTATATACATATGTTTAAATTAAATGTATTTAAATATGAATCTTGAAAGGGATTGATTATTCCAAAGGAAATGAAGTAATAACAATTTCAGGGAAACTTTTTTGGATGGAGGAGCATCTGCTCATCCCCTCTCCAGTCCTATTCTGTAAATGGCCTTGGAAGGCTGTTCCTACCTCTGACATGTCTTAGAACCACGTTGAAGGGCTAGGGGCATAAACAAGGAGAAAAACAGTGAAGGAGAAAGGCAGAGAAGATTATTAGAAAAGCTTAAGATAATGATGTGTTTTATGTAATTCAAACTTTTATCATAGTGCTTCCCAATCATTTGAGGTTTCCTCAGCCATTAACTAGGTTTTAAAATTTTCAAATCTGGGGGTTTTGTTTTGAGTTTTAAACCCACAAGGACTCTCTGTCCCCTGTGTTCTTTTTCCTCTTCTGAATCCAGCTGTCATCGTTAGTATATATCAGTTTCCTGCTGGAATGGAAAGAAAATTATAGTGTCCAGTTGTAGTTGAGGGAACAAGAAAGAAAAAGCCGAACTGCCACAAGGACTCAGAGGGCTGGGTCTCAGGCTGGGCAGCGACATGGAGACGAGAGCTTTAATTCTTATATTAAACCCATCTTAAATTATTTGCTCTCAGGTTGGAAATTTTCCATTGAAATTTCTGTTTACAGAAATACTATCTAAGACTTGACTAAATATTTACCCCTTTGACAGATGGACTTTCTGTTTCTCTTATGCCCACACCCCTTAAAATTGTGTCTGTCACAGCTACTGAATTGAACATTTTCTTTTACCAAGTATTTAAACAAATACCTACCTGCACTTTCAGACTTTCATTTTAAGCTCTCTTGTTGGGTTTTATGAGCGGGTTTTTCCTTTCCTAGTCTCCATTTTATAAATTTTATGCAACTTGGTTCTTTTATAATTATGTGTATGTGTAATATATTGAAATATGACTCATGAAGAGGATTGATTAATCCTAAAGAAATGACATAGCAATCATAGATAGGAATATTTTAGGCTGATAAGGATTTGTCCATCCATACCCTTCATATAAATGATCTCAGAAGGCTGTTTTCCTACCCCTGAAATATGGATAGGATGCCCATTATACCCTCATTTTTAGGAAACATTGTTTTCAATCTCATCCTCCTTGTTTGTAGGGGGCTATAATAATAGTGGCCAACATTTATTGAGCATCTATCTCTATGCCAAGCACTGCCAAGCATTTTATGTGCATTAATGAAGAAAGTACTAATGTTCCTTCATGAGACCACAGAAACTGAGGCATAGCGAGAAGTGCCTAACATCCCATGTGTGCTAAGGTGGCAGATCCTGAGCTCTCCAGCTGCCCTCACTGTGGCCTCACGGCACAACCAGGGCCAGAGTCAGGAAACATCAGTCACTCGCTTAGGGAAGGGAGTCCGAGAACCCTCTTCGTGGACTCAACTTCCCAGGCTTCTGTCCCTGCTGCAGAATGCCCAGGCCACAGAGAAGGGACCCCCTTTTCAGGAGCTTCCACGTCACAGGCTTTTATGGGGCCTTTCTTGCTTGTGTTTCTGTTTCCCATCCTGAGGGTGTGTGGAATAATACGAGAGCCTACCCAGGACTGGAGCGTGTTATTAGAAAGAGCACGCTTGACTGCTCCCGGGCAGCCACCTGCCCTTTTTCCCTTGGAAAGTGGACCTATGGCCACTGCACAAAACACTTCCTAATACCAGGCTGCTGGTGACTACATTTTGTGGTTTCTTTGTTAGTTGATATTTATAGTTCAGATCTCATCACTCTGCCAAGTGCAATAAACATTTTGTTTTAACTGGAATATAACTTTTATTATTGTTATTATTTTTCTTTTAAATGTCTTAAAAGTGACCAGCTTGTGCAAGTGGAGTCAGAAACCCTAAATAGTCTAAATGCCAAGTCAGTGCGCTCTGTAGATCAGTGTACGATTAGAAGACAGGCTCTCATTTATTACTGCTTGTATTTATATAATGGAAGTTAGGTAACATAAGCCCCTCTGCAGGCCAGCTTAGATGTTGATGATGCTTAAATGGTAAAATCTGTGAGAAATGTTCAACAATGCCCTGTATTTGTACTGCCTAAAACATGAATAATACATATGTGACATGAATAAATAGGTCAGTGATTTTTATGACATATTAATTTCCTTTACCTAAGTTCCTGGGAAATATAGCTGAACAGTTACAGAGAATGAAAACAAACACTGGCATCTTACAAACACCTGCTTTGATTATTTAGTCTAATTAGGTTAAATTTAACTATTTCCATTTTAACAAATTGAAAACAATTCTTATCTGTTCCTCGGTCATGCACTTTATCAGTGTTGGATGCAGATGTGTTTAATATGACACAGTTGGTGCTGTTTTCTCAGCTCTGGGTGGGAAATAAAAAGGAATTGAGAACATATTTTTAGAGTCTTCTGGGGACTTTGTATTTCTGGGCCTATAGCTATGAAATTTTAAGGAGGAGGAAAAAAAAAAAAAAAAAACAGGCTTTGTTGTCAATAAATTAGTTGGTTTTCCCCAAAACACTGGAACTGTCATCTGAACTGCTGCTTGTGCCAAAATTATCTTTCCCAGGGAACAGTGAGCTTCTAAAATAACAGATGTTTCCTAGCTGTCTTTCAGAAGTCAGAATAATATAGGGTATGTTATTAGATTGCTAGGTTAACGTGGTGTTTACTCTGTTAATTCCAAACCTTGCGCTGAGTACAGAGGCCCACAATTCTTTAGAAATTTAGTTTAGAGATCATAGCAATTTAAGTGACTTACCCAAGGTTACACAGCTGGTTAGTGAAAAGGGTGAGCTTTCCTGACTCCTTATTCACCGTCCATTTCTGTGACCAAAGTTAAAGGCCTCATATAATGTGAGAGTTGTGTCTGTGGCAGAACCGTGTCATGAAACCTTCTACCCACATTTTCATCCCAGGAGTGAAATACCGTTCTAGTCAACAACTAGGGTCTCAGAACATCTGTGATTTCTTTTTTTTTTTTTTTTGCAGCTTTGTCACCCAGGCTGGAGTGCAGTGGCACAGTCATGGCTCGCTGCAGCCTCAACCTCATGGGCCCAAGTGATCCTCCTGCCTCAGCCTCCTGAGTAGCTGGGACCACAGGCGCATGCCACTATGCCAACCTAGTGGTTTTTCTGTTTTTGTTTTTAATTTTTTATTTTGTAGAGAGAGGTCTCCCTTTGTTGCCTAGGCTGGTCTCAAACTTCTGGGCTTAAGCAGCCCTCCTGCCTCGGCCTCCCAAAGTGCTGGGATTACAGGCATGAGCCACCATGACCGGCCACATCTGTGGTTTCAGTGTTCTCTGTTCCTGCCTTTCCCAGCTCCAGCTGCACATCACAGATAATCTGAAAGTAGTTGCCCATGTCAGTTAAATTTTTATGCAAGTAGTTTTTGAAAGTCTATTTAAGATATTTCATGTAAATGGAATCATACCTTTGTGGCCTTTCATGTGTGGATTCTTTCACTTAACATGTTTTGAAGGTTCATCCATGTTGGTCATTTTGTTCTTTTTATGGCTGAATAATATTCCAGTATATAGATATCACATTTTGTTTATCCATTCATCAGTTTGATGGACATTTGGGTTGTTTTCACTTTTGGGTTGTTATGAATAATGCTGCTATGAGCATTCATGGGCAAGTTTTTGCTGGGACCTGTGTTTTCAATTCTCTTGGGTATTTACCTAGAAGTGGAATGTCTGGGCCATATGCCAACTCTAAGTTTAACTTTTTGAAGAATTGCTAAATTGTTTCCAAAGAGTCTGCAACCATCTTACATTTTTACCACCAGTGTATGAAGTTTCCAGTTTCTCAATATCCTTACCAACTCTTACTGTCCATCTGTTTTATTAATAGCCATCCTAGTGCTGGGATCTAATTGTGCTTTTGATTTGCATTTCCCTAATGACTAATGAGTTTGAGCATCTTTTCTAGTGCTAGTTGGTCATTTATATATCTTCAAAGAACGGTCTCTTCAGATCCTTTGCGCATTTTTAAGTGAGTTGTCTCTTTTTTTTTTTTGAGACGGAGTTTCGCTCTTGTTGCCCAAGCTGGAGTGCAATGGCACGATCTCGGTTCACTGCAACCTCCGCCTCCCGGTTTCAAGCGATTCTCCTGCCTCAGCCTCCCAAGTAGCTGGGATTACAGGCATGTGCCACCACACCTGGCTAATTTTGTATTTTTAGTAGAGACAGGAGTTCACCATGTTAACCAGGCTGGTGTCGAACTCGCTACCTCAGGTGATCTGCCTGCCTCAGCCTCCCAAAGTGCTGGGATTACAGGCGTGAGCCACCGCGCCCAGCCGAGTTATTTCTCTTTTTATTCTCAAGTTGTAAGGGTTCTTTTTATGTCCAAGATATTAATCCCTTATAAGACACACAGTTTGCAAATATTTTCTCCCTTTCTGTGGATTTTTACTGTCTTCATAATATCCTTTGATGGACAAAAGTTTTTAGTTTTGAAGTCCATTGTATCTGTTTTTTATTGCTTGTGCATTTGATTTCATGTCTAAAATAATTGCCTAATCCAAAGTCACAAAGATTTGCACCCATGTTTTCCTCTGGAAGTTTTACAGTTTTAGTTCATAAGTTTATGATCCATGTTGAGTTAATTTTTATATCTGATAGGAGGTACAGATTCAGCCTCATTCCTTTGGCATATGTGACTATCCATTTGTCCTAGCACTGTATTTCAAAAAGACTATCCTTTCCCCATTGAATTGTCATGGCACCCTTGTCAAAAAGTCAGTTGACCATAAATTAGGGGTTTGTTTCTCGATTCTTAATTGTATTCCATTGATCTATGTATCTATCCTTATGCCAGGAGCACACTGTCTTGATTATCATTACTTCATAGTAACTTGAAATCAGGATGTGTGAGTCCTCTTTCTTCATTTTTCAACATTGCTTTGCCTATTCTGGGTTCCTTGCATTTTCACATGAATTTTAGGATCAGCTTGTTTGGGGGGGGGGCGGGAAAGGGAGGGAGGGAGGGAGGGAGGAAAGAAAAAGCCAGCTGGAATCTTGATAGGGATTGCATTAAATCTGTAGATCAATTTGAAGAGTACTGCCATCATAACAATATGATGTCTTTAAATCCACAAACACTGGATGTCTTTCCATTTATTTAGGTCTCTTTAATTTATTTCAGTGGGTGTTTTATAGTTTTCAGTGCACATATACTTCATGCACATCTTTCATTAAATAATTTGTTCCTATTCTTTTTGATGCTGTTATAAATAGAATTATTTTCTTAATTTCATTTGTGGATTGTTCATTGCTACTGTATAGAGCTACAATTGATATTTGTATATTGATCTTTTATCCTGCAACATTACTGAACAAACTTATTAGCTCTAATAGGTTCTATTGTGGACTCCTTTTTTCTTGACTAATTGCTCTGGCTAGAACCTCCAATACAGTGTTGAATAGAAGTGGCAAGAGCAGACATCTTGTCTCATTCCTGATCCTAGGGGATCTTAAAGCATTCACTCTTTTACCATTAAGTATGATGTTAGCTGTGGGTTTTTTATAGATGCCTTTTGTCAGGTTGGAGAAGTTTTTTTCCATTTCTAGTTTGTTGAGTGCTTTTACCACAAAAGAATGTTGAATTTTGGCAAATGACCTTGCTGTGCCTGTTGAGATGATATTGTAATTTTATCCTTCATTCTGTCAATATGGTGTGAGTTGTGACATTTTATTGCTGAGTAGTATTCCATTGTGTGTATGGCTTGTTTATACTAATTTACTAGTTGATGGTCATTAGGGTCGTTTCCACTTTTTGGAGATCGTGAATAATGCTGCTCTGAACATTCACATAGAAGTGTTCGGTCATATGTTTTCATTTCTCTTGGGTAAAAACCTAGGAAAGGGGTTACTGGATCATATGATAAGGATTGTTTAATGTTACAAGAAACTACCAAAATGTTTACCACTTTGCATTCCCACCTTGCATTCATGAGAAGCATGGCTGATAATGTTGAGCATCTTTTCATGTGTCATGTTTGACTATGTATGTCTTTTTTGGTAAAGTGCCTATTCACATCTTTTATACATTGCTTTTTAAATTCGAGTTGTTTGTCTTACTGGGTTGTAAGAGTTTTTTCTAAATACAAGCCCTTTATACAGGTAAATGTTTTGCACAGTTTTTACCTGGCTGTGGCTTGCCTTTTCATTTTCTTAACATTGTCTTTTGAAGAGCAGACATTTTTAATTTTGATAAGGTCAAATTTATCCATTTTTTTGTGTGTTTTAGACTTTTTATGCCCTAGTGAAGAAATCCTTGCCTATTCCAAGGTCACAAAGATGCTCCCTCAAAACTTCTTCTAAAGTTTTGTAGTTTTGCATTTAACATTTAGATCTGTAGTCTATCTCACGTTAATTTTCATGTGTATCATGAGATATGGTTGGCATTCTTTTTTTTTTTTTTTTTTTTTTTTTTGGTATGGGTATCCAATGTTTCAGCACCATTTTTTGTTTGTTTCTTTCTTCGTTTCTAGAGACAGGGTCTTGCACTGTCTCCCATGCTGGAGTGCAATGGCGAGATCATGGCTCAATGCAGCCTGAAACTCCTGGGCTTAGGAAATCCTCCAACCCCAGCCTCCCGAGTAACTGGGACTACAGGCACATGCCACCATGCCCTAATTCTTAAATTTCTTGTAAAGACAAGGTCTCACTATGTTGCCCAGATTGGTTTTGAATTCCAGGGCTCAAGCACTCCTCCTATCGTGGCCTCCCAAAGTGTTGGGATTACAGACGTGAGCCACCGTGCCCAGCCCCCAACACCATTATTGCTTTAAATATTTCCTCCATCTCTTGCCCTTTTTCCTTTCTTTCTGTGATTCCATTCAAATGTAAATTAAGTCACTTGAAGTTGTCCCATATGTCGCTGATGCTCATTCTTTTTTTTTAATCTGTTTTACTTTTGATAGCTTCAACTTTTGTGACTCTAAATTCACAAACTTTTTCTTTTGCAGCGTATAACGTACTACTGTTCTCTTTTAAAAAGAATGATACAGGGTCTCACTGTGTTGCCCAGGTGGCCTTGAACTCCTAGGCTTAAGCAATCCTCCTCCCTTGGCCTCCCAAAGTGCTGGAATTACAGATGTGAGCCACTATGCCCAGCCTCTGCTATTATTTTCATCTTGTGAATTTTTTTTAATTTTAGATACTGTATTGTTCATCTCTAGAAGTTTCATTTGTGTCCTTTTTATATCTTCTATATCTCCCTTTATCATGTTCAGTCTTCCTCTAGATTCTTGACCATATGTAGCAGGTGTACGTAACTGTTTTCATGTTCTACTTTCTAATTTCATTATTGCTGTCATTTTAGGATATTTTTAAATTTTTTTTCTCCTGGTTATGGGTTATATTTTCCCACTTCTTTGCGTGCTTATAATTTTTTATTAGATGCCAGACAATGTTAATTTTATGTTGTCAGGTATTGGATTTTGTTTTATTCTTTAAAGTGTTGGACTTTGTTTTAGCACACAGTTGAGTTACTTAGGATTGGTTGGATTCTTCCAAGACTTGCTTTTAAGCTTAGTTCTGGTGGGTTCAATCCAAAGAGGAGCCTTTAGTTTAGGGCAAATGTAGCTCCTCTAACAGGATCCTTCTGAGGTCCTACATGATGTCCCATGTGTTACAAGGTCTCTACTCTGGGTGAGAGAACACATAACTATTGTGAGCCTACATGAGTTCCAGGAATTGTCCAGCTCACTGCTTTCTTGCAGTTCTGCAGTTCTTTTTCTAGCCTTTCAGAGTTTCACCCCTTGCATGTGCAAATCAGTATTCAGCTGAAAGATTCACAGGGTCCCTTGGTCTACAGATCTCCAGAGCTCTCTCACTATACAGATTTGTTCTCTCCGGTATTGTGCCCCACAAATTCCAGCTGCCTGAGTCTTCCCAAACTCTGATATCTCATCGTTTCAACTGAGCCAAGACCTCTGGGCTCTGGGTTCCTCCTCTCTGTACTGGGGCTTAGAAGTTGCCTCTTGGCAGTAAGCTCAGGCAATTGTAATGCTTCCCTTATTGTCTTCTTGTTGAGTCTTGCATTGCTCATATCCAATGATTAAAAACAATAATTTCATACATTTTGTTCAGTTTTCTAATTGTTTATGGTGGAAGGACAGTTCCTGCAATGGTTAATCTTTCATAGACAGAAGCAAAAATCACTTCCATCACCTTGTCTTGAGGCCTCTTGGTTCTTCAACTGTAAAGTGGGCATAATACCCTCAGAGGATTGGGATAAATGTCATAAAAATTGTGAATAGTCACATTACAAGAAAAAGCCAACATTGGGAGAACAGCAGCTATCAAGAGATAAAACTGATAGCAAGAACAAAGAAATGAATGGCCATCACATCCAGGGTGGAAGCAGCTGGATCCTGACTCCCAGGCTCATTTCCATTGATTACCTGGCAGAATTAACCTAACTCCTCTCTCCATGTTGGGGCTGGACTTCACATTAAAATAGGAGCACTCCTAGTACAACCAGATTTTGTTGGATTTTGCTAGCAGCTGTATACTGCACCTTGCAACATCACAGATGATTTGGTGCCAGGAACCTCTTCAGTCTCAGACTCTACAGACCCTCAACCCCAGGGGCATTCCCAGAACTAAATTGTAGCACTAGCAAGGGACTGAGATGGGTGATCCTAGCCTCTCTTACTACAGGTGAGGCAACAGAGGTAAGCCCATTATGTAAAGGAATCTTCCCAGTTAGCAGTTGACTCCCAAGTTGGTTTTGCAGTATCCCATGGACTAAGTGTGGAAGAGAAGCCCCAGGTCCTTTGTGAGTTAGAGTTTAAATTAAACAGGGTCATGGTGGACAAATTTCTGATTCCCAATCCTGTTCTTCGGACCAATTCGCCGAAAGAACCAGAAGTAGGCCGAGCGCAGTACCTCACACCTGTAGTACCAACACTTTGGGAGGCCAAGGCAGGTAAATTGCTTGAGCCCAGGAGTTCAAGACTAGCCTGAGCAACATGGCAAAACCCCATCTCTACAGAAAATACAAAAAATTAGCCAGGCATGGGGGCTCGTGCCTGTAGTCACAGCTCCCTGGGACTGAGGCTGAGTTGGGAGAATCACCTCCCAGACTCATTTCCATTGCTTCCTGAGCCCGGGAAGGCTGCAGTGAGCTGCGATCATACCACTGCACTCCGGCGTGGTAACAAGAGTAAGACCCTGTCTCAAAAAAAGAAAGACAGAGAGAGAGAGAGAGAGAAGGGAGGGAGGGAGGGAGGGAAGAAGGGAGGGAGGGATGGACAGGAAAGGAAAGGAAAGGGGAAAGGAGAAAGAAAAGGGGAAAGGAAACCAGAAGTAGTGTATGCTTAGAAATAACTATGTTTGTGTCTTTGGGTTGTCATGTGTTTATCCACAGTAGTTCTGGACTTCCTCCCTGTGTTGGGCAAAGGCTGAGATGGGATGGTGGGTGGAGGCAATAGTAAAAGCTGTGGGTCCCACCCAGGGCCTGGTGAGCTCATCTTTAGCCTACCCAGATCCTTTGAGCTCTTCTGGCTCTGCTGTCTCCCAGGCCAGAGGGGCTGTGTTTTGATTTTATGGGCTGCCAGGATAGTCTTTAGAGTATCCTCAGAAGCACATCCTCCTTCCTCAGCAGCCGATCGGGAATCCTACACTTGAAAAATACATGCCTTTGAGAGTATGCTGGGACAAGGAAAAGTAGGAATGTTTTCCAAGGGGTGTGTGTGATGGGGGCCACACCTGTGTAAGCAGAGATGATGGGGTTCAGAGAACCAGAAACAAACCAAGGCAAGAAATAAACAACCAGTACTAGTTCAGGGTGAGACAAAGTTAGTTTCCAAATCCCTCCACCAGGTCATTCAACATGTTTGTAACTGGAGGGGCCCCTGGGGTCAGGATTACAGTTTACTGGGAGGGTCAAGGATTAAATAGAAGAGTGGAATTTCCCTTTGATAAGGAGAAGCCAAGATTTATTAAGTCAGTTTATTCTGTTGTTATTGTTGTTGTTGTTCCTATGGTTTCCTTTTCTCTACAAATATAATTTTTTTAACGGAGAAATTGCATAACAGGACATTGACGTTAAGAGTGTACAAATTATCATCTGTGATTATTTTTAGAACCAGTTTATCCACCATTTCAGATAAAAACTTTTGTTGGATCTGATTACAGAGCTCTGACCAATGCTACAATTCTTTAAAATAGAAAAAGCAGGCTGTCTCCCTATGCATTGAAAGTGAAGTCTAGGCCGGGCACAGTGGCTCATGCCTGTAATCCCAGCACTTTGGGAGGCCGAGGTGGGTGGATCACCTGAGGTCAGGAGTTCAAGACCAGCCTGGCCAACATGGCAAAACCCTGTCTCTACTAAAAATACAAAAATTAGCCAGGCTTGATGGCTGGCGCCTGTAATCCCAGCTACTCGGGAGGCTGAGGCAGCAGAACCACTTGAACCCGAAAGGCGGAGGTTGCGGTGAGCCGAGATTGCACCACTGCACTCCAGCCTGGGCAACAGAGTGAGACTCCATCACAAAAAAAAAAAAAAAATGAAGTCTGCTCTGTATTTTTTCGTCTCCTACTTTTTTAAGGAGGTTGGAGATACTGGGAGAGAAAGGGGAGAATAGAGAAAACTTTAGAACAGTTATGTCTGCAAAGGAGAAATTCACTTATTTGTTCATTCATTCCTTTGAGGCAGAGGGAAGAACATGTGCAAGTGCAGACAGAATGAGGAGCCTTCTGAGACTCAGATGACCTTCCACGGTGGCACGACCAGTATCACTGCCATTTGCACTTATAAGTGACATTTTGTAGTAGTGAAACCATTTTTTTGTTGTTGTTGGGTTGGTCTTTTCAGTCCTGAGGAGGATCCTTCTGCCTTCATGGATACTGACTGCTGCTTCTAAATAGAACAAGTTGTGTGTGATTACCGGGGCTTTGCCTCCCCCATAGTCATCTTTGCTGGGACCGAGAAAATGTTGTCACTCTGGGCCTTGCATTTTTTCTTTCTTGCCCTTTTTATTTTGGCACAAGACAATCAGGCTGTCTTGATGAGTGACGTAAGAGTGAAGGCCAGGAACTGTATAATATGCAGGAGCTCTCTGAGCACTAGATGAAGGGGTTGACTTATGATGAAGGGCCATGGTGTACAAAAACAAATACCATTAAACACTAGAATTACACACATTCAGCATGGCAAGATGTTTACACTGTGGAAAGCATGGATGATGTCAGATGGTCTGAGGTGGAGGCCTTGAAAGTGCGGTCCCTGCCCCAGCAGCATCAGCATTACCTGGGAATTTGTTAGGAAATGTAACTTTTGGGGAGCCCTGCTCAGACTTACTGAAATTAGAAACTTGGGGTGAGCAGCTAAAGTTTGAGAACCGCCGGTCTGAGGTAACAGTACAGCAACCCTACATGGGACATTGACCACTGATTGGAATGCCAGGGGAAACTGCCCTCTCTAATTATTATTCCTCCCCCACCCCCGGCCCCACCTAAAGTTAAATTCACCTAAATTAAATGCTGTTATGATGTAACTTCACTGTATCCATAATTATGTGGTAATGATATTACCATTTTTTTTTCAGAATGCCCTTGTTAAAGCTATTTAGATTAACATGCATCTTTTAAAAATTATATTGATTTTTTTTTTAATTTAACAAACCTATATGAGTAGCTCAGAAGAGCAAAGGTGAATGGCCCACAGGCCTTCCCTTTTGGGTTATGCTTCTCCTCTAGAGAGGAGAGAGACTGCCCTAAATAATAGAACAGGACATGCTAAGTATGATGCCATCCCTGCTCAAGGTCTGTGCTACTGTTAAATCCTCTTTCAGCAGCCTGTCAAAATTAGCACTCTCCCTTGGTTAGTTAGGGAGTGGCAGTTTTGATATCTAAAGTTAACTTTCACAATGACTGTTCATGTTGCAGACATTACACTGGAATCTCCAACCTACCAAAGAACCAAACACTGCTAAGATAACACATCTGATATTACCAAAGGAATTGTGTGAATGGGCCACCATACTCCTTTATGCAAAACACTCCTCAGTGCCATGAAGGACTCTGCAAAGTTCCTTCAGTTTCTTCCTGAGAATAGAGGTTCCTAATAGTTATGCCATCCAAACAGACTAGCCTCAAGAAGCTTTTATCAACTTCTCCAAAGCTGTAATTCACTAGTGCTGCTCCCTGGTGATTTCACCAGCCCATGGCACAAGGAAGCTATAGCAAAATGATACTATAGCAAATTTGTCTTTTTTTTTTAGTTTTTTTTAGTTTCTTAGTTTTTAGTTTTTAGAGATAGGGTCTCACTATGTTGCCCAGGCTGAAGTGCAATGGCTAGTCACAGGTGTGCTTATAGCACACTGTAGCTTCAAACTCCTGGGCTCAAGCAATCCTCCTGCCTCAGCCTCCCAGCTAGCTGGAACTACAGGTGCACGCCACGATACCTGGCTACATCTTTTTCTTAAAAACAAATTTCTTTAAATTATCTTTTATGATGACACTATGATTTTTTCCCTTTTGGGGCATAAGAGACTTTCTTTCATGAAGTGATAATAGATAGTAGGTTTTTAACATCCTTTGCAAAATAAAAAGCTGGCAACTTACACCAGTCTGCCACATTGTGACATTTCATTAGGAATTACTTCTCCAGGAAACCAGGACATAGCACAGTAGGAGGTATTGTCCTTCCATGTGAATCCAGCCATTCAGCCATTCCCTTGAAGGCCAGAAATTTACTTGCTCCAAAGAGTGAAAAAAAAAAAAAAAGTTAATTCCAAAAATGAAATCAAATTGGATGCAAGAATCAGTCACACATACTTGAGTGGCTGAGTTGACTGCACTGGTGGGAAAGTACAAAGACTTTCCAAACAAGGAGGGCTGAAAAAAGCTCCAGCCAGGAAGAGTTAGAAAAAAATCACTCTAACTTAGGAAAAGTACGATGGGGCCATTAAAGCAGGGACTTGATTCTTTCACTCAAACATTTGGGCTTTCCAACAAAGAAGAAACCCAAATCTATCAAAGTTGAGGTTGCAAGTAGAAAAGGTAAGGTTTCAGATGGGTGTGGTGGCATGCACCTATAGTCCCAGGTACTCAGGAGGCAGATGTGGGAGGATCACTTGAGCCTAGGAGTTCAAGATCAGCTTGTGATAAACCATCTCTTTTCCTTTGTAAAAAAAAAAGGCAAAGAAGGTTTAAAAATTACAGTCTGCTAAAGAAGAAGGCTGCTAAACTTCAGACTGGATCAAACTTCAGTTATTTGTGTCCTGCAAACGAAGGGCACTCATAGAAATGAAAATAAGTACCACGTGTTCATCTAGACTCTTTATGGCAGGACACAAACGTTGTTGCACCAGGGAAAAATCCCGATTGTGAAAACCCTTTGACGAACTCTACCTGCAGTGGGAAACAGACTGTACCACTAAAACAGTAGCCGTCAATCCCTGCTGTACCTAGGTCACTTTAAAACTAGACTGCTAGGTTTCACCCCAGAGATGTGGTCAAGTGTCCCCTGACATGAGTATTTTTCTAAAGCTCTCAGATTAATGTAATGTGCTTTCTGGGCTGAGAACCACTGTGCAAGAGAAAAGCAGCATTTCTTTGTTAGCTGCTGCAGTAGCTTATGCTGAGGTATTGGACATTCCTGCCTCCAACCTTCTGTTCCACCTAGAGACCCTCTCACTCTGGGTACTGAGATGGAATAGGGGAATATGGTTCCTGTGGTCCCCACCCAGTTGGAGCTCCATGAGAGCAAAGCCAGGTCTAATTCACTGCTGCATCTAGACCTAGAACAGAACCTGCACACAACGAGCCAGTGTTTACATTGCTGAAGGTCTGGCCAGGTGGCTGGCCTGCCTGCCAGGAACATTCATAGTGCGTATTCGTTCTTTTGAATTCTTGGTTATTTTCTCTCCTTTGGTGTTTTTATTTGAAAGAGAAATTGGGGCATGGTGAATTTTCTAGTTCTTCACTACTGTGAAGTCCTGCGCTGGAATCATACGTGCTCTGCGTGAAACTCCAGTGCCCTACCCACCCATAAACCCTGCCAACCCGCGTGAAAGTTGGCCCTGAGGAGTGTGGTTCTCAGCTGGGGTGCAGAGCAGAATTACCTGCCAGTTCTTAAGATTACAGCTGTCTGCGCCCAACTTGAAACCAACTGAATCAGAATCTACAAGAGTGGGATTCAGGCATGTGTGGTTTTAATATCATTAGTCATTACCTTTACTTGAGGGCAGTGGTTTTTAAAATACCTGGATCAGCAGCAGCAGCTTCACCTGTGAGCTTGTTGAAAATGCAAATCATCAGCCCCATCCCAGGACCTGCAGAATCAGAAACTCTGGGGTGAGGTCGAGGCAGCAGTCCGTGGTTTCACAAGCCCTTCGGGGCATCTCCTTGAGTCCGAGTTGCTGCACAAACAGAATATTTTTTCCAAGCAGCAGTTTGGAGAAAGTGCCTAAATGAATGTCACTTGATAATTTCCTCCCTTTTGGCTCTAGGTCTAACCTCTCTTGCTGCTCCTCTGTTGACACATTAATTCAGCAAACTTATTTAAAGGTCTCTCTGTGTCTGTTCTCTCCTAACTCTCCCTGACACGTTTGCCCTTTCCTCTCCTCTCCCAGCAAGGTTCCTGTGCAGCCTCAGGGCCCACCTTAAATTGTGTTGCCTCTTGAAAGCCCTTTTTCCATTTCTTCCAGTAGAATATCAGTGCCATCGCATTCATTTTGGTCTTTCATATGGCTTTAGTGTGTATTCTCTTTACCTACCTTTTCCTTAGTGACCTTGAGCAAGTAACTTCACCTCTCTGTTTCCTCATCTGTAAAATGGGAATAATAATAATAATAGAGCCTACCTCATTAAAGAGTTAAATCTTGTCTAGGTGCTCAGAATAATATCAACAAGTGTCAATTCTAAAAGTAATTTTTGTTCTGGCACGGTGGCTCACGCCTGTAATCCCAACACTTTGGGAGGCTGAGGCAGGAGAATTGCTTGAACCCGGGAGGCGGAGGTTGCAGTGAGCCGAGATGGTGCCACTGCACTCAGCCTGGGTGACAGAGACTCTGTCTCAAAAAAATAAATAAAAGTAATTTTTATTCGTAGCATTAAATCATGGGTATGTAATATTTTGTAATTACAGAATAGTACATGACATGTAAATACTCAACAAATGTCAGCTTTTTTTTTTTTTTTTTGCCTTGAGACAGAGTTTTGCTCTTCTTGTACAGGCTGTAGTGCAGTGGCACAATCTCGGCTCACTGCTACCTCCGCGTCACAGGTTCAAGCAGTTCTCCTGCTTCAGCCTCCGGAGTAGCTGGGATTACAGGCATGCACCACCACACCTGGCTAATTTTTTGTATTTTTAGTAGAGGCGGGGTTTCGCCATGTTGGTCAGGCTGGTCTCAAGCTCCTGACCTTGGGTGATCTGCCCACCTTGGCCTCCCAAAGTGCTGGGATTACAGGCATGAGCCACTGTGCCCAGCCCAAATTTCAGCTTTTATTAGTAACAATTTTAGGACACTAAACATTTTGTGATTTTTATAGGTTTTTGTTGGTGTTGTTGTTTTTGAGACAGAGTCTCTTCTGTTGCTCAGGCTGGAGTGCAGCAGCCCTATCTTGGCTCACTGCAAACTCCGCCTCTTGGGTTCAAGCGATTCTCCTCCCTCAGCCTCCTGAGTAGCTGGGATTACAGGTGCCCACCATCACGCCCAGCTAATTTTTGTATTTTTTTTAGTAGAGACGGGGTTTCACCATGTTGGCCAGGTTGGTCTCAAACTCCTGACCTCAGGTGATCTGCCCGCCTCGGCCTCCCAAAGTGCTGGGATTACAGGCGTGAGCCACTGCGCCCGGCTAGATTTTTATAGTTATTATTGTGTACTTGTTCTTTGTCCTCCCATTGGTCTTAAAGCTCTTTGAAGCAGATCTTTTTCTTTCTCAGCTCTGCATCTCTGTATCTCCCAAAGTACCTAATGCAGTTAAGCTTCCTTTATCCAAAATGCTTGGGACCAAACATGTTTCAGATTTCAGGTTTGGGTTTTTTTTTTTTAAATATTTGCATATATAATGAGACATCTTGGGGATGGAACCCAAGTCTAAACACAGAATTCATTTATGTTTCATACATACCTTATACACATAACCGGAAGGTGATCTTATTTTTCCCTTGGGGACACTGAATAAACTGCATCTGTGTGTTGACTGCATTAGGTCAGGTGTGGAATTTTCCACTTATGGCACCATTTCAACACGTAAAAAGTTTCCGATCTTAGAGCATTTTGGATTTCAGATTTTCAGATTAGAGATGCTCAACCTGTATATGCTTAGGAAATACTTAAAGAGTTAATACTCAAGTCACAGGCAGTGTAGGTCAAGAAGTCCCAAAGGAATGTCTACCTTCATTACACTCATCAGCATGCTTGCTCCCCATCTCCTCCTTCTTTGGGGTAGTGCCTTCATTCCCTGGCTTCCTGGTGATATCATCCCTTCTTAAGGCCCCAGACCAGAAAAATGGGTCTGGGTGTCCAACTCTCAAGTCCAGCAGACTATACTTACACTCAGCCTGGACTATATCCAGAACAGCCCAGATAGTTCTTCCTGTTGTTAATTACAATTTTTTTTTTTTAATTTTTTTTTTATTGATAATTCTTGGGTGTTTCTCACAGAGGGGGATTTGGCAGGGTCATGGGACAACAGTGGAGGGAAGGTCAGCAGATAAACAAGTGAACAAAGGTCTCTGGTTTTCCTAGGCAGAGGACCCTGCGGCCTTCCGCAGTGTTTGTGTCCCTGATTACTTGAGATTAGGGAGTGGTGATGACTCTTAACGAGCATGCTGCCTTCAAGCATCTGTTTAACAAAGCACATCTTGCACCGCCCTTAATCCATTTAACCCTGAGTGGACACAGCACATGTTTCAGAGAGCACAGGGTTGGGGGTAAGGTCACAGATCAACAGGATCCCAAGGCAGAGGAATTTTTCTTAGTGCAGAACAAAATGAAAAGTCTCCCATGTCTACTTCTTTCTACACAGACACGGCAACCATCCGATTTCTCAATCTTTTCCCCACCTTTCCCGCCTTTCTATTCCACAAAGCCGCCATTGTCATCCTGGCCCGTTCTCAATGAGCTGTTGGGCACACCTCCCAGACGGGGTGGTGGCCGGGCAGAGGGGCTCCTCACTTCCCAGTAGGGGCGGCCGGGGCGGCTGGCCGGGCCGGGGGGCTGACCCCCCCCACACTCCCTCCCGGACGGGGCGGCTGGCCGGGCGGGGGGCTGACCCCCCCACCTCCCTCCCGGATGGCGGCTGGCCGGGCAGAGGGGCTCCTCACTTCCCAGTAGGGGCGGCCGGGCAGAGGCGCCCCTCACCTCCCGGACGGGGCGGCTGGCCGGGCGGGGGGGCTGATCCCCCCCCACCTCCCTCCCGGACGGGGCGGCTGGCCGGGCGGGGGGCCGACCCCCCCACCTCCCTCCCGGACGGGGCGGCTGGCCGGGCGGGGGGCCGACCCCCCCACCTCCCTCCCGGACGGGGTGGCTGGCCGGGCTGAGGGGCTCCTCACTTCCCAGTAGGGGTGGCTGGGCAGAGGCGCCCCTCACCTCCCGGACGGGGGGGCTGGCCGGGCGGGGGGCTGACCCCCCCACCTCCCTCCCGGACGGCACGGCTGGCCAGGCGGGGGGCTGACCCCCCCACCTCCCTCCCGGACGGCACGGCTGGCCGGGCGGGGGGGCTGACCGCCCACCTCCCTCCCGGATGGGGCGGCTGGCCGGGCGGGGGGCTGACCCCCCCCCACCTCCCTCCCGGACGGGGTGGCTGCCGGGCGGAGACGCTCCTCACTTCCCAGATGGGGTGGCTGCCGGGCAGAGAGGCTCCTCACTTCTCAGACGGGGCAGCTGCCGGGCGGAGGGGCTCCTCACTTCTCAGACGGGGTGGTTGCCAGGCAGAGGGTCTCCTCACTTCTCAGACGGGGTGGCCGGGCAGAGACGCTCCTCACCTCCCAGACGGGGTCTCGGCCGGGCAGAGGCGCTCCTCACATCCCAGATGGGGCGGCGGGGCAGAGGCGCTCCCCACATCTCAGACGATGGGCGGCCGGGCAGAGACGCTCCTCACTTCCTAGATGTGATGGCGGCTGGGAAGAGGCGCTCCTCACTTCCTAGATGGGATGGCGGCCGGGCGGAGACGCTCCTCACTTTCCAGACTGGGCAGCCAGGCAGAGGGGCTCCTCACATCCCAGACGATGGGCGGCCAGGCAGAGACACTCCTCACTTCCCAGACGGGGTGGCGGCCGGGCAGAGGCTGCAATCTCGGCACTTTGGGAGGCCAAGGCAGGCGGCTGCTCCTTGCCCTCGGGCCCCGCGGGGCCCGTCCGCTCCTCCAGCCGCTGCCTCCCGGGCGGCCGTTAATTACAATTTTAAGAGCAGATTTCTGAGCCATATTTCTGACTGTGCCAAATAAATGAAATTCCTTTTGAATGTAATGCTGTCCTCTAGCAGCAGTGGGTAGGAAGGATAGGGAAATGGTACCTGGAGATGATAGTACTGTGCTCTTATTATTATTAGATTGTTATGAGATTCGGTTTTTAGACATTGAAACAGAGATGACACAGAGGTTGAAGATCCCAGCTGCCCAGGGTTTCCCCCACTGCTTTATAAAGATACTGCCTGGCTGGGCTCAGTGGCTCCCACCTGTAATCCCAGCACTTTGGGAGGCCGAGGCGGGCAGATCACCTGAGGTCAGGAGTTTGAGACCAGCCTGGGCAACATGGTGAAACCCTGTCTCTACTAAAAATACAAAAATTAGCTGGGTGTGGTGGCGTGTGCCTGTATTTCCAGCTACTCTGGAGGCTGAGACAGGAGAATTACTTGTACCGGGGAGGCGAAGGTTGCAGTGAGCCAATATTGTGCCACTGCACTCCAGCCTGGGTGACCGAGGGAGATTCTGTCTCCAAAAAAATAAAAAAATAAAAAGATGCCTCCTGGTGAGCTGGGAATTCTGCAGTGTCTGAGTTAAGAGTAGCGGTATGGCCGGGCACGGTGGCTCACGCTGTAATCCCAGCACTTTGGGAGGCTGAGGCGAGCAGATCACGAGGTCAGGAGTTCGAAACCAGCCTGTCCAGCATGGCAAAACCCTGTCTCTACTAAATATACAAAAATTAGCCAGGCGTGGTGGCATGCTCCTGTAATCCCAGCTACTCAGGAGGCTGAGGCAGGAGAATCACTTGAACCCTGGAGGTGGAGGTTGCAGTGAGCCGAGATCGCACCACTGCACTCCTGCCTGGGCGACAGAGCGAGACTCCATCTCAAAAAAAAAAAAAAAAAAACAGTAGAGGTTTGTCTGCAGCCCCAGATGGTGGCCTCCCTGGGGTCCCATCATGTTGGAGCCCAAGTCCAGTCCCCATTTTGCCCCCTGTGACAGACTTTGAAACAATTTGATGTGTTACATAAATACTCTATATTTTTAAATCTCGAATTATTGCAAGTCTATGCAAATTTTCAATTTCAAATAAATTTTTCTGTTACCTGAATGTTTTACATATGCATTATGTTTATGTTAGTTTTCTAGAAGTCAGCAGAGTTCTCTGAGTTATAATGAGATGATAAATATAAACGGTGTTTTATTAGCTATAAATGCGTATCACTTAAATGCTGTCTGGTAAGCCAATCCAGGATAAACTTGTTAACATCTTGGGTACAGTTGTCAGGATTTATCAGAGAATGCTATGAATATAATATCTAAATTTTGGCAAGGCATTTGGTGAAGTCTGTCATAAGTTCTTGTAGATAAAACTTCATGGACAGAATGATACAATTAAGAGGATTCATAAGTGGGGGATGACTCAAACCGAAGAGGGCTAGTTAATGAATTAGTGAGAGCCTGGAAGAGCGTTTGAGGCAAGGGCCAGCAGGGAGCCTGCTCACCAAAGGCCTCCACCCTCCAGCTTGCCCACATTTTTAGTAATTATTTGATTTTGGGCATTTAGGCATTCCTGTGAAATTGAAGTTTGCCAACTACTTTGTATGCGTTTTTGAGATAGGGTCTCACTTTGTCGCCCAGGCTGGAATGCAGTGTCAGCATCCTGGCTCACTGCATCCTCAACCTCCTGGGCTCAAGTGATCCCCCACCCAGCTGACTTTTTATTTTTTGTAGAAATAGATTTTCACAGTGTTGTCCAGGCTGGTCTCAAACTCCTGGGCTCAAGCAGTCCTCCCACCTTGGGCTCCCAAAATGTTGGGATTACAGGCATGAGCCACCACGCCCAGCTGGTTTACCCAATTTCTATTAGATGATGAACATGTGTGAAGAACTGGGTGCTGGGAGGTACCCGAGACTCCTACCCTAGTCCGCACCCTCATTCCCTAGTCCTGCCAGTTTTATCCCTTCAGTGTTTTTTTTTCTTTCTTTTTTGCCTTTTTAAATGATCACCTTGGCTTCAGACCTTCAGCGTTTCTTAAACCCACCTTCTCCTGATTCCTTCTGAACTTAAGGCCCTCGTCATTTATTTCTCTCCTGGACTACGGTGCAGTAGTGTTGTAACTGGTCTCCCTGCCTCTAATATTGCCTCCTCAACGATAAGAGCACTTCAGTGAAAATGGGCCCCTGACCTTACTGCTTAAAATAACCCCCCAGTGGCATTCCGTTGCATACAGAACTAGCTGCTTCACATTGTCTAGGAGGCTTTCTGTACTCTAGCCACATTTCTTCCCTAGCCTCATCTCCTGCCCTTTCCCACCTCAAATTTTATGCTCCAGTGTTATGGGATGGCCTGTAGTTCCCCACATGGTCCGTTCTGTTTCATGCCTTTGTTGAGCCTTTGCTCAGCTGGTTCCCCTGCCTTTGGTGGTGCTAACACATTGTCACCTGTCTTCCTCTTTGAGGCCTAGGTTATCATTTGTACCACTATATTGGAATTATGTGTTCATGCATTTCTCTTTCTCAAACTAGACTGACTATAAACTCCTTAAGGGCAGTGATCTTATTTAGCTCCTAGCACATAGTAAGCAGGCAATAAGTTTTTGGTTTTTTTATTTTTTTAATCAGAACTGAGAATATGAAAAGATCTCGGCAAATGAAAGGTAGACCATAAAACTTAACAGGAGGATAAAATTTAACAGGGATATACTTGGGCTTAAAATAAACAAAGAAAACACATCTTGGCTTAAGTACTGAGTACAAAGTGGGAGAAAGATGACTCACCACCATCAGTAGACCACGTCAAAAAAGAAGGGCTGTGGTTTCAGTTGACTTTGTGCTCCATATGAGTCAACAGTGTGATGCAACTCCAGTTCAGAACAGAGAAAGTAATAGTCCTGCGGGTCAAACCATGCAGGAGATTTGTGATCCAGCCTATTGGCCATCCTTTAAGAGAGGGTGAGGCATGTCCACAGGAAAGCAGCTAGAATAATGAGAGACAGTGACCCCATCATTTGAGGAAGGAAGTAGGAATGTTTCATCTGGAGAAGACAGAGGGGACACAAGAATTGTAATCAAATGTCTAAAGAGCTGTCATTGGGAGCCTCAAAATGTAGCATTAGGCCAGTGAGTAGAAACACAAAAAGAACTTTTTGACAATTAGATCTACTAACAATGGAATAAGCTGTCTCATGAGCTCCAGGGTACTGTAGGGTTCAACCAAGAGCTTCTGGGAAAGGGTGTTACAGAGGGGAGCTTCACCCCTGAAGGAAGTTTATACTAGATGTCCTCTTCTCATGGTCAGCTTTGAGGCTCGGTGATAAGAGGTCACTGAGTTCGTATTTATTGAATGTTGAGGAGGGGTGCCAGGAACGCATTTTCTAATAGTAATGCCTTTGTGCCCCTGTTGGAAAAATTATACATTACCTAAATGGAAATTGTTGTGGACTAGAAGTCTGAACCTTAGAGGGCCACTCACTTATGACAGTGTTTGAAATCTGCTTATGGGAGACATCTGATGGCCTCACGCAGTGGATTCAGTCTTCATTCTTTCATGTCCTTTTGTGGAAATTTAAAGTGATTATCTCTTTCCCTTTTGCTTTTTTTGCTTCTTAGTTCTGGAGAGTCTTGGCTTCTGGGAGGAAGTCAGAGGGATTATCTCAGGATCAGAGCTGATAACGGGATTCCCTTGGGCCTTCAAGGTGCCAGGCCTGCCCCAGTACCTCCAGAGCCTCACCAGACTAGCCATTGCTGCAGTGTGGGCCGCGGCAGCCAAGAGTGGAGAGCGGGAGACGAATGTCCCCATCTCTTTCTCTCAGCTGTTAGAATCTGCCTTCCCTGAAGTGCGCTCACTAACACTGGAAGCCCTCTTGGAAAAGTTCTTAGCAGCAGCCTCTGGACTTGGAGAGAAGGGCGTGCCACCCTTGCTGTGCAACATGGGAGAGAAGTTCTTATTGTTGGCCATGAAGGAAAATCACCCAGAATGCTTCTGCAAGGTAAAGTCTCCAACGTACTGACTGGCCCTTTACACTCCCCACATTCTTTTGTGAGCCACTGGAATGGTAGGATCATGAAGGCAAGATTGGGTTTAGGCTCTCCAGGGGCAATAGGAAGTAGATTCGGCAGCCAGTGGATAAGGACTCTCTTTTTATGGTGGTTGGCATGGCGTCATACCTGGTAGGGCACCAAGAAAAGCTTTTGATGATAGGAGTATTGATGGCAGAGATTAACCAAAGACAGAGCAAACCACTTTGGGATGTTTAGGAAACAGATCATTAAAAATTCACTGTAGAGTGTGTCAGAGGTAGTCTTTGCTGACATGGCTATTTCAGGGCAGTTGGCCACCTGGGAAGCATAATCAAAAGGAAAGGGCACTGGCCTAAAATCAGGGCATCTGGCTCCCATCCCAAGTCACTAGAGGCCCTCTGGTTAGTCATTGCATCACTCTGCCTCAGTCTCCCAAAGGTATTATGGGGGAAATAAGAAGTCAGTGGGAGCCTTTTGAAAGGTAGACCTCTTGTTGATACAATTGATTATCATGTAACATCTAGAGACATCTCCCTGAGTATTTATTTCTCTTTTTTGTGTGCGGATTTGGCTTACACAGATACTGAAAATTCTCCACTGCATGGACCCTGGTGAGTGGCTTCCCCAGACGGAGCACTGTGTCCATCTGACCCCAAAGGAGTTCTTGATCTGGACGATGGATATTGCTTCCAATGAAAGGTTTGCCCCCAAAACCTCCTGTGCAACCTTGGTAAGATGTATGGTCCCATCAGTCATTATGTAATGAACTTGCACACAATCCTGCCCTCAGGTCTCAGGTCCTGTATTTCATTCTAAACCTCAGCCTAAGAGTTCTAAACTCAAGCAATAGAATGATGTCAGTGATTTGCATTAATAACCAAAAGGTAATTGCTTCCGGAGGCATTTTTGTAACCAGGAGGTAGAGATTTTCAGTATTCACCTCTGCATGGATTACAGACTATCTGCAAAAACCGGTGTATGAAATATGTCTGATTGTAATTTTGTGTTGTTTTTTTGTTTGTTTATTTTTCTAGATCTGAAATTCAGAGTGTAGCTCTGAGACTTGCTTCCAAAGTCATTTCCCACCACATGCAGACATGTGTGGAGGTAAGGCTGGTTCTGATCTTGTTCCGGGACCTAGGATTTTTTGTTCTCATTTACTCAGAAGATGTCAGTAAAAGTGAACAGTCTTAGCAGGCAGAACCCCTGTGATATGTGTATGTAACATCTACAGAAATATTGTTCGTGCTGGTTTTTCAATTCGAGTATAACTTCAAAAGACTTCTTTGGACACCACCTTTCTTTTCTCTTGTTTTAGGATTTTTTTTTTTTTTTTTTTTTTTTTTTTGAGATGGAGTTTTGCTCTTGTTGCCCAGGCTGGAGTGCAGTGGCACGATCTCGGCTCACTGCTACCTTTGCCTCCCAGGTTCAAGCGATTCTTCTCCAGCCTCAGCCTCCTGAGTAGCTGGGATTACAGGCTTGTGCCAGCACGCCCGGCTAATTTTTTGTATTTTTAGTAGAGGCGGGGTTTCACCATGTTGTCCAGGCTGGTCTCGAACTCCTGACCTCAGGTGATCCACCCGCCTCGGCCTCCCAAAGTGCTGAGATTACAGATGTGGGCCACTGCGCCCAGCCTGTTTTAGGCATTTTTTTAATTAGAGTTCAAAGGGATAACAGAACCTTCCCCCCAAAACACATATGCCCAAACCCCTTGTTTTTTCCCCATTTCTCTAGCTGGACTCTTTATTTAAAGAGGAGTAAGCATGTCAATTCCAAAAGTATTTAGGATTGCAACCTAGTGAACTAAGTATGCAAATACATCGCTAAGGCTTAAATATTCCCCCAGAACATGGCCCAGCTGGCTCTGGATGGAGGCCCAGATGCGCCCCACCTGTTTTACATGTCCTTTGGTAGTGAAATAGAACCGAAGTAAGAAAAACAGCTTCCTGGGAAGATGTCTTAAGACAAATACATGCTACTTAGGTGCATACAAGATAGCACCCTCACAGAATCACAAGTAGAAGGCAGCCAATACCACAGGAAAATTACCTGAAGATCCAGATTCCACACAGCCACACTGATGGTGGTGGCATAACATTGTGGACCCTGAGCCCTTACAATAAACCTAGCACTGCTGTGTAGGTACTGAAGATACAGAGATGAACAGAGACTAGAGCTATAGTCTAATGAGAGAAAGTTAGATAATTACATTAAATGCTCTAGTAACAAGGTGTGCCAGGGCCGTGGGAACCCAGAGGAGGGAGTGAGAGTTCAGAGGCTGAAGAAGACTTCATAGAGGAGATCATGAAGTTCAGAGAGCATGAGGCTGGGCAGAGATAAAACCAAGGGTAAGAATTAACAAGCAGGTCCAATTTCCTTAGATCTGTCACTCAAAGGCAAGCCAGGGAGCCAAACGTAGGAGGTCACTAGGAGCTAAAAAAGCCCCCAGAAAAGTCAGGTGGGGTGGAGGGAGTATAGGAATGGAGATGATTTGCTAAAAACTATAGCCCAGGAAGGGGAAAAAAAAAAACGGCCAGACATGGTGGTTCACACCTGTAATCCCAGCACTTTAGGAGGTCAAGGCAGGCAGATCACCTAAGGTCAGGAATTTGAGACTAGCCTGACCAACAGTGAAACTCCATCTCTACCAAGAAATACAAAAATTAGACGGGTGTGGTGGTGGGCGCCTGTAATCCCAGCTACTCGGGAGGCTGAGGCAGAATTGCTTGAACCCAGGAGGCAGAGATTGCAGTGATCTGAGATCATGCCACTGCACTCCAGCCTGAGCAACAGAGCAAGACCCTGTCTCAAAAAAAAAAAAAAAAACAAAAACAAAAAAAAAACACCAGGGCCGGGCACGGTAGCTCACACCTGTAATCCTAGCACTTTGGGAGGCTGAGGCGGGCGGATCACCTTGAGGTCAGGAGTTTGAGACCAACCTGGCCAACATGGCAAAACCCCAGCTCTACTAAAAATTATAAAAATTAGCCAGATGTGGTGGTATGCGCCCGTAATCCCAGCTGCTCAGGAAGCTGAGGCAGGAGGATCGCTTGAACCCAGGAGGTGGAGGCTGCAGTGAGCCGAGATTGTCTCACTGTACTCCAGCCTGGGCAACAGAGCAAGACTCCATCTCAAAAAAAGCAAACAAACAAACAAACAAAAAAACACCAAGTTCTAAGAAGTCACCAGGCAGCCTAACAAGCCTGCCAAGGCATTATTCTTATCTAAAGCTGTTTTTAACCAGTTGTTATGTCCACTACATGAATAAAGTGATATTTAATGAAAATTGGGAGTTTTCCAGGGAGAAAAAAATTAACAGAACTGGAGAGAAATAAATAAAAGACGCTCCTGGGGAAACATGAGTTTCTTGGTGCGTTGGGAATTAGCATCTTCCTCAAGGTCTAAAATACTCATCATGTTAGTTGCGTAGATGCCCATAGATGATCAAAGGAATCATTAGTTACATTTTGAACATTTAAAGAGGTTCAGTTGATAGAAGTAAAGTACATCTGGAACAACAGTCCCTGTTCTAGAAAAAGTGAAAGAACGGAGTTTAAATGATGAAAACAATCCAGATGTTTATCAACTGATGAATGAGTAAGCAAAATGTAATGTATCCATACAATGGAATATTATTTGGCCACAAAATTGAGTGAAGTACAGATACATCCTACGGCATGGGTGAACCTTGAAAACATTATGCTAAGTAAAAGAACCTAGTCATAAAAGACTACATATTATCTGATTCCATTTATAGGAAATTTCCACTTAAAGGAAATGTCCAGAATTGGCAAACTGATAGAGACAGAAAGTAGATTAGTGCTTAGTCAGGGCTGGGGAGATGGGAGGATAGGGAAGTGATAGATAAAGGGTGCAGAGTTTCTCTTTGTGATGATGAAAATGTTCTGAAATTGACCGTGGTGGTGATTGCACATATCTGTGAATATACCAGAGTTCACTGCATTGGCCACTTTAAATGAGTGAATTCTATGGTATGTAAACTGTATCTCAGTAAAACTGTTACTATTAAAAACAAGGAGCTGAAGGTTGAGTTGATCACCGATGTCCAATGATTTAAATCAATCATGCTGTTGCAATGAAGCTTCCTTAAAAACCCTGAAGAATGAAAAGTTCAGAGAGCTTCTGGGTGGTGAACAAGATGTACTCATGTGCCAGGAGAGTGGCACACCCCAAAGCTCCATAGGGAGAGGAAGTCCTGTGCTTGGGATCCTTCTGGACCTCTCCCTGTGTATCTGTCTTTTCATCTGTCTCTTCATCTAGATTCTCATCTTTGTAATAAACTGAGAATCTAGTTTTCTAAAAAATAAAAACAACACTGCTTTGTTTAAACAATAGTGTTAGATGCTGCTTTATTTATTTATTTAGAGATGGAGTCTCATTCTGTCTCCCAGGCTGGAGTGCAGTGGCATGATCTTGGCTCACTGCAGCCTCCGCCCCCTGGCTTCAAGCAGTTCCCATGCCTCAGCCTCCTGAGTAGCTGGGATTACAGGCACGCGCCACCATGTCCAGCTAATTTTTGTGTATTAGTAGAGACAGGGTTTCACCATGTTGGCCTGGCTGGTCCTGAACGCCTGACCTCAGGTGATCCACCTGCCTTGGCCTCCCAAAGTGCTGGGATTATAGCCGTGAGCCACTGTGCCCGGCCTGTGATTCTGTTTTAAATGTTGTAATAGAAACATAAATACTGTGGCTTAAATCAGATAGAAACAGTCCAAAGCCAATGTATCTTGACAGTGTTGAGTCACCAGGTTCTCATACTTTGTTGTTCTGCTGTCCTAAACACATAGTTTCTATCTTAGGGTCCCACCTGTTTGCTCCAGCTTCCACCATCTTGTCCTTGTTTAGCCAGCAGGAAGGGGAAACCCAAGAAATAAAGATCATGGGCATTTCCTAAGGCATGACTTGAAAGTGCACAGATACTACTTCTAGTGTCATCCCAGTCTTCAGAACTTAATCACCTGTTACTCCCAAAAGCAAGAGAGACTGGGACATGTAGTCTCTAGCTGGGTGCCCATGGGCCCAGCCAAGAATCTGGGGTTCTTTTACTATAGGAGGGGCATCTGGTTATTGGTGACAATAAGTTGTTATTTGCTGGACAGTCTTTCCCCACAAGTTTGGTCTTTACCAGACCAAATGTATGCCAGTGTTCTCATAACCTGATTTGCATCCAAAAAGACTAAAGGAAGGCCGGGAGCAGTGGCTCATGTCTGTAATGCCAGCACTTTGGGAGGCCGAGGCAAGTTGATCACTTGAGGCCAGGAGTTTGAGACCAGCCTGACCAACATGGCGAAACCCTGTCTAATTTTGCTAAATACAAAAATTAGCCAGGTGTGGTGGCACACACCTGTACTTTCAGCTACTCGGAAGGCTGAAGCAAGAGAATCACTTTAACCCAGGAGGCAGAGGTTGCAGTGAGCCAAGATCGCACCATTGCACTCCAGCCTGGGCAACAGAGCAAGACCTTGCCTCAAACCAAAAAAAAAGACTAAAGGAACTTGTTGTCTAGTCATAGTGACTCCATCTTACCGAAAGACAAGTCAGATTTTCTTCCTTGGGCATATTTCTCTCTAGTTGGAATCGAAAAGCAACTAAAAAACAACTTTCTTCCCATTGAGCTAAGAGCTAATCTACAGGCCCAGTTTGGTGTAGGTCACCCCTAATTCTGTGTCAGCCCTTGTTGCATCTTCTGAACTACTGATAGGTACATTTTGTGCTTTTAGAACAGGGAATTGATAGCTGCTGAGCTGAAGCAGTGGGTTCAGCTGGTCATCTTGTCATGTGAAGACCATCTTCCTACAGAGTCTAGGCTGGCCGTCGTTGAAGTCCTCACCAGTACTACACCACTTTTCCTCACCAACCCCCATCCTATTCTTGGTAAGTGCGCCGAGACGGAAGTCTGTTGTACCAAACTCACTTAAAATATGAATAGATATTCTTGCCTAAAAAAAGGGAAGGTGAAAGATGGCAACATGACACCTGCCTTTATGTCTTTCAGTTATATTCCTACCGTCTTAGTTCATGCTCTAATCATTTTCACGAACACACTCTTTTTTTTTGAGACGGAGTTTCACTCTTGTCACCCAGGCTGGAGTGCAGTGGTACGATCTCGGCTTAGTGCAACCTCCACCTCCTGGTTTCAAGCAATCCTCCTGCCTCAGTCTCCTGAGTAGCCATCACCAAACCCAGCTAATTTTTGTATTTTTAGTAGAGATGAGTTTTCACCATATTGGCCAGGCTGGTCTCGAACTCTTGACCTCAGGTGATCCACCCACCTCAGCCTCCCAAAGTACTGGGATTACAGGTGTGAGCCACCACTCCCAGACCACCAACACACTCTTAACCAGCCTCTTGTTTTTCAGCCTTACCCCTAAACTTTTTTCTACAAAGAGCCTCTTTATGAAATGCAAGTCTGATAATTTCAGTCCACTATTTAAAACCTTTGAGTGGGTTCCCACTGCTTTCAGTATAAAGCCTAAACACCCTTTAGCACGGCTCATAAGGCCCTTCCTTTTCTGTCCCCTAGCCCACTCCTCCTGCCTTATCATCCACCACTCCCTAACACGGGCCCTATGTGTCATCAGTAGGGAACAGTTCTCTAAATTAAACAAACCACTGCTTGACTGACTTCTATTTGTCTTTCAAAACAGCCTAACTGTCCCCTCTTCTGGGAGGCCTATTGCAATAATCTAGGTGAGAAATGAATGGATGAGTGTGAAGCTGTGGCAGCAAGGAAGAGAGAACAGGCTCAAAAGATTTAGGAAGTAGAATCAACAGGACTTGGTGGTATTGAGGTTGATATAGAGGAAAATTCAAGAATGACTTCTAGGCTTCTGGCTAAAGTGACTGGATAGGCTGCTGGTTGCATTCAGTGATTTTTAAGTTGAAGGTATCTGTATTAGTCTGTTCTCACACTGCTATAAAGAACTACCTGAGCCAGGCACAGTGGCTCACGTCTGTAATCCCAGCACATTAGGAGGCTGAGGCGGGTGGATCACCTAAGGTCGGGAGTTCGAGACCAGCCTGACCAACATGGAGAAACCCTGTCTCTACTAAAAATACAAAAATTAGCCAGGCTTGGTGGCACATGCCTGTAATCCCAGCTATTCAGGAGAATTGCTTGAACCCGGGAGGCAGAGGTTACGGTGAGCCGAGATCACGCCATTGCACTCCAGTCTGGGCAAGGAGCAAAACTCCATCTCAAAAAAAAAAAAAAACTACCTGAGACTGGGTAATTTATGAAGAAAAGAGGTTTAATTGACTCACAGTTCCATAGTCTTAACAGGAAGCATGGCTGGGAGGCCTCAGGAAACTTAACAATTATGGCAGAAGGTAAAGGGGAAGCAAACACCTTCTTCACATGGTGGCAGGAGAGAGAGAGAGCAGGAAGAAGTGCCACACACTTTAAAACCATCAGATCTCATAAGAACTCACTCACTGTCATGAGAATAGCAAGGGGGAAATCTGCCTACATGATCCAATCACCTCCCACCAGGCCCCGCCTCCAATTCAACATGAGATTTGGGTGGGGACACAAGTCCAGATCATATCATTTTGCCCCAGGCCCCTCCTGAATCTCATGTCCTTCTCACATTGCAAAATACAATTATCCCTTCTCAACAGTCCTCCAGGTTCAGCTCATTTCAGCATCAGCTCAAAAGTCCACAGTCCAAAGTCTTATCTGAGCCAGGGTAACTCCCTTCCACCCATGAGCCTGTAAAATCAAAAACAAGTTAGCTACTTCCAAGATACAATGGGGGTACAGGTGGTGGGTAAATGCTCCCATTCCAAATGGGAGAGATTGGCCAAAGCAAAGGGTCTACGGGCCCCATGCAAGTTCAAAACCCAGCAGGGCAGTCATTAAATCTTAAAGCTTTAAAATAAATTCCTTTGACTCCATGTCTCACATCCAGGGCATGCTGATGCAGGGAGTGGGCTCCCAAAGGCCTTGTGCAGCTCTGCCCCTGTGGCTTTACAGGGTACAGCCCTTGCAGCTGCTTTCACAGGGTGGTGTTGAGTGCCTGCGGCTTTTCCAGGCACACAGTGCAAGCTGTCGGTGGACCTACCATTCTGGGGTCTGGAGGACGGTGGTCCTCTTCTCGCAGCTCCACTAGGTAGTGCCCCAGTGGGAACTCTGTGTGAGGGCTCTAACCCCACATTTCCCCGTCTATATTGCCCTAATAGAGGTTCTCCATGAGGGCCCCACTCCTGCAGCAGACTTCTGCCTGGACATCTGGGTGTTTTCATCATCCCTCTGAACTTTAGGCAGAGGTTCCCAAACCTCAACTCTTGCCTTTTGCACACCCACAGGCCCAACACCACATGAAAGCCACCAAGGCTTGGGGCTTGCACCCTCTGAAGCAATGGCCCGAGCTGTACCTTGGCCCCTTTTAGTCACAGCTGGAGCTAGAGCAGCTGGGACACAGCGTGCTGTGTCCTGAGGCTGCACAGAGCAGCTGGGCCCTGGGCCTGGCCTAAGAAACCATTTTTTCTTCCTAGGCCTCCTGGCCTTTGGTGGGAGGGGCTGCTGTGAAGGTCTCTGAAATGCCCTGGAGACATTTTCCCCATCATCTTGGCTGTTAACATTCGGTTTCTCTTTTTTTTTGAGATGGAGTTTCACTCTTGTTTTCCAGGCTGCAGTGCAATGGCACGATCTTGGCTCACTGCAACCTCTACTTCCTGGGTTTGAGCGATTCTCCTGCCTCAGCCTCCTCAGTAGCTGGGATTACAGGTGCCCACCACCATGCCTGGCTAATTTTTGTACTTTTAGTAGAGACAGGGTTTCACCATGTTGGCCAGGCTGGTCTTGAATTCCTGACCTCAGGCAATCCACCCATCTCAGCCTCCCAAAGTGCTGGGATTATAGGCATGAGCCACTGCACCTAGCCTTGGCTCCTCTTTACTTATGCAAATTCTGCAGCAGGCTTGAATTTCTTCCCAGAAAATGGGTTTTTCTTTTGTACCACATGGCCAGGCTCCATGCTCTGCTTCACTTTCTTTTAAATGTAAGTTCCAGTTTCAGATAATCTCTTTGTTCATGCATATGAGTGTATACTTTTAGAAACAGCCAGGTCACATCTTGAATGCTTTGCTGCTTACAAATTTTTTCTGCCGGATACCCTCAGTCATCTCTCTCAAGTTCAAAGTTCCACAGATCTCTAGGGCAGGGGCAAAATGCCACCAATCTCTTTGCTAAAGCAGAGCAAGAGTGACCTTACTTCAGTTCCCAATAAGTTCCTCATCTGCATCTGAGAGCACCTCAGTCTGGACTTCATTGCCCATATCACTGTCAGCATTTTGATCAAAACCATTCAACAAGTCTATAGGAAGTTCCAAACTTTCCCACATCTTCCTGTCTTTTTCTGAGCCCTCCAAACTGTTTCAACCTCTGCCCATTACCCGGTTCCAAAGTTGCTTCCACATTTTCAGGTGGAAATGTCTTTATAGCAGTGCTCCACTTCCAGTACCAATTTTCTGTATTGGTCCATTCTCACACTCCTATATAGAACTATCTGAGACTGGGTAATTCATCAAGAAAAGAGGTTTAATTGGCTCACAGTTCCATGGGCTTAACAGGAAGCATGGCTGGGAGGCCTTAGGAAACTTACAATCATGGCAGAAGGCAAAGGGGAAGCAAGGCACAGCTTCCCATGGCAGAGCAGGAGAGTCAGAGAGCAGGGAGAAGTGCCACACACTTTTAAACCATCAGATCTTGTGAGAATTCACTCACTATCATGAGAACAGCAAGGAGGAAATCTGCCTTCAGGATTCACTCACCTCCCACCATCCACTCCAATTCAACATGAGATTTGTGAATCCAAACCATATTAGTATCTTTGGGACGTAAAGGTGGAGATATTTTGAAATTAAATGGATGTACAGATCTTATCTGGTTTCCAGCATGTTGTACACGTCCATGTCTCTCCTCACTGCTACTCCGTGTGTCAAGAGTAATAGGAAAGGGCAGCATGTCAATGATGTATAAGAAAACCAAGCTTGAGAATATCCTAAGGAATTGAAAAGCATAGTTCTTTTTTTAAAATTTTTTAAATTGTGTCATTTTGTTTTTTGTTTTGCTTTTAAGCATAGGGTTTAATAAAAGGAAACCCCAGGTTCTACAGCTGTGCTTCAACCCCAACCCTGCCCTCTCCTGCCATGTTTAATCCCGTATTAACATGCTATGATTCTCTTCTCACCTATTAGTAGAATTATATTTTTGTGTACCTCTTCCATGCCCAGCCCTCAAGAATCAGACATGGTCACTGCCTCCAAGGAGCTTTCAGTATAGTTGTGGAGAAAGGATTTATAGAATAAAGGAAGGAATTGTTTTTTAGATAGTGAGATCCAAATTTTAAATGTTGTAGGAGTTCAGACCAATAAAGGGTCTCCTGTCCCTGTATCTCTCTGGGAGACAACGTTTTCTTCAATATGGTTTTAACTTTTTTCTTCTTAGTGACTTCAGGCATTTTTCTTACAGCCAGAGAGACATTGAGAAGGGACCTTCTGTGAGTGTGATTTAATCATGAGACCCGAAGGAATAAGAGCAAAGGGTGACAAACCTTAGTCAAGCTTCTCCAGTAAAGTTAATACCATTTTGCAGCACATTTTCTGGGTGACTTTAACTACTCAAACCCTAGCTTATAACAGGTAAAATGTGTGTGGAATAACCTGGAATTCTTTTGTGAAATTTGGTCCTGTGCCTACAAGAACATGAGAAATAGGTGCAGTGACTCATGCCTATAATCCTAGCACTTTGGGAGGACGAGGCAGGAAGATCACTTGACCCCAGGAGTTCGAGACCAGCTTGGGCAACACAGCAAGATCTTTTGTCTACAAATAATAAAAAAATTAGCCAGATGTGGTGGTGTACACCTGTAGTTCCAGCTACTCAGGAGGCTAAGGCAGGAGAATTCCTTGAACCTGGGAGGTCGAGCCTGCAGTGTGAGCCATTGTGCCACTGCACTCCAGCCTGAGCAACATAGTGAGACCCCATCTCAATGAAAAAGGTACTGAATAGGTAGAAGCAAAGGACATAAAAGTGCATGAGAGGCCAGGCGTGGTGGCTCATGCCTGTAATCCCAGCACTTTGGGAGGCTGAGGAGGGTGGGTCTACCTGAGGTCAGGAGTTTGAGCCTGACCAACATGGTGAAAACCTGTCCCTACTAAAAATACAAAATTAGCCGGGTGTGGTGGTGCATACCTATAATCCCAGCTACCCGGGAGGCTCAGGCAGGAGAATCACTTGAACCTGGGAGGTGGAGGTTGCGGTGAGCCAAGATTGCCCCATTGCACTCCAGCCTGGGCAACAAGAGTGAAACTTCATCTCAAAAAAAAAAAAAAAAAAGAAGTACATGAGAAAAGTCAAGGGCACAGCAAAGTCATTTAAGGAAAAAGAAAAATTGAAATGGACTAAAGAGGGAAGGATCTGAAGGATATAAATGATGACCATATTAAAGAGGAAAATATTAAGAAAGGAAGGTATTGAACCCTTACAGAACAACTAGAAAGAATGGAGACTGAAAGGCTGAGTAAAATTTAAATCAGATCTGTAATGAAAAGAAGAGAACGAAACCCCAAATGGAGCCACTGTTATTATTGGTATGACTAAAGCATCAGTGACTCTGAAACCAGGTTCTCCATGTACAGATGAGGTAGAGGATAGACAAAGGGGAGTTCTTAGGGAAGGGTAGTTTCTCCATTGAAAGGATGGGGATGCTGCGTGGTGGTCTTCCATGGCCCTCCAGTGATAACCCTCCACAAGCCCAGGCCCACCCCACCTGGACTAGAGGTACCCCTTTCTGGGAGGCCATGCTCACCTCTCACTTTCGTCATGAATTCTGTGTCAGTTACAGCAGTCCACTCTCATCTTTCCTGTTGGGAATCACAGCCACACAATTTTGTTCTTCACAACTCATTGCTTTGTGTTTTTGACTTTATATTCCTTTTGATTGCTCAGGACAAGATACTATCTTTTATTATTCATTGTCCGCAGCAGCACCTAGCACAGGCTGACTAGACAGATCAGTGTCCAGGAGTAATGGCAGTCAGATAGTGGACCCCCTACATACATGGGACACAAGCTGCTGCCTTTATCATGGGTCTCTTTTTTTTGTTGTTGTTGTTGTTTTGTTTTTTGTTTTTTTGGTCGGGAGCGAGGATGGAGTCTCACTCTGTCGCCAGGCTAGAGTGCAGTGGCACGATCTCAGTTCACTGCAACCTCTGCCTCTCAGGTTCAAGCGATTCTCCCATCTCAGCCTCCCAAGTAGCTGGGAATACAGGCGCCCGTCACCACGCCCAGCTAATTTTTGTATTTTTAGTAGAGACGGGGTTTCACCATATGGGTCAGGATGGTCTCAATCTCCTGACCTCGTGATCCACTCTCCTCGTCCTCCCAAAGTGCTGGGATTACAGGCATGAGCCACCACACCTAGCCTCTCTTTTTTTATTCTTGCCCCCAGAGCATAATCTTGATTGATGCTTCACTTTCAGAATTTATAGGCTCAGACACTTGAATCAACACTGGGCTAGTTTCTCCAAAGCAGTCTTATGCATAAAGTTTTCTTCTAGAGAATCAGGACTCAACTAGGAGAGCAGGGCAGAGGGTCTTTGTCACCTGGGCAGCATCTTCTGGAGGCCTTGCCTAGCGCTGGTTGCCTCCGGAAAGCCTACATCCTCACCCCCAAAAAAGGCATTTCCAAATCTGCTCCCTTAGGAGTCTGTCTTTGCCAATGTTTGTCTAACACTCTTTCTATCTTAACAATACCCAGAAAAAAAGAGATAGCTGTAACTCATTCAATGCTCCTCTCTTCCACCAGGGATTTGAAGCAGTATTTGCACCTGCCTGTTAATTGCATTCTAGGTAATTCAGATTCCTTTTGGTCTTCTTAGAGTTGCAGGATACACTTGCTCTCTGGAAGTGTGTCCTTACCCTTCTGCAGAGTGAGGAGCAAGCTGTTAGAGATGCAGCCACGGAAACCGTGACAACTGCCATGTCACAAGAAAATACCTGCCAGTCAACAGGTACCTCGTTCTTATCCTTTTGCATTGTCTTATCGCTGCAGGATAGAGGTTGGAACACTTTTCTATAATGAGCCAGATAGTATCTTAGGCATTGTTGGTCATTTGGTCTGTGTCTCAACTCTGCCATCTTAGTGGGAAAGCCACAAACAGTAGGTAAACAAATGGGCATGACTGTGTTCCAATAAAACTTTGCTTACAAAAATAGGCAGCTTCTCAGATTTGATCTACTAGCCGTAGTTTGCTGACCCCTGCTGTAGGACATCCTAAAGAAAAATTATTTTTAAAGGTAGAAATTTAATAAACTGTTAGGTCTTTTGCTGGTTACGTTGTCATCGGTTTTAAATAATGCCAAGTCTCTATTATCTGTGTGGTTCCATAACTCAGGAATCACAAAACCATCATTTTGTTCCTGAGTTTTTATATGTGACAGAAAGCGAGAAATGATTATGTGTACGTTAAGTTTCTCTACTTTGTGTCCTAGCTGCTCATTTGATAATAACATGAACCCAGGAGGGAGGAGGGGAGTGGAAAGAAGAGCACCCTAGCTGGGTAGTCCTGAGGTCGCAGCCGTCGTATAAGCGGTTACAGCCCCAGGCCCGGGGTCATGTGCATGTAATGGCAAATGCTACGAAAGCTAAAAGGAACTCAGGCTGTGGGTAGAAAATGGGCTGCTGGATGAAAGAGATGGGGGCAGATGGAGTAGAAATAAGGTCACACCTCTGGACAAGTGGCCATCTGGGAGGGTGCCTGCTTTAGCAGACTCGGATTCTCTGTGCTTGGGGCTGGGTGCCAGGAAAGGTCTCTGGATCAGCGGTCCCAATGAGAAGCAAGAACACTGTTTTGAGGCAAGGGATCAAAGCTGAGCAAAGAAGTTCACCTTAATAGACAGCAGAATGAGAGAAAAGGAGGCCAGATAAGCCTTTGTAATTGATGCAAGGCCCCTCATCAGTTACTGTGGCTGGGGCTGCTTGCCAAGGCAGGACACAGGATTGTGTTCCCTGGAAGCCTCCCCAGATGTGTGAACCTTCCAGGATCTGAATCCTCAGTCAAAATGGTCTGTGTACACTTCTCTGCCTATGTGGAAGAAGCTAGTTTTGGAATAATCTCTCAGTGATACCGCACCAGGGCAGGTTTCGCCTAGATCAGCTTTTCCTCTCAGCAGGATAGCATTTGGAACAGAGCTGCAAGTGATATGCAAGCAGGCTCCCCTCAGCCCCCAACCTGCCAGACTTGCCCAATAGCTAAAATTCTGCCATTGGCAATTTATTCATTTTTCCAATTGCAGCATTTGCTTAGAAGGACACACAGAAAGCCTAGTAAGTGTTCGGTAAATATTTGTTGGAATATAATACTCAGTAGATTCCGCACCCAGCCCAGCTTGATTTTCTTAAGCATAAAATATAGATCTTTTTCTTTAGACTGAAAAGTAGCTGAGGACTGAGAATCACCCTGATTTTTTTCTTTAATCAGAAGTTAGGCAATTGATTGATCAGAACAATATTGTCTTGTTTTAGGCCAGGCGCAGTAATCTCACGCCTGTAATCTCAGCACTTTGGGAGGCTGAGATGGGTGGATCACTTGCGGTCAGAAGTTCAAGACTAGCCTGGCCAATATGGTGAAACCCCATCTCTACTAAAAATAGAAAAATTAGCTGGGCATGGTGGCGGGCACCCGTAATCCCAGCTACTCGGGAGGCTGAGGCAGAAGAATCTCTTGAACCCAGGAGGCATAGGTCGCAGTGAGCTGAGATAGTGCCACTGTACTCCAGCCTGGATGACAGAGCAAGACTTCATCTCAAAAAAAAAAAAAAAAAGAACAATATTGTCTTGTTTTACCATCTCTCAAGGATATCAAGTGCTGGTGGTAACTTCACATTCCTTCAGCATATAAGGATTTTGTAGAATACACTGCTGATGTTTTCCTCTTTGGTGTTCCAAGTTAATTACGATTGAATCTTGACTACCTTAAAAGTACACGTTGTTTCTTTTGTCCCCAAATCGGTGGTTGACTAAATGCCACAGTAAAATAACATTATTAAGTTGTGTTAATATTTAATGTCTTCTTTGAGGAGTTAAAATTACAATGAAAAAATTAAAGTTACTTCTCAGTTTTCCTCGAAGAAAGAAATACAACACAAGAGCTCCACACCTCTGAGATCTCCCACTGTCAGTGAGGGATGGATGCAGACAGAGCTCTGCTCTCAGACCGTCTCCTAGCAGCCTGCTGGAGGAGCTTGGGGAAGTAGGAGGTGCATTCTGTGGGGTCTCTCTGGAAAGGGTCTGGAGAGTGGAGTGGGCCCAAAGGAAGGGAGAGATGTGACACAAATGAGAGCAGAACAGTCAATGCAGAAAGAGAAGTTGGAGCCAAAGCCCTGAGTTGGGGAGAACCCGGGAGCTGATTGGGCAGCAGTGAGTGGACTTTTGTGGTCAGAACACAGGCTCAGGCCAGGCAAGGAAGAGGAGCAGGAAATGAACTGAGCAAGGCAGGGGCACTTGCTTGTGGGATGGCTCAGTGCCAAGGCCCGATCTCCTTCTGCAGGTAATGGGAAGCTAGAGAGGGTTTAAAGCAGGAATGAGGTGGGAAGGCACTCAGAGGAGACTGATGTTACCGGAGACATACTTGTGGAATCTCTGGCAGCAGTGTGTGTGATGGGCCAGGGCTGGGGCTGAGTGAGGGGATTTGCCAGGCAGGGAAATCAGCTGGGGGCTGGCAGCAACAGTCCTCTCCAGCTGCTCTCAGTGGGGTTGGGATGGAGAGGAGAGGACTGATGTATGAGAATACTGGTTGGGGGTTGGGTAATCTCAACATGGGGACTGCTGCTGTGGGAGGTGGGAGAGAAGGGAAAGCATGAGGTGACTTCAGAGTTTCAAACCTGTGAGGTGTCCAGGGGAAAATAACAAGGCATGCCTCTGGCACTGATGTAGAAGTCAGACTGTGGCATTCCAGGAAGTGAAACTACCAGGAAATCGGGAAAGGCACTCAGAGGCCACAAGTCACTGTGATCCAGGACAAAGTTTTCCTTAGGTCTTGGAGAGCTCAACATTCGAAATGGAGAGGGCAAAGGGAGACCTTTATCTGCTGTGGGAACAGAATAAACTGTCTGGGTTCTGTCCTGCCTTCCTCAGAACGCAGCACAGCTATCCTGGGATCTCCAGTGCTCCTTAACAGATCTAGTTATCGGTCCCCACGGGCACTTTCTGGAACCTGTAGAATAGGCAAGCATTAAATGCAGTCATTCAGACTTCCTCACCCTAACATATCCTTTTGCATAATTGGCTTTAGGTCTAGATTTGATTAGTTAATGATTCTAGAAGGCCTGGAGAAAATAATGCCATGGTTAGCCGGCCCTCCTGAGAACAGATTTCTTATTCACCTTTTTTGCCTGCTGGAATCTCCTGCACATGCTGCAGCCCACACAGGGAAGCATGAAACTCACAGCCTGTTAACAACTCTCTCCCTGCAATGTCCAAAGCACCCTCAGCCCTTAGAAGTATGGACATCAGGGAGCCCCAGCTGCAGGACCCTCTCTGCCCCTCCCTCCCCACTCTGTACCAATCATGGAGCCTGCAGAAGGGAATGGAAGAAATGACATTTCCAGGACTTAAGAGTAAGGTATTGAAATTTGTAGCTAGGAGAAAAAAAATTTGTGGGCTGGACTCCAGGCAAGGCTCTGCCTTCCTCCTTTCCCTGCTCTGACTTCAGGCCTTGAAATGCTCAGGAAAGAGCTCTAATGCTACAAGAGCAGGAGATGCTCAAGGCTATCTCTGCAGCTCCCCACCCTCTTCCACCAAGCGGCCACTCAGATCTGTTTTATATACCACATCGGGCATTTAATGTCAGATTTCATTTGAACAAAGGCCTCTGTGTGGGAAAAACAACCTGGACAATACTTAACTTTAAATCCTGGCATTTGCATGATTCTTAAGTTAGGCAGAGTTCTGGATGAGAGCAGCAGGAGAGGAACCCATGAAGGTACAAATTTGTGAAGCTGCCTTCAGAGGAAGAGAAGATAAGAAAGGTATCTTAGAAGGTTAGAAAGAATCCAGTGATTGGGGTTCTTCCATAGCCTTTCCTACAAGCCAGGGATACCTGAGCCTTTTCTTTTTGCAGAGCTCTTTCACTCTGATGCAAGTTATCTGGTGTGGCTTAGCTGGAAATACTGCAGAGAGTTAGACCGAAGGACTCCAGGATGGGCTTAAGGATGGCTAGATCAGGAGGTCCCCAGGCAGAACCACATACGTTCCACTTAGCAGAGGCAGGGTGCCTCTGGGAGCTGGATGGGCCATGGGGACAGGGCAGGCAGGGGGATGGCTTTCTGGACTTCCCTCAGGCTTCTTGCTTTTCCTGGCACTGGATCTCCCCCTTTCTTGCTCTTTCGGCTTCAGCCACTATTGGCCACCTAATTTAGATGGCCTCCTCCCATTCCCGTCTCCATTTGTGAGGCTCAGAAAACAGTTTCTGGCCAGGTGCGGTGGCTCACGCATCTAATCCCAGCACTTTGGGAGGCTGAGGTGGGCAGATCACCTGAGGTCAGGAGTTCAAGACCAGCCTGGCCAACATGGTGAAACCCCATTTCTAATAAAAATACAAAAATTAGCTGGGCATAGTGGTGCACATCTGTAGTCCCAGTTACTCTGGAGACTGAGGCAGGAGAATTGCTTGAACCTCGGAGGTGGAATTTTCGCAGTAATGCAGTGAGCCAAGATCACACCACTGCACTCCAGCCTAGGCAACAGAGTGAGACTCCCTCAAAAAAAAAAAAAAAAGAAAAGAAAAGAAAAGAAAGGAAAACAGTTTCTGCTTGAGTTGATACAGGATAAGAGAAGGCACTGAGCAAGGAATTTTAAGGCGTGCCAGATTTCATGCCTGTTGTCAGTGTTTTGGTTCAAGAAGGATGACTTCTTGGTAGAAACTTTCTTATGAAAGAAAATATGTAAGACCTTTAAAGGGGATAGTGGGTAGGCAAGCAGGCAGATCGGCTGTGGCTCTTTTTCTTGGAATACTGTCTCCAAGTAGTTCTGGTCCCTCTCTCCTAGAAGGCCCCTTGCCCACAAAAAGTCATGTAAAACTTCTGCTCATCCTTCCAAATATGGACATTTAGCGGGAATGCATTAAATCCCATCTTCTCGACAGCACCCTTGCCCTCCAGGATCTCCCCATTCCCTGAGCCGCTGCAGCATTTGGTTATTGTATCATCACAGAGCCTTTGCTATTCTACGCTTTTATCATTTTCCCTTTCCTGTGCTTTAGTTCTCTCTTCCCAACTAGCCCTCATGAACTTAGAGACTGTTTTCTATTAGGTACACAGTGGGTGCTCAATTTGTGTTAATGGATTGATTTTTCACCATAGTCAGGTGGCAAAAGAAACATGAGAGTACGCTTTGAAATAAGAAAGCTTCAGAACAAGCAGGCAGACCCTCTCTGCTGGAACCAGCTCAAGGGACAGCGTTTTTCACTGATTCATACCAACTAGGGTGGCAGTCTTGCTGACTCGCACACTGTCCGGGTCTGGTAGGCTGAGTTTGCAGCCTGTAGTGTTGGGTCCCTCCTCACTCTTACCTCTGAAGTCAGGGTCTTGGATTACAGGACCAGAAAGCCAGCCTGGGGCTGCAGGGACCATGCCCCTGGGTTATCTGGGAGACACCAAAGGAGCCTCCTGTGCTTGGCATGGTGACCCATAGAGACTGGAATAACAATGGTGTTTAGGAGGGAGGTGGAAGAGGGGAAGTAGGAGCGAGATGTAGAAAAATGAGACTCAGAGGTTAGAGGAGGGAGCAGTAGGCAAGTGGCATTGTGAGGTTGAGTCCAAGCAGCCATGTAGCCAGGGCAAGGCAAAGAAGGAAAAAAACAACATCTGCACACATGTATACATGTGTGCATCATCGTCACCCACACAGAGCCCGTGAGCCAGCATGAAAGGATGAACACTTCTCATATGCCCCGACCCTTGAGCAAACAGGGAGGGAAGCCTGGGAGGAGAGAGATAGAAAGGCCTGGGTCACTGTGACATTTTCCAGTGGCCCTATGGAGTGAGACAGCTCAGTCAGCAAAGCCCCAGCCCTGTGGGACTTCACACTGAGTCACAGATGATTCCACTCCTGGAACCTCTAAGGCTGCCCACCAGTCTCAGACCCGCAGCAGGCCCTGTGCTTTTTTCAGTTCCTGCCAGATCACAGAGTCAGGCACTAGAAGGGCTCTGCAAGTACTGACTGCCTCCCCCTTCCTCCTGCCTTCCAGTAGGCTCTTTCCTAATCGACTCAGGTATATCGCCTTCAAAGTGCCCTTTCTGCTCTGTGGTGCCAGAGCCTGGCCCCAGACTCAATATTGTAGATGTACCAAGTACCTTTTTCTAAAGAAGAATGACCCAAAAAAGTTAAGAATCACTTTACTAGAATATATCCTCCTACCTATCTCCAAGCCTGGCCTAAATTCCTCTTCAGATGAGTTAAACTTATTTGCCTCCATCATTTCTTTTTCTTCTTTTTTTTTTTTTTGTTGTTGTTGTTGTTGTTGAGACAGAGTTTCACTCTTGGCGCCCAGGCGAGAGTGCAGTGGTGGTGCAATCTCGGCTCACTGCAACCTCCGCCTCCCGGGTTCAAGCGATTGTCCTGCCTCAGCCTCCTGAGTAGCTGGGATTACAGACACACACCACCATGGCTGGCTTATTTTGGTATTTTTAGTAGAGATGGGGCTACTACATGTTGCCCAGGCTGGTCTTGAACTCCTGACCTCAAGTAATCTGCCCGCCTTGGCCTCCCAAAATGCTGGGATTACAGGCATGAGCCACCGTGCCTGGCCATCCATCATTTATATGTGTCTACTTTAAAATTCTAAATTGGGGCTAGGCACAGTGGCACATACCTGTAATCCCAGCACTTTCGGAGGCCGGGGCAGCCAGATCACTTGAGCCCAGGAGTTCAAACCCAGCCTGGGCAACATGGGGAGACCCTGTCTCTTCAAAAAAATTTAAAAATTAGCCAAGTGTAGTGGTGCATGCCTGTGGTTCCAGCTACTGAAGAGGCTGAGGTGGGAGGATCACTTGAGCCCAGAAGGTCAAGGCTACAATGAGCCATGATCATGCTACTGCACTCCAGCCTAGGTGACAGAGTGAGACCTTGTCTCAAAAAAAAAAAAAAAAAAAGCACAAAACCAAAACTCTAAATTGTTTTCTGACCCCTTCTCTTACTCCTACTTAAGATAGTCTATAGATTTTTCTTACTATTTAAGTATGAGATGAGAAGTGGTCAGATCAAGGGTATTCAATCATTCACTTGTTCATTCATTCAACAAATACTTAGAAAGTGCCTGTCCGCCAGGCTTGTTTCATGTGCTAGTCCAAGCCACCACCATCTCTCCCCAGACTTCTACAGCCTGGTCTTCCTGCCTCTATTTTTGTTCGTTGCAATTCAGGCTCACTTCTTCAGGAGTAAAACAGATGATACTGCTCTTCTGCTCAGAACTCTCTCTTGGCTTCCCATCTTAATCTGGGTAAAACCCAGACTCCTAAGGCAACATATAAAATCCTACCCAGTCCAGCCCCTGCCGCTCCTCCCCTAGCCACTCCAGCCATCTTTGGGGTTTTCCAACTCCAGAGCCCATTCCAACCTCAGGGCCTTTGCAGTAGCTGTTCCCTCTGCTTGGAATATTCTTCCCTTGTCCTGCATGGCTGACTCCTTCATATCATTCCAATCTCAGCTTCAGTGTCATCTGCACAGGGGGCCTGCCTTGACCTCTCAGACTACAGTAACCACCCAGTTATTTGCTATCATTCACCCCACTGGTTTAATTATCTGCATAATTTTATTTATTTGTTATTTGTTTCTCTCCACCGGAATAAAAGTTCCAAGAGAGGCCGGGCGTGGTGGCTCACGCCTGTAATCCTAGCACTCTGGGAGGCCGAGGCAAGTGGATCACCTGAGGTCAGGAGTTCGAGACCAGCCTGGCCAACATGGTGAAACCCCTTCTCTACTAAAAATACAAAAATTAGCTGGGCGTGGTGGTGCATGCCTGTAATCCCAGCTACTCGGGAGGCTGAGGCAGGAGAATCGCTTGAACCCAGGAGGTGGAGGTTGCAGTGAGCTGAGATTGCACCACTTCACTCCAGCCTGGGCAAAAGAACGAAACTCTGTCAAAAAAAAAAAAAAAAAAAAAAGTTCCAAGAGTGTAGGATTTTTGTCTTGTTTGTTTGCTGCTATATTCTCAGAACTTGGCACATAATAGATTCTCAATAAGAATCACTGTTTGATGATCAATTGAATGAATGAATTGAGGAATGTATCTATCAAAGTAGTTAAACCCAGTAAGAAGCTTAGTGTTTTTCAGATCTACCTGGTGGGGGAGCTGTTTGGATTTTATGTTATGAAATTGCCCTGAGGTCACAGCATTTTCTTATTATGGCAGATTAAATCGCCTGCCTTAGTCCTGACTTCTTCCTAGAGACATTAATTCAAACAGCTGATGAGGAACTGATGAAGCATCTACTAAGACTGGCCACTGTAGAAAATCCTGGACTAACTCTGTGTCTCCCTTGTCACTCCATACTGGATCATGCAGGATGGAATTTCTTGAGCAAGAGTTTCATCCATAGGGACCCACATGCCTAGCACAGGGCCGGCCCTGGGAAGTGCCCAGCAGGTGGATACTTGTCAGTTGCTTATCAGGTCCCAGGTGAGAGACCAGAGCCAAGGCTACATGAATCGATCTGGAAGGCCTAGGGGAGGTGGCCCCTTCCTCCCAGAGCCCCGTCTGCTCTTTCCCACTCTGAGCAGGCCAGTGGGGGGACAGGGGAAGGAGAACCTCATCACCTCCCTCTTGATGCTCCTGTTTCATTTTATCCCCTTTGATCCTCACAACACTGTGAGATACTTTATTATTTCCTCCATTTTATTTATATTTTTATGTTTTTAAAGGTGGGGTCTCATGGCATCACTCTGGCTGGAGTACTGGTGGCTGTTCACAGGCACACTTGTAGCTCACTGCAGTCTTGAACTCCTGGGCTCAAGGGATCCTCCCACCTCAGCCTCCTGAGTAGCTGGGATTATAGGGACCTACTATACTTCCTCCATTTTAAATGTGAATATGCAGAAGTTCAGAGAGTTGAAGGAATGGGCCCAACGTCCCAAGGCAGATAAGTGTCAGAGCCAGAGTTGGAGCTCCGGCCCCTGTGGTGACAGAGGCCTTGCACTCTCAGATCCTCTCTGAGACAGGGAAAGGAGTCCAAACCTGGCATCTAGTTTAGAACCCAGGAGTTAAGAGAAAGGGGTGCATTGAAGGTCTTCTAAACTCACTGTTGTGTTTGAAAGAAGACACTGGAGTCAGAGTGTAAGAAAATGGGTTGGGGACCAGAGCTGAGATACCAGAGTGTGCCCTGGGGAAAGGGAATAGAGGGCAGATGCAGCAAGAGGCGGCAGGTGGTCCTCTGTCAAGGCTGCTGCTGTTCCTGTTCTCCAGTGCCCCTCCTAAAGGGAGGGAATCCCAGGACTCGAGGGTTTTAGAGCCTCTGACTTACAGATGTGGAAACTGAAGCCCAAGAAAGGTAAATGATTTCCCCAGTGTCACATAATGAGTAGAAAAACGAGGTCTACAACACCCACTCCTGAGGCCCAGGACAGTACCTCTCTACTGTCCCCCAAGCCTTGATTTATACAGAGGAAATGACAGAAATGTAGGGATGCCCCCTGAGAATAATCCAGACTCGGGTAGAGAGGAGCTGGCAGGGGTGAGATGGGGTGGTGTGGGGTAAGGGCAGAGAAGATGGAACACTGCCTTGAGAAGAGGGCTTGGAGGAACTCCAGCAACACTGGGGTGGGAAGAACTAAGTGTTCTGTGAAACCAGCCATCTCTCAGCAGTCAGCAATCAAACCACACCCTGAGTCAGCCCGGGATTCCACTGCCTTGGTCTCTCTGGGCCTCTCTCCGTAGCTGGCTGTGTGTTCTTCAGTATTGTCAGTGGGGCTGCAGGGGAGGAAACAGAAGAGGCTAGGAATTGTGGTCCTAACCCACTGTGAACCAGTGGAGGGTGAGGGGAAATGCTTTTGAAGGAAGATAGTTATGTGGGAGCCAGTTATCTGTTTTCTTATTTATTCCTTCAAAATAAAGAGATTTGATCAAGGTAGGCCCCCATTCCTGCCAGCTGCAGTGGGTGGGCACGGTGGAGCTCCGGTTGCCGCATTCCAAGTTGCGTGTGCCATCAGTTGCTGTTCCAGAGAGCCTGGGCCCCCTGACGTTCACCTGCATCTCAGCGAGTGCGTCACTGGCAGCGGCTCCCATGATGTGCAAAAGCAGGTGCAAACTAATGCTCCCGTCTTCGATCTGCTGGCCAGTTATGAGTGCCAGTGAGTACCCTGGCTGGGCCTGGTTGCTGGGGTGATGGGATTGTTACCATGGCCTCCCAGTGACTAATCCCCAGAGAGACAACAACAGGCTCCTTTCGAGGAAATGAGGGTCATTTTTGCATCATTTTGCCCTGACTCTTGCTGCTTCTGAAAGCCGAGCTCTCTGGCCAAGGCGACTGACCCCTGTGGGTGATGATAAGCCCTCAGTCTGAGGCTTAGGCCATCTGGTGCTGACGCGGCTGCAGGGTGTTGTCTTCCCTGTTAGTCAGGGCAAGCCTGGTGCCTGGTGATCTTCCTTCTCCAGCTCGTGGCCTCGGCTCTCCTCTTCTGTGCTTTCCTTTTCCTCAGGAACTTTCGCTTTCCTCAGCAAGGCCATATCACAATGCAGGATTTCTCTTCACTGTGGTGAGCAGGCTTCCTTTTTGAACCTAAGCCAGTTTCAGGTGTTAGGGTCACTACTCTGTCAGGGGTGGCAAGATGGGCCCCCCCACCTTTCTCGTTCGTCCCTGGTTCAGTGAGGATGACTCCTCCAGCCCCAGCTTCAGGCCTGACTCTATTGGGAGCATCCCTCCTGAGCACCCCAGCCAGCACTGGCACCTGCCCTTTGCCCTCCTGAGTTCACTCAGCCACAGACTTCTTCCATCCCAACAGCCAGATGAAGGTCAGACCCAGGCTGTCATGACAGTGCTGCCCGAGAAGTTCTGCAGGGCAGGGGTGGGGCCCAGGAGAGGCCTCTTCACTGGCCACGGTGGCGACCCCTCCCTCACCATCCTGCTGTTATCCAAGGAGGCGTAAAGGGTGACATCAGAGACCTGGGAAGCCCTCATCCTACCCACCAAACTCCAATTCTGTTCTCAAATCTCCCAGAAGATGCTTGGTGGATTGTGAAAGCCTGGGCTTCCTTGTTTTTGCTGCTCTATTTTGACTACAGCAGTCCCCATGGCAAGACCTCTCATGGGCAGAAGAGCAGAATGGAGAGTGGCTCTGGTGGTGGCGGGCCAGTACAGGGAGGGTTTTTCTCTGCACACGTGGGGCAGGGTGTGTACATTGAGATAGAATGGCATGTTGGGAATCTGTGCACCTTTCAGAGTGTCTGTTTGTAAAGAGTACACAGCCCCAGTTTGGATGTGAATGTCTGTATGAGCGTTAGGAGGAGAATGGGATTCAAGAGATGTGCTCTGACCTGTTCACTGATGCATCATGATGAGCTAAAAGTAAGAAATCCCTCCCTGAATGTCAAAATGGCCAGGAAATCGTTGCTGTATTTCAGTAATTGGGTTTGTCAGAAGTGAATTTCTTGTGAGGCTGATCTACAGGAGCAGAGGCAGAGAACAGCAGGTGGGAATCAAAAACAAAGAATTGGCCTTGACGGCAACTTGTCTTCTCCCTCTCTGCCTCCTCTTCCCTTGTTCCTTTCCCCCTCTCCTGCTTCCTCACCTCCAGCTGAAGTACTGAAGTTACTGGAGTACAACCAGGGCTGTCAGCTTGGGGTGTATCTTGAAATGGACTTTCTGAAGTATTTTCTGGGGTTTCAAGCATGAAACAGCTGGTGTTTTAGTCGGGGTATAGATTTGGCATCTGTAAGAGAAGTTAATAGTGGCTTAAACAAGTCAGTAGCTTATTTTTTCCTCACACAGAGCACTCAGTAGACTAGTGTGATGGTCCGTATGATTAGGGGCGCACACCTTCTTTCTTGGTGCTCTGACATTTTCAAGACACACCATCCCTCACATGGCCCCAGATGGCAGTGCCAGCTCCCACTGCCATGTCCACAATCTGGTGAGCCGGAAGGCAGGAGGGAAGGGCCAGCCTGGAAGTCACATGCACCACTTCCATGGATCTTATCAGCCAGGCCCTCGTCATCTGCCACAGATCTCAGCCAAAGAGGCTCAGAAATCGTGTGTTGAGCTAAATGGACACACGCTTAGCTAAAAAGCCCATTTCTGTGTAAGGGGGAAAGACTGGGTTTTGGGAGATAGGAACTTCACTTCTCGCAATCTGCCATCTTCTTATTTTTACCAGGTCCTAATCACTGAGGTTCTGGCAAGTGCCAGCTGCATGGGCACTAACATCTGGGGACACAGGGATGAATTAGATAGAGCATCTGCTTCTAAACTGTTGGGAGTCCACCCTCTCAGGTGGTAGGCCACCTAAAATCAACAGACCTTCCTTTACATGTATCCAAATCATTTTTTCTGTTAGCAACTTACATGGCTAATTTTATAAGAAAAGGAAGTAACCATTAATAATAAGAATTTTGTTCTAAACATTCTCACTAACTTGGTAAGTTTGTTTGCTGATCCCTGTATCATCTCTTAGGACCACACACATCACCCAAAATGCAGACACTTCATTAGGAAGCAAGCCCACAAGCTTTGCAGTTGCATTACCCAGAGCAAGAATTTACTAGAAAGATAGCTTTTTAATTGAAGGGGACTGGGAAGGAAGAAAACACTTAGTAGAGACCAAAAAAAAGGAGCAATGGCGGGAGGGAGGGAGCCACACTTAGAAGGGAGCAGGAATGGGGAAGTGGAGAGGGGAGGCTCAAGTTTGGCACCCTGCCTGTTCCACCACTGTGCTTATGCGTGGCATGTCCTCCTTGTGCCAGTCAACCTGGTTAAGTGTCGCGATTCTACCCAGCCCCATGCCCTCCTTTCCCACAAAGCCTTTCCAGTCTTTGTGTCTCTCCTTGAGTCAGACCCACACTGTTTAGCTCTTACATTGCTCATTCTTTAGGAGACTCCTCCTTTCACCCACACTAAGCTTTTTAAGGGCTGAGGCCTCCATCACAGCAGAGTGGATCATGTTGTTTTTTGTTTTTTGTTTTTGAGAGGGAGTCTCACTTTGTCGCCCAGGCTGGAGTGCAGTGGCGCTATCTTGGCTTACTGCAAGCTCTGCCTCCCAGGTTCACACCATTCTCCTGCCTCAGCCTCCCGAGTAGCTGCAACTACAGGTGCCAGCCACCACGCCCGGCTAACTTTTTATTTTTGTTTTTTTGTTTTTAGCAGAGACGGGGTTTCACCGTGTTAGCCAGGATGGTCTGGATCTCCTGACCTTGTGATCCGCCCGCCTCGGCCTCCCAAAGTGCTGGGATCACAGGCGTGAGCCACCATGCCCAGCCCGGAGCATGTTACATTCTAGAGTGGCTCATGACAGGCAGACCTATTGTTTCTGTAGCACAGCCTGGTTTTGGAGTTGAAAGTGGACATGGGGTTTGAGATGGGCAGCTTCCCTTCAGTCAGTCCCCTGCTCAGCCTCCCGGCAAGCTCACTGGCCCCAGCGATGAGCCTGTAGGGTCAGGTTACACTGGGACAGGTTGGTAAGGGCTCCCCAGGCAACCCAGTCCCATCACACCAGAAAATGAAATTCCCCTCTTTTAAAAGCCACTCATAGAACATAGTGGTGGTTGTGGTGGTTCTGCTTCAGACCCTCAAGAGTCTGTGTGTGTGTGTGTGTGTGTGTGTGTGTGTGTGTGTGTGTGTGTGTGTGTGTGTGTGTGTTTCAAAAGTAAAAAAAAATCGGATTATCATCCTCGCCCCCTTAATCTGTTCCAAATGAGAACGCTTAGGAAGAAAACTCCCAAGAACCCACTCTGTTAAGAAAATTGGTTTCTGCTGTGGAGTGGGTCAGGGTGGGGAATGGAGTTAGGAAAATATATGGAAACTGACAGAAGAGATTCGGTTTGTGTTTGGAAAAGGATTCGGGTTGTTTTCAAGTTTTGAGTTACAGCCTGGGCGTGTTTGAAGAAGTGGGGTTGTACAGCATAGCCTCTGTGGGCTTCTCATTCAGCTCCTCCTGCCTGCCCGGCCCTTGTTAGAGATGCCTTGCTTGGCAGGCAGACTGGCTGGGAACCTTCTTCATAAATAACTCCGTGGGGGATACAGGAGTGATAACAGACGTTTTAAGTGGAAGCCCAGCTGCCTTAAGAACTTAGGAAAGGGCCCGGCACAAGTCTGGCCCCAGGATTCTCCTCGCTAAGCAAGGGAACGCTCTTAAAGCTTTCAGTTTGGTTACTCTAATTTTATTATTTCTCTAACCTCTCTAATCAGCAGAGTGATTGAGGCTCTGATTGTGAGTCCTGTTTTTATTTTTCACACTATTTTTATACTTTGAAGCTGTGGTTTTAAAATATACACTCAAAAATGTTGGCTCGGCACCCACGAGGCCCAGGAGGTTGTCCAGATGCACTGGGTCTGGGGCTGCTCCCAGCAGCCTTTCAGTGCCCCCGCCCCCACCGCTGGCCTTTGGGGATAGATGGAATGGGCAGGAGTTGCTGTAAGAGACTGGTCCAACCACAGGCAAGCTTCTGGCCAAATATTTTAAATTCGACTCTGAGAAACTAGCAGGAATCTTGTTCTGGTGGCTTCCCAAGCACACACTCAGGGATCAGAACCTGCAGAAGCAGAATTCCCAGTTTCAGATAAAATGTTCATTCATCTCCAATATGCAGTGCTGGTCCCCATCGCCCTTCCATCCATGCTGAAAGTGTGTGCAGCACGGTACTTAGGGAAAAACAGTGCCAGCAAAGTGGGTTCATTTGTTTCTGTCACCACCATTTGCTGGAAATGGTTGTCATGTTCACGGTACTGTAGAACTCAGAGATGGGTGCAAGAAATCTTCCAAAGCGCTGACCTTCCTGTGTTCTTCTCCAGCTAGTTCTAACCCTGCCCTCTATCCTCTTGCCCTCTTTTTTCCCCCAGGCTCCTCCCTTCCCTTCTTTTCTCCCAATCCAGAGTAGATCTAGGAATCTGAAATTTCCACCTTGGCTACAAACAGCACTGAGTCTCTTTGAACAGCCTTGTCCATAAATCTTAGATTGTTTTTCATCTTTGAAAAAGTTACTTCTGGCCCAGCACGGTGGCTCATGCCTGTAATCCCAGCACTTTGGGAGGCAGAGGTGGGCGGATCACCTGAGGTCAGGAGTTCGAGACCAGCTTGACCAACATGGAGAAACCCCGTCTCTACTAAAAATACAAAATTAGCCAGGCGTGGTAGTGCATGCCTGTAATCCCAGCTACTCGGGAGGCTGAGGCAGGAGAATCACTTGAACCCGAGAGGCGGAGGTTTCGGTGAACTGAGATGGCGCCATTGCCCTTTAGCCCGGGCAACAAGAGCAAAACACCGTCTCAAAAAAAAAAAAAAGAAAAGAAAAAGAGAAAGCTACTTCTATCAGCAAGTCATTATTCACATGTAGGGGCAGGGAAAAGTTCACTACATTCAGACTTCAGTTTCTTTTCACTCTATTTCACAACATCCACTCCCCTGAAACCATGGGCTTTAAAAAAAAAAATCAGTCCCCAATAGGCAAGGTGCCCCGTGACATAGCCAGCTAGAACCAGGGAAGAAGGTGAGAGTAAGGGTAGGTTTGCCTAGATGGAGGCTAGCTGTCTCAGCCCATGGAGGAAAATAATTTCAGTCTCAGGGAACTAAAAACCCACTGTTCTTATTTTAGAGTGATGGATTTGGTGGGTGGGGAAATTTGGGGAGACAGGGTGATATTTATAATGAAAGGCTTAGCTGTATTGTTGAGGGGTGGGGTGAGAGGAGGGAGAGCATGAGGAAAATAGCTAATGCATGCTGGGCTTAATATCTAGGTGATGGGTTAATAGGTGCAGCAAACCACCATGGCACACATTTACCTTTGTAACAAACCTGCACTTCCTGCACATGTACCCTGGAACTTAAAAATAAATAAGTATTATAGTGTAATATAGCTAACAGGCTAGAACATACCTCAGTTCCATGTTGCATCAGCTAAAGGAGAGATGAAAGGAGGGTGAATTTGGAGCAAATAGAAGAGAAAGGAATGTGGGGAGAGAGAAACAGACTGTCACTTGAGGACCTGGCTTGGTGTTTCTGCTTCTCATCCTTAGCATGTTGGCTCTTTGACCCCGTGCTTGTCCTCATGGTTACAAGATAGCTTGTATACCTCGGATACATCCCAACATTTTAGGTAGGAAAGAAGGGATAAGAACATACATTTTTCTTCTCACGGGGTTCTTTTTATCCAGGTATTTAAAATGCCCCCCCAATCACCCACCCACCCAGCATATATTTCTGTATGCATCCTTGGCCAGGTCAGGTACATGGCCATCCCAGATATGAGGGTAGGCTGAAGGAGAAAGTATCATGCAATGGAGAATGAGACGGCTCTGGGCATATCACTTGGAACTGGAACCATCACCTCCCAGAACAAAATTGGCCTTCTATTAATTAGCAAGGAGGAAGTGGGATAGCTGTTGGATGGGCTACTGGGGAGGGATTAGTGTATACCCAGGAAGTGCCGTGACACATTTAGGGAACTACGTGACACATTTAGTCCAGCACGAGGAGTGTCGAGTTGGGGTAGGGTGGGAGAAGGACAAACACTAAAGGTAGATAGGGACCAGATTTTCAAAGGCCAAGGATGCCCTGCTGCTGACTTGGCTCTCTATGGAAGCCATCACAGGCGTAAGGAGGAAAGTGGGAGATGATTGCACATTACACAGAAGTGGGGAGGGGACGCCAGTCTCAAGAGCAGTGGTTTTCACACTGCAATATGTACACAGATCACCTGAGGATCTTGTCAAAATGAGATTCTGTTTCTGTGGGCCTAGGTAAGGCATGAGATTCTACATTTCGTAAAAACTCCCCAGTGATGCTGACACAGCTGATCAGGGGATCATACTTGGAGTAGCAAGGTCCTAATGTTCTTCAAAAATAAATGTACAAATACGTTTGTTAGACATTTTATAGTAACTACTAATATAACTGAAATAGAAATTAACACTCTCAAATCACTAAAGGAAAAAAACACGAACTTAGATTGAGTTTTCTTTTTAAAGAAAGGCAAAATCTGATGTGTCTTTTGGTAATCCTGATGTCTACATGTGACAGAAAAGCCAAACAGAGGTTTAAACACAGTGGAAGTTTTTTTCTCTCTCAAGTGACTGCAGTCCATTCCATATGAGTGAGTCCAGACTGATTGGCAGGCCCCAGGCCCCAGGCCCCATGCTTCTTCTGTCTTTCTGCTTCACTCTCCTGGCATGTGGCTTCCATCCTCAAGGTCACCTCTTCATCCATGATGGTTGCCAGAAGCATTAGCTAGCTCATCCTCATAACAGATGAAAAGAAAGGGAAGAAAGAACAATAAAGAGTGTGCATCCTCTCCTTTCAAGGAGTGCCCCCAAAGTCCCATAAAACACTTCTCTTTACCTCTCATTGGCTACAACCTAATAACATGTCCATATTTTGCTGCAAGATGTGCAAAGAAACATAATGTTTTGGGCTAAGCACATTACCTAGAGTTCGCTTGCTAAGGAAGAAGGAAACACATCCAGCTCTATGTCACTTTGATAAAGAGATAAGCCTAAATTTACAAGGAATGGTTGAAAATAAAGAAATGCACACCCAGCACTTTGAGAGGCCGAGGCGGGTGGATCACCTGAGGTCAGGAGTTCAAGACCAGCCTTGCTAACGTGGCAAAGCCCCATCTCTACTAAAAATACAAAAAATTGCCAGGCGCGGTGGCTCATGCCTGTAATCCTAGCACTTTGGGAGGCCGAGGCGAGTGGATCACCTGAGGCCAAGAGTTCGGGACCAGCCTGGTCAACAGGGTGAAACCCCGTCTCTACTAAAAATACAGAAATTAGCTGGGCATGGTGGCATGCGCCTGTAATCTCAGCTACGTGGGAGGCTGAAGCAAGAGAATCGCTTGAACCTGGGGGAGTGGAGGTTGCAGTGAGCCGAGATCATGCCATTTCACTCCAGCCTGGGCAAAAAAGCAAAACTCCATCTCAAAAAAAAAAAAAAAAATCAAAACAATAGCCAGGCATTAGTGGCATGCACCTGTAATCCCACCTACTTGGGAGGCTGAGGCAGGAGAATTGCTTGAACCAGGGAGGCAGAGGTTGCAGTGAGCCAAGATCGTGCCATTGCAGTCCAGCCTGGGCGACAGAGCAGCAGTCCAGCCTGGGCGACAGAGCAAGACTCTGTCTCAAACAAAAAAAAGCACAAACCAGGCAACATGGCGAAACCCCATCTCTACTAAAAATACAAAAATTAGCTGGGCATGATGGTGCATGCCTGTAGTCCCAGCTACTCAGGAAGCTGAGGTGGGAGAATTGCTTGAACCCAGGAGGTGGAAGTTGCAGTGAGCCGAGATTGGACCACTGCACTCCAGCCTGGGTGACACAGCAAGACCTCTTCTCAAAAAAAAAAAAAAAAAAAAAAAAAGAAATGCACAAATTTATTTCAGGCAATTGGTAACAGAAAGAAAGCAGGAGTGGCAATAATAATATTAGGCAAACAAATTTAAGACAAAAAGTATGAAGATGGACAGGAAGAGAAGCATTGGATAATGATAAAAGTTATCCACAAAATAACAGGCATGAGCCTTTACATATCGGGTAAAATAACATCCAAATTTACCAAAAAAAACACTCTACAAAATATTAGATAAAAGTTATTAAAATACAGCCATAGTAGGATACTTTTCCTTTCTCAGAATGTAAAAGGTCAAGCCAACCAAAGATGAATGAGGCCTTAAAGGATTTAAATACCAGACTTAAAAGTTTGTATAGGTATAAACCTTGTACTCTGACAGAAAATAAACATCCATTTCAAACAGCTACATAACATTTACAAAAACTGATCATATTTCATGTTACCAAAAAAATTTCCATTTCATAAAGAAATCTTCCTAGGCCACATTCTGACCAAATTGCAAGCACACTAGAAATATAAAATAAAAATATAACAACATAATGCCACTTAGATATTTAAGCACAGTCTTCTAAATACGTTATGCCAATGACAACACAAAAATTAAAGACTCCTTAGAGGCCCATACAGAGGAAAACACAATCAAGATTTCAGTAGATGAACCTGTCTTCAGAGGAAGTACTTGCATTGTACCTCCTGGGCTCAAGTGATCCTCCCACCTCAGCCTCCCAAGTAGGTGGGACTTCAGGCAATATATTAGGCAATTAAGTTTTTATGAATAATATACGAGGAAGTCTTTAAAAATAGGTAAATGAAGACAATAGAAAAAGAGGCAAAAGATAAAAACCGAGCACTCTGTAGAAGAAAAAAGATGTGAACAGGACACGCATGAAAAAAATGCTCATCCTCACTAATAAAAAAGAAATACCAATTAGAACATCAGCACCCTGTCATTTCCCTGTATCTTATTGGCAAAGAATAAAAAGATTGTTCTTGGCCAGGTGTGGTGGCTCCCACTTGTGATCCCACACTTTGAGAGGCCGAGGCTGGAGGATCACTTGAGTTCAGGAGTTCGAGACCAGCTGGATGTGGTGGCGGGCACTTGTAATCCCAGCTACTTGGGAGGCTGAGGCAGGAGAATTGCTTGAACCCGGGAGGCATAGGCTGCAGTGAGCTGAGATCATTCCACTGTACTCCAGCCTGGACGACAGAGCGAGACTCCATCTCAAAAGAAAAAAAAGATTGCTGTCACCTGGGGTGAGAGCTGTGAAGGAACAGGCATGATCATACCAGGTGGAACTATAAATTGGTACATTTTTAGAGAGAGTTTAATGGTGTCTATAGAAATTTAAATGTGTATGCCAATTGAGCCAGCAATTCCCTTTTAGTAAATTTATCCTACAGGAATATTTGCACAAGGGCCAAAGATATATGTATAAGGTATTCCTTTCAACAGTGTTTATAACAGGAAAAGGAATAACCTAAATATTCATCAAAGGATTAGTTAAGTAAATGTTAATACCTCCACATACTATGCAGCAGTTAAAAATGGAGTAAATCAGTATGAACCCACATGCAAAGGCATCCGTGATATATTGTTAACTGAAAAAAGCAAGTCAGAACAGAACATCTGGAGTGATTCCACTGTCAGCTATAATAAGTTGTTATTATTCTCTATAACTCTGTAATCTTTTTAAGTCTAGAAAGCTCCATATTATGAATTACTGCCTATAGGGCCTCTGCTGCCTACAGGGGCCTGGCAAGGAGCATAAATGCGTGAACTGGCAGGACGTGCAGTCAGAGTAGGATGGACTGGCAGGGAGCGGACAATCATGTACTATCTCAGTTGTAGCCAATGGTTGTGATTCCTGACCTTGCCAGGTTTCCCTGGCCAGCATTCATGGATCAAGACTCAGGAGCAGTAGCTCTGAATTTAGTAGTCTTGAGTAGTCTTGAGTTTCAGCCCCAAGACAGCCTTTTCTGGCCCCCTAGCAAGGGCAGTAGTAGTGACCCCTATCAGTATCACTTTGGGTCCTCTTCAGCAAGTGCTGGGTGAACCTGGAGCTTTTAGTTGATGGCAGCTTCACTGACCCCCTCCCCTTGACTTGGTGAAATGGGCTCCATCATGTCACTCTGAAACTGACAGCAGTTGACATTAAGATTTTTTTTAACACCATAGAACTTACAGACTGTGTTTCATTTTGGCCTGGTTCCTTAGTGCTCCAGAAGGTTCACTTTCCACCACAGAACCTCCAGAATCTTCAGGAGGCCTCACACAGGCCAAGTTACCCATAGTCCCAATGTGAGCCCTGTGTAGAGTTACTGTTTTTAGTCCTTCTAACCTTTTTGGCAGGGGGAGGGGGCCAAAACAGCCTCAGCTGTACTGGAGGAGAACAGCTGGAAATAAACAGCCAATGGATGAGAAAACTTGAGGGTCGATATCCTCCAGTTGCCAAGTTCTATCCTGCTTAGCAAAGTCTCTGTGCTGCTTCATTCTTCATTTCTAAAAGTGACCTTCAACTTGATTTCCCCCTGGCCCTCAGTGTAAATATTGGCCTGGTCATTGAGGTCGTCCAAAGAATGATTTGGTCTCTTGTGTAAGGTTGCCAGATTTAGCAAATAAAAATATAGGACACCCAGTTAAATGAATTTCAGATAAATAACAAATAATTTTTATTTTTATTTTTATTTATTAATTTATTTTTTGAGACAGAGTTTCACTCTTGTTGCCTGGGCTGGAGTGCAATGGCACGATCTCGGCTCACCACAACCTCCACCTCCCAGGCTCAAGCGATTCTCCCACCTCAGCCTCCCAAGTAGCTGGGATTACAGGGACCCACCACCACACCTGGCTAATTTTGTATTTTTAGTAGAGACAGGGTTTCTCTATGTTGGTCAGGCTGGTCTCAAACTCCCAACCTCAGGTGATCCGCCCACCTCAGCCTCCCAAAGTGCTGGGATTACAGGCATGAGCCACCGCACCTGGCCAACAAATAATATTTTTTTTTAGTATAAGTATGCCCCATGCTATATTTGGGAATACTTACACTAAAAGGATATTTATTGTTTACCTGAAATTCAGACCTACTCAGTGTCTCGCATTTAATCCTGCAAGCCTGCTCCGTGGGCCGCTGGGGCTCTCCCTTTCTAAGGGAGGCACCTGAAAGTGTGAGGATCAAGAGCAGTAGGAGGTGTCAGTAATAAACCTAATAAGCACTGTCCAGGGCATGACACGTCACCTCAGCCCCAGAGCCTGCTGAATCCCCAACTCCTGCTTTTCTGTACCTCCCCTTCCTCCCACTGGCTTCTCTGCTTCTGAGCTGCCTGCCTCTGGACTTTCTCTTTTAGTCTGTGACTTTCCCCTACCCTCACCTCTCCTCTTTTTTCCTCATTTTGCTCTCACTGATCCGTAACACGTAATTAAAGTTTACATATTTGAGTGTTGGTTGTAATTACTAAATAAGGTTTTATGTTCCTTGCTGTAATTTAAATAGCAGGGGAATTTAACTTTTTGTGTGTGTTTCATTTTGCTTTTATTGATAGGTGGCCTTAAATTCATTTTTAGCCATGTGAATCACTGACCTTCACCTTGAGCTGAGAGAAAGGCCTTCCATATCTGGAATGAACTCATGCACATCTTCCTAGAACAGATGCCAACGGAGGAAGTGGGGAATGGGATAGACTGAGGTGGTCGAGTGAAGGGAGACATCACTAGGTTGACCTATTCAAGAGAGAAGGAGACTCGGAAGCCTCCTGTGCTGCCCCGAAGCCCAGCCTTTTGGAATTGGGCCCCGCTGGCCCGGGAGAAGCCTCCTCTCTCCTCTTTATGATTGATTGCCTGACTCCTATGCAGTGAGAAGCAGCCTGTCATAGGGAGGCGCAGGGTTTGGGGTTAGAGACAAGCGCCCCAGGGGCCTTGTGCCTTCCCTCTCTGCCTCTCCCAGTGGGAGCAGACACTTGAAGGAAACTCCACTCTGTCCCCTCCCAAAACAGGTAGTCTGGACAACTTTCTGACGTCCCCCTGTGTTAGAAGCTTCTGGTTGCTAGTTGCTACCTTCAAGGACTCTGATGTCTGTTTTCTCTCCCATTCTCTCTGTCTGCCTTTGTTTTTCCATCCCCCCTCTCCACCCACCAACAGAGGGACCTCTACCTGTCTACCAGATGGGAGGCGTTTTCCCATCTGGGAAGAAAACTTTGAAGGACAGTTGCCATCTTGGAGAGAGAATACTGATCTGGGAATCAGGGAGTCCTCTCTATCCTGAGCTATTTGGCTCTACTCTCTTGGCTTCAGTTTCTGTATAAAATGAAGGTGATTTTGTTTGTATTAAAATATGAATAAAAACGAATGTTGGCCAGGTGTAGTGGCTCGCACCTATAATCCCAGCATTTTGGGAGGCTGAGGTAGAAGGATCACTTGAGCCCAGGAGGTCATGACCAGCCTAGGCAACGTAGTGAGATTTCATCTGTACAAAAAATAAGAAAATTAGGGGGGCTTGATGGTACACACCTGTGGTCCCAGCTACTCAAGAGTCTGAGGGAGGAGGATCACTTGACCCTGGGAGGTTGAGACCAGCCTGGGCAACATAACATACTCTGTCTCTACCAAAAAAAAAAAATTATTTATTTATTTATTTATTTTTCTTTTTTTAATTAGCCAGGAATGGTAGCATGTGCCTGTGGTTCCAGCTACTTCGGAGGCTGAGGTAGGAGGATCACTTGAGCCCACTAGGAGGTCGAGGCTGCAGTGAGCCGTGATCATGCCCCTGCACTTCATTCAGCCTGGAAGACAGACTCAAAAAAATAAATAAATACAATGTCAAAAAGTGAGCAAGGTTCTATCCCCAATCCAAATGCTAACTGGTTTAAAAAAAAAAAAAGTAGAAGAGAGACAAGGTCTCGCTGTGCTGCTCAGGCTGGTCTCAAACTCCTGTGCTCAAGTGATAACTCCCACCTTGGCCTCCCAAAGTGCTGGGATTACAGGCATGAGCCACCGCACCCAGACGTAAGCGGGTTTCTGTTTGTTAGAGAAGCCTTTTCTTCACCAAGTTAAGAGGACCTTACCACTTCATTTTGGGAGGAGTGTTTTTATTCCTTCTATCTTGGATTCATGAACATCCAGGTGTTCTTTCTTACCTCTTCTTACAGGCAGGGGAGAATTTAAAAGAGCCTGAAAGAATAGTTATGTGCCCCTTGACATTTCAGCAAATGTTTCAGTAGAAAGGAGATTGGCTCTTTCAATAGTTCACCTAATGGTCTGTGACCGAGCTGAGGTGTCTTCTTGACCCTGTAAAGGAGGCAGCTCCATGAGTTTGAGGGCTACACACGTCAAATGGCTGTAGTTGCCCAAAGAATTTTGGATCAGATCTCTCACCTTTGATGGGAATGAAATAACAAAGCCTCACCCACCCGGGGCCTGTTGCCTTTTGCTGAGCAAAGTCCTGTCAGCCGTTTAGTACAGACAGAGGCTTCACCCCAGCTGGAAACCCGATAATGAGTGAGGCCTAAGAATCTGAGCTTCCCGGGGTGTGTGGGAAACCAAATATTAGAGGCCACAGCATTCCCCGACTCCAATACTTGGATGGAGCTTGTGCATTCCCTTGGTTACAGCCATTTGGGGCTCCAAAAGGCGGGAGAGGTTTAGCCAGAGCCTCCTCTCAGCAGTTCTGGGGGGCCCAATCCCTTGTCACCTTGAAGTTCTGTTTAATCCTTCACCTTCACAGCAGCACCACAGCAGTGAAAAACAATGAAAGTCAGCCACACCCGTGGAAATTCATGTCAGGGAAAGAAGGCAGGAACAGGATCAAAGCCTCTTGTAACCCAAGAATTCCTCAGCAGCTCCAGTCCCTTAATAATTATGGTTTGGAGATTTGCCAGAAAGCAAAACCACTTAGCATGCCATATTTAACAATGAACAGTTTTCTGTGTTCATAATAGTCACTGTGCAGAGCAAATAGGCACCTTGAACAAAGAGTAGGATATTTATATGTGTATATAAAATAACCCGCACCTACCTTAAACCTAAATATGTTTTCAGAGAAGAATGTGGTACGTCCCTCTGCTCTGGTACCTGCTTTATGAGTAAGTTGGAGAAAAGCTACATACTCTGCCCCCATCCCCACCTCCCCAGGTTTTTAAAATAGAAATATTTGTTTAACCCAGAATTTCCCAAACTTACTAAATAGTTACACTCTTTAGTTTCCAGCTGGAGTAAAGCTGCTTTGGTTGGTTTTGAAGTTTGGAGTGTTTTATGTTGTTTTAAATATCTACTAACATTCCAAAAAGCCAGTGTCCCCAGAAAAACTTTTTGGGAAGTGATGACCAAAGAGTGCAGGAGACAAGGATGTAGACCAGTGGGGGGACCGAGAAAACAAGTCCCAAGCCCTGAGGGGAGATGAACAAGTTTGCTGGAGGCCCAGGTCTCTGCATCAGGTTTAAGGAACCTTGGATCCAGGTTCTCCATGTCACTGTGTGTTCAGTTAGACTTTATCCAACAAACATTTGTCATTGGGGGAAATTAGAGAAGAATGGCTGCTTGGAGGAAAGTTCATTACAGCCAAACCTTAAAGGATGGGCAGAATTTCAAGAGGAAAAGATGAGAAAGATGGAGAACATTCCAGAAAGACATGGGTGGCAGAGTATGAGGCCTGTTCAGGAAAGGAATGTTAGTGTGGTACAAGCATCGAGTGCGTGAGTAGGGTGGGGTGAGATGAAGCGGGATGACACAAACGACCTTTGGATCAAATAGGATTCTTTCAGATGCAAGTGACAGAATGTCCAATGCAGCCCACTTCAGCATAAGGGAGGCATACTGGATCGTGTAACTGAGAATTCCAAGGCTAAGACTGGCTTAAGACATGACATAATTCAAGGACTCAAACAGTGTCCCAAGGACCTGGTTTCTTGTCATTTCTCCCTTCTGCTCCTAGGTTGGTTCTGTTTTCGATCAGCTCACACTTTTCTTGGAGTTTAAGATGGCTACAGCAGCTCTAGCCTTTACATCTTCATTTATTCAAGTCCAAGTCCTGTGTCAGTACAATCCCATTGCATTTTATTGGCTCTAGTTGGGGTCCAGGCCTATCCCTGATCTAATCTCAGGGGCCAGATGCCAGTGAGGGCATCATATTCCTGGCCTCTGAGATTAGTTCAGGGATAGGCCTGGAACCTGTCTGGAGCGGGTACCCATGCCTGGAGTTGAGGGTAGGGTTAGCCCCACCCAAACCACATGGACTAAAAGGTGTGGAGGGGCTGGGTCTCCAGAGGGAGACTGGGGACAGCTATCCAAAGGAGGGCGAATGGAAGGTGGGCAGCAAAAACAACAGATGTCTGCTAAAACCTGGAATGCTAGGCCAAAGAACCTGGATATCATTTACATCAGAGAACCAGTAAAGATTTTTGAGCAAATAAGCAGCGTGATCAGAGCTACACATTAACATTAATTCAGCTACAGTTTAATAGCTGCCATGTACTTGGCACATGGTAGGTACTTAATATAATTATATATTGAATGAGTGAATGCAAAAAGAGAGATGAGTAGCTCAGGAGAGGAGAGAGAAATTAAAGGTGGGCAGCATTTTTAGGCCATCGTAGCAGTTTGGAAGGGGAGCTAGCAAAGGGAATAACGAAGACCCATCAAGAAAACCAAGAGGTTCCATTGTCATGAAACCCACATAAGGAAAAACTATCAAGAGGGCAGGTTTGGTCACCCACGCAAACACTGTTGAAAGGTCAGGTTAAGGACGATGAGGATTGAGAAAATGTCATGAGTGAGAGTTGAGAGAGAAGGTTCAGTAGTGGGAGGTTAGAGCCACCTTTAAGGAGTTTAGAAGTAAGTAGGAGGTAGGCAAAGGGCCCAAGTGTTGACCACTCTGCTACATCACCTGTCTTCTTATCCTCCCCAATTCAAACTCAGCAAAAAAGGTGCTCTTTCCCCTGCACACATCCTTCACACAGCACCTTATACCTCCCCCATGACCTCTATCCAGCCACGATTCCCTTTCCTCCCAGGCGTCTTCAGGTTCTCCTTCTCTACCTCCAGTGGCTCCTTCTCATACAAATATTTACATCACTCCCCTGCCCTAAAACCACATCTTCTAGACCCTGATCTGTCTTCAAGCCAATGTTTCAAAAGAGTCATTAGAGAAGCTTTGACTTTGAGGGGGACGGAAGTTTGAGCTTATGCTGAATGTCCTTGTAGAAGTCAAGATTATCAAGAATGTCAAGTCAAGAAGTCAAGAATGAGTGGTTAGGGAGTAAGATGTAGAGACAGGGAAAAGATTGGAACAGTTTATATAGAGGATCAGTTAGGAGTCACCAGAATAGGAAGAAAAGAATTACCAGAGGACATGGAGATTCCAGCTGAGATTAAACAGCGTGAGTTTATAGACAGCTTCATCAGCAGACTGCCGCTACTCAGCTGGAATTGGTGGCTCAAAGTAGAACAGTAGATTGGGTTTGGGGAGAGGTGGCTAGGGAACATTGTTGAGCCTGGTGGCAGATCAGATTGACAAGAGCACTGGGGACTAGGAAGATCATCACAGGCCTGGGGAATCCTGGATAATGTAGAATAATAGCCTGGGAGAGAGGGCAAGGTCAAGGATGTGGTCAGGAGTAGGGGGCGTGGGTAATTTCAGTGGAAAAGGTAGAAGGTTAAACAGTCGTGTTAGGAATATTAAAGAGGCCATATGATGTGGGAGCCATAGTGTGTAGACTATGTGGCTTAAATCCCAAATCCTAAACTGTGTCTCTCTGTTATACCCCATTATAAAATGGGGCTCATAAAACCTACTTTAAAAGGTCATTATAATTAATATATATGAAGTACATATGATAGTGCCTTGCACATAAGTACCCACTAAACGTTCGCAATGATACTGATGTTCATTTCAAAGTGATGATAAAACTTAGAATTTGAGATCTTGAGTTGAAACAGTTCTAAATAATGACAAGTTCTCAGATGTCATCATGGTTAATTGGGAGTAGAGTAAAATCAGAGATGGGGAGTATTTGAATTGAAGAGGTTGAAAAATGGTGAAAGCAAATACTGGGAGGGACATCTTTATGGATGTGGAAGTCCCAGATGGGGTGGCCATGGCGCAGTCATTGAAGAAGGCCAGGTCTGTAGCCAGCAAGAATGGGGAGATGGTTAGTATGGACTTCAAAAGAGAGATTGTGGGGAATGGCAGGGGGATTATCTAGGAGTGGCAGAAGGAGTTTGCTATTCCGTCCAAGTCAGAGACTCAGGGACAGAAGGAACAGCCCCGAATGGAAAATCAGGAGAATGGTAGCTTCTGCCGGGAGGAGGAAGAAACACGGAAAAGATGACACATATGGAGAATTTGCTCACAATATGACAGATTTTAATTGAGGGGAACTATTTTTTCATAAGAGCTTTTGAGAAAAACTATTCCCTGAACATGGGGACACATCTGAAAAAGGCATGAGGATAGGGGAGGAGGTAGGAGGTTTTGGAGTAGATTTCTGAGAAAGCCAACAGAGGGAGGCCCTGTTTCCTCACCATGATTGTAAGGTGCATGACATGAGACAAGCTGGCTCAGGCCTGTGGGCTGGTGCTAGGCATGCCCCAGCTGGACACAGCTCCCTGTGGCCCTGCCACATCTCCCACTCGGGAGTACACAGTCCCACAGTACCTTAGATTGCTGTATTTCCCAGACCGGTGTTTCGCACGCTGACAGAGACAGGAAGCAGACCAGGTGAGCTGGGATTGGGGGCTTCTGCTTTTAGAGAGCAGAGAGCAACAAATGGGTTTAAAGGAGAGGAAACAGGACACCAGCAGGCTTCAGGGCTGCCTTCTCTTCCAAGAGTGCTGCTCTGTAATGTAATTGTATTTGGACATTTTTTCCACATGATGTCAGGGTATAGCCTCCCTTAAAAGCCTTCATGAAAAAGCACAACTATAAAACAGACTCAGGCAGTGAAATGGAAACCAGACGAGTGGTTCTGTGTAATTTAGGTAAAGAGATTTCTCTTTGCAGCTTTGTGATCTGATCTGATCTCTGCTCTCTGCATAAAACTGTGTTTCACAGGATCCACTTACATTTGAGTCTTACCATGCAGGTGATTTCAGATGTGAAATGTCTTGCTTTATTACCAGAAAGCAAGGGTTCCCTTCTTGGTGGCTGTGCAGACCACCCCTCTCAGGCTGCAACCTTTCCAGTCTTCTTGTCCTTGTGTGAGCCCAGACCCCAGCAAACAGGGAAGGAGGCCTGACCCCTTTTCACTCTTGTTTTAACCCCTCTGTTCACCTTCGTCTGTCCACCCCTCACCTCCCTTCTTAGGGTTAGTCTTTGGAGAATGCATCCTGGGGAGAAATACTCATTGAAGAGGCCCAATCCCTTTAAAGCAAATGGGCCCACTTTCCTGCCCATTCCCTTTGCTTTAACGCCTCAGGGACACAGAATTGAATTACCCATTGTCCTCTGTTCTTGACACACTATCCTGCTCCATCCCCATGAGGGTCCTTTTATTTTATTTTATTTTACTGTATTTTATTTTATTTTATTTTATTTTTATAGAGAAACGATCTCACTATGTTGCCCAGGCTGGTCTCAAACTCCTGGGTTTAAGGATCCTTCGATCTTGGCCTCCCAAAGTTTTGGGATTACGGGTGTGAGCCACCATGCCCAGCCCCTTTCTTTTTTCATGTTTATATATTATTGAGATGAAATAAACATAAAATTAATCATTTTAAAGTATACAGTTCCAGTAGCGTTTAGTACTTTTACAGTCGTGTGCAGTCATTACCACTATCTAGTTCCAGAACGGTTTCATCACTTCCCTAAAAACCCTGTACCCATTAAGTAGTCCCCACTATCCCCTGGCCTCTGGCAACTGCCAGTCTGCTTTCTGTCTCCGTGACTTTTCCTATTAAGTTTTTTCATATAAATGGATTTATATATGACCTTTTGTGCTTGGCTATTTTCATTAGACATAATGTTTACAAGGTTCATCCATGCTGTAGCGTGAATCAGCACTTTTAGTTCTTTTTATGGCTGAGTAATGGTCCATTGTATGGATCTACCACATTTTATTTATCCATTCATCCATTAATGGATGGACATTTGTGTTGTTTCCACCTCTTGGCTACTGTGAATAGTGCTGCATGAACATTCATGTATAAGCTTTTATTTGGGTACTGCTTTCAGTTCTCTTGGGTATGTACCTAGGAGTGGAATTGTGGGTCACATGGTAATTCTTTGACTTATTGAGGAACTGGAGGTCCTTTCTTGATGGACATCCTCCCCAGGTCTGCTCTGACAAGGAATAGCAGGCATGTTCCAACCTATCCCCACCTCCCAAGACACTGAGAATTGGCACAATGTCATCATTCTGTTAGATCTGGAAATAAACCGAAGAAAAAAGAGTATGGTCACCACAGAGATGCTGGTAATCAGAAGAAAGACAGCTTGGATGGGGGTGGGAAGGGGATGGGGTACTGAGAAGATTCAGGGTCACTTGAAAAGATTTGACTAAGGCCCAGGAAGAACTTAAGAGAAAGGGACTCAGCCACCCAGAATGAAGGAAATTGTAAGCCTAAAATACCCATGGCTGGTACAGCCAATCCACTAGTGATGAGGGAGGGATATAAGAGAGCTGTGAACTTACTTTTTCCTGCAACTAGGGGGCCGGGAAGCCACGTAGAAAGAGTCTTTAATGTTAAGGATGTAGGACATTTGGGCCTTGTGGGAGCACTGAAGGCTTTTAGACTGAGACATAATCAGGTCAGAGTTGTCTTAGACAGGTCACCCTGACCACAGGGAAGGGGAAAGCTTGGAGTCTAGACAAGACTGGAAGCAAGGAGCCTGCTTAGAAAGCTACCATCATTGGCCGGCCACAACGATTCACACCTGTAACCCCACATTTTGGGAGGCCAAGGTGGGAGCAATGCTTGAGCCCAGGAGTTCAAGACCAGCCTGGACAACATGGCAAAAACCCTGTCTCTACAAAAAATGCAAAATTAGCTGGGTGTAGTGGCGTGTGTCTGTAGTTCCAGTTACTCAGGAGACTGAGGTGGGAAGATCACTTGAGCCCAGGAGGTTGAGGCTGCAGTGAGCCATGATTGCACCACTGCACTCCACCCAGCCTGGGCAACATAGTTAGACCCCATCTCAAAAAAAAAAGGAAGGCTACCATTGTTCTGAGAGGAAGGATGGTGAGGATGGACCAAGGAAGTGGCAGTGGGGATGGAGAGGTGACAAGTTTGAGAGGTGTTTAAAAAGGGGCACAATTGTCAGACAGGTTACTGTGCATACAGAGGTGAAGGCAGAGCATGAGATGCTGTGGAGAAGAAAAAGTAAAGCAGGAAGCAGCAGAGGAGGGCGCCTCAGAGTTCCAGAGAGCTCCAGAGCACTGCACACACTGCCGAGAGAGCCCAGTCAGACTGGGCACGAGGCTGAGAGTGTGGGGACAGGAAGCCTGTGGAAGCGGCCCGGGCCGCTCCTTCTGAGTGAGGGCTAAATATGGAGGAGATTTGTGTCCTTTTTCTTCCTTCAGGTACAAAACTTTCAAAACGGATTCCATGTGTTTTGATTTCAATATTTTGACCTGGAGGACACTGTGACTCTATGTAAATGCAAATTTCTAATCTGAATTATATGAACATTAATTCATTTCATCAAGAAATTATTTTCCATCGTAACTCCTACAATCCAGTTTAATTCCTTAATCAATTTTCTTTACTGAGCGAGCGTGGTGGCTCATGCCTATAATCCCAGCACTTTGGGAGGCTAAGGCGGGCAGATCTCCTGAGGTCAGGAGTTCAAGACCAGCCTGGCCAACATGGCAAAACCCCATCTGTACTAAAAATACAAAGAAATTAGCCAGGCATGGTGGTGCACGCCTGTAATCCCAGCTACTCAGGAAGCTGAAGTGGGAGAATCGCTTGAACCCGAGAGGCAGAGGTTGCACTGAACCGAGATCATGCCACTGCACTCCAGCCTGGGTGACAGAGCGAGACTCCGTCTCTCTCTCTCTCTCTCTGTCTCTCTCTCTCTCTGTCTCTCTCTCTCTCTCTCTCTCTCTCTCTCTCTCTCTCTCTCTCTCTCTCTATATATATATATATATATATATATATATATATATTTCTGTATGGAGCAGTGAAGGCATTTCCTAAAGTTCTCCTTTATTTTCTTAAATATCAACTTTTTTTTTGTTTGTTTTGTTTTGCTTTAAGATAGGGTTTTGCTCTGACGCCCAGGCTGGAGTACAGCAGTGTGATCACAGCTTACTGCAGCCTTGAACTCTGAGGCTCCAGTAATCCTCCCGCCTCAGCTTCCCAAGTAGCAGGGACCACAGGCATGTACCACCACATTCAGCTAATTTTTAAATTTTTTGTAGCCACAGGTTCTCACTATGTTGCCCAAGCTGGGCTTGAACTCCTGGGCTCAAGTGATCCTCCCACATCAGCTTCCCAAAATGTTGGGAATATAGGCATGAGCCACTATGCCCAGCACCCCCCTTTTTTTTTTTTTTTTTTTTTTTTTTTGAGACGGAGTCTTGCTCTGTCGCCAGTCTGGAGTGCGGTGGCGCGATCTCAGCTCACTGCAACCTCCGCCTCCTGGGTTCAAGCGATTCTCGTGCCTCAGCCTCCCGAGTAGCTGTGATTACAGGCACCTGCCAATACTCCCAGCTGATTTTTATATTTTTAGTAGAGACGGGGCTTCACCATGTTGGCAACTCCTGACCTTTGGTGATCTCCCCACCTCAGCCTCCCAAAGTCCTGTGATTACAGGCATGAGCCACCTCACCCGGCCGTGCCCAGCCTTTAATAGTGATTTTATTTTTATTCAACAATTTTAGTCAGTAGGACTTTTCATGCCCAGTTTTAGAACTTGTGAGTTTTATTTTTTGTGTTTGTTTCCACCAAATCACAATTTCCCCCAGTCATTGTCTTGTTATTTGCAGTTTTTAGTGTTACTAACAAAATGACTTCTGGGGTCGGTTACTTTGAATTTTTTTCATGTGCTGCCATTTTCAGTGTAGTCTGATTATCTTCACTATTAACATTCACTGAAAAGTAGAAAACAGCCTGCCTCTTCCTGGAGTCCCTCCTCCCAGCTTCTCCACTGAAGACCTGGTGCTTAAAGGAAGGGAAGTTTTCTGGGCAGTGGACCCCTGGAGTCTCGAAACCCTTAAGACTCAAATGCTCCTCTTAGCAGGTAATTTCAATCCATCCCGCAACAGTTTGAGCATTCCTCCTTTTTAGTTGGCCCAAAACCCAGAGTCTTGCTGCCCTCTAAACTCTGAATTGTTCTCCCTTCCTTGGCATGTTCCTGAAAGGTTTTCTGTGGACCTCTCCCTTCTCTTGCCTGCCTTCCAGGCTTCTCCACACTCAGCGTCAGCCTAGGGCCATGTCAGCGGTGATTTCCCATGCCTTTGGGAAATGTAGTCACTCCAGGGAGGCTGCTGGGGAGTGTTGGCCACAGGGGACAGATAGGAAAGGCCTTGAGAGCTCTGGGGAGTAAACTCCATTTCAAGATATAAAATTCCCAGAAATTTTGAAATCACAGGCATTTTCATTTTGAACACTGTTTATAAATCTTAAAATCATGTTGTGAGTTTAAAAGTCATTTATACCTTGATTTGGTCATTGCATTACCATAAACTGTATTTGTTCTATTTAGAGCTGTAAAGGCCTAGGGGGTGAGGTAGGGTGCCTATAGTAAGGGAACTTTCTGGATTCTGTTTTTTTTTGTTTGTTTGTTTGTTTGTTTGTTTTTGAGACGAGTCCTGCTCTGTCACCCAGGCTGGAGTGCAGTGGCGCAATCTAAGCTCTCTGCAACCTCCACCTCCCGGGTTCAAGTGATTCTCCTGCCTCAGCCTCCCAAGTAGCTGGGACTACAGGCGCCCACCACCGTGCCCGGCTAATTTTTATATTTTTAGTAGAGACAGGGTTTCGCCATGTTGGCCAGGCTGGTCTCAAACTCCTGACCTCAAGTGATCCGCCTGCCTCAGCCTCCCAAAGTGCTGGGATTACAGGCGTGAGCCACCACGTCCAGCCTCTGGATTCTGTATAAGACTGGGAGGCGGGTGCCTAGTAAGGGAACTTTCTGGATTCTGGATAAGGCTGGGAGGTGGGCGCCTAGTAAGCAGACTTTCTGGATTCTAGATAAGGCTGGGAGGTGGGCACCTAGTAAGGAAACTTTCTGGATTCTAGATAAGGCTGGGAGGCGGGCGCCTAGTAAGGAGACTTTCTGGATTCTGGATAAAGCTCGGAGGTGGGCGCCTAGTAAGGGAACTTTCTATATTCTGGATAAGGCTGGGAGGCGAGTATCTAGTAAGACACTTTCTGGATTCTGCATAAAGCTGGGAGGCAGTAATGTTAAAGTCCTCAAGAGAGAAACATTATCTTCTTGAGTTTTTCTGATTTTCAAATTCTAGTCTTCAGTTACACCTCAGGACCATCTGCACCACCCACCCATATCCCACCAGTGTGTTTTGGGAGCCAAGCAGTCCCCTTTCTTGAGCTCTGTGCTGTGTTTACAGTACCTTGACTGGGCACATTCTTCAAGACTAGCACAGTGCCTTTTGCTCATGACAGCTCTGTTGAAATGAATCAGTCATTTGCTTTTCCTCTCTCCCACCTGAAGCCCTGAGTAAGCTCAGAGGGTTGAGGGTGGGAGTGGGAAACCAGGCAGGTGACAATGAGGGCCAGTGAAGCTTCACAAAGAACTCAGAAGGAACCAGTAAGTCTTAGGAGCTCAGGCCAAGAAGACTTACTTTCTTATAAAAGAAAGAAGTTGCTGGGCGTGGTGGCTCATGCCTATAATCCCAGCACGTTGGGAGGCCAAGGCGGGTGGATCACCTGAGGTCAGGGGTTCAAGACCAGCCTGACCAATATGGTGAAACCCTGTCTCTACTAAAATTACAAAAATTAGCCAGGCGTGGTGGTATGTGCCTGTAGTCCCAGCTACTAGGGAGGCTGAGGCAGGAGAATCGCTGGAACCCACAAGGCAGAGGTTGCAGTGAGCCGAGATCACACCACTGCACTCCAGCCTGGGCGACAGAGCAAGACTCCGTCTCAAAAAAAAAAAAAAAAAAGAAGAAGAAAGAAAGAAGCTCCAGTAGTGAAATAAGCTGAAGAAAACTGAAGTGACTTCAAGGAAAGGAAAAAGAGAAGTTTCAAGATCCAGGCTGGTCAGTGAGGAATGTGGAATGTGTCCTCAGAGCTGGTGAACTCTGCCCAGGCAGAGGAGAGGAGGCTGATGGAAGGCAGACCTCAGGTTGCCCAGCACTTGCCAGTCTGTGGAAGCCTCCGTCACTGGCTCATGACACAGGGGTAGGGAGGAAAGAAGAGGGCTGGGTGCTGCCATGTCCAGGAGGAGTGCTCTGGGGTGAGTGGCCATGCAGATAGGAATGAAGTGCAAGGCACTTACCACCTGGTCAGAGTTGGAGGCGATCGAACCCTCTGGGAGGCTCTGCAGAGTGAAATCATCAAGGAGCAGGCATAGGGAGGGACTCATCTGCTGTGGAGGGACTGGCTTTGCACTTTTCACAGGAAAGGCCTGACACAGTTCAGGCCCCAAAGGAATCGTCACCAAATGCAAGAATGCCAAATGCAGGCCAAAATGGCTGGACAGGGCCCACTGCTTGCTCTGCTGTCCCTTCACACACCAGGGCCCCAAGGACTGGCCTTTATTACCTGCTCCAGAACAGCCATGAAGCCCACATGAACAGCCCATGGGTGCCGTACCCTTTCCTGCTGAGCTCCAGAGATTGCCACAGGAAACAGGAGTGAGGTGCACACAAAACTGGGTATAATGGAAGCACCCGGAAGGGCTGGAGGCTGTGACAGCTCCAGGTTGTAAGCCCCCTGGAGAACCACGTCTTTTTCACAGATGGTATTTTCTGAGAGCAATATTTGTTTGAATCCATTCCTTATTTGCTACTGTGGTTTGAAGTGAACAAATGCAAGTATTTTTCTAGGGTTTGAGCTGAGTGTACTGTTAACTGGCTATAATTTATCAGTCCCTTTTTGGTGAAGTATGTCCCTATTGAATAAGAAGTGCACACTTTTTAACTCTTATGAATTGCTTATTTTCATTCATATTGGCTGTGTCCATTTTTAAAATCAGGGGAAAAATTTTATTTACCCAGTGTTTTGAGGTGGGCCCACATTTTTAAAATCATAGTTATTTTAACTTTAAAAATAAAGATTTTTTGGAATGTATTGTTGATTAAAAATAATAATAAAGATTTTGAAATTATCTTTTCTTTTAAATGAAAACAAAGGATTTGCTAGGGTATTTCTGGTTTCATAATAGGTCACCAGGAAACATGTTTACATCAGGCAGTCATAGGTTTTAGGCATGTAACACTTCTGTGGAGTTTGTATTCTTTGGGAACTGGACCTGCAGGTATTCTGGGGAACCCAGGCCATTTGTTCCATTTGAAAATAGCTAAAGCATGAAGAAAAGGCAAATTCTTAGAATTTTAAAGGGTTTTCTCTCAAGTAGTTTTAAAATTTCAAATGATGGTGTTGTATCCCTTCCCTTCAGACCTGGAATCACATTTTCCCCTCAAGACAGAAAGGGCTCTGCGGCAGGTTGTGCCTGGGAAGGGGCTGCTTCTCATTTGTGGCCACCTCTCTGCCCAGGAGCTGGTGAGGAAGGGTGAACTAGGGGATGCCTTTCAGAACAAAGGAGGTGAGGAGATGAGCCCCTCCACATCTGCCCCAAATAGAGACCGGCGTACTAGACTGAGCACTCACAGAGACGTTCACGAAGGGACTGTTTGCGGTTGTGTGAGATTGGAGGCAGGCCTACAGCAGGGCTTCTCATCGTTGGCACTGTGGACATTAATTGGGGTGGTAGGGCTATCGTGAACACTGTAGAATGTTGAGTAGCATCTCTAGCCCCTACCTACTAAATGCCAGTAGCACCACCAACTCTGACTCTGACAACCAAAAATGTCTCCAGACACGGGCAGATGTACCCTAGGAGCAGTGTGCCCTCTGGCTGAGAACCATGGGTGAAGGGAAGCAGTCATGATGTTGAGGCACCTACAGACAAGAACAGTAGGAAGCCCTTCCCACCCCTCTGGCTGAAAGGGAGACCCCAGGAATAGTGGAAGTCAGGGAGGAGGAGCTGCCCAGCAGGTGCCCTAGCCATGAGGGATGCAGCCACTGCTAGAATCTTCGCAACTTTCTGGGGAGGGTGCAAGAAAGAAATACCGCCAACTCCTCTCACTTCTACCCTCCAGTATACCAGTGCTCCCTTCACATTAGGAGAAGTCAGCTAGAAGCCCGGTGGCAAGGACACCTGGGTAAGGCAGTCTATTGAAATCAGCATCTTGGGGCACTGGGCAGGGTGGAGGAGGGGCACAGAATGGAAAACGGAAAATAATCATTCTGTTCATCCATCCATCCATCCATGTATTCAGTACTTATGAGCAGCTTAGCAAAGTGGTCAAGAATGTAGGTGCTGGGCCGGGCACAGTGGCTCACACCTGTAGTCCCGGCACTTTGGGAGGCCAAGGTAGGTGGATCACTTGAGCTCATGAGTTCAAGATCAGCCTGGGCAATATGGTGAAACCCTGTCTCTACCAAAAATACAAAAATTAACCAAGCATGATGGTGTGCCTATAGTCTTAGCTACTTGGGAGGCTAAGATGGGAAGATGGCTTGACCTGGGAGATGGAGGTTGTAGTGAGCTGAGACCACACCACTGCACTCCAGCCTGGGTGGCAGAGCCAGACCTTGTCTGCACAGAAAAAAAAAAGAAAAAAGAATATAGGTGCTGGAGTGCTGGAGTCAGATAAGCCTGGATTTGTATCTGGCCCTACCACTTGCAACCTGTATCCTGTATGATCTTGAACAAGTTGTTTATCTAAATGTCAGTCACCTTGAGTATAAAATGGCAACAATAATTCTATCTACCTAGACCTTATTCTTGCAATCTTGGATTTTTCCCCAATGGGAAAATGCAAGTCACAAGTAAATTGCATAGTATAAGACCACAGTCAAGTGCTAAGCGGGTGGTATCTGGGCAGTACCCAGTGTTGGTTTTATAGACAGTCCTGGGAAAGGAAAGACACAGGGTTCAGCCATGAAGTGCCCCCCTCAGCATCTGTGAACACCTTGAGCACTGTGCAGATACAGTGGAGAAAAAGTCCCCAGTGGGCTGAGAAACACCACAGGATCTGCGTTGCGTCCTGAGGGACAGGCCGGCAGGCTAAGTGAAAAGGAGGAAGAAGGGACCCCAGAGCAGGGAATGGTGAGTGAATCAAAGCCAAGAGAGTTGGAGGGAGGGGGAAGGCCCAGATAGCAGTGTGGGGAGACCACTGAGATGAGGTTTGGTTGAGGGACTCAGTGTTCTCTCCTGTAAAAGTAAGGGGAGGGCCTGGGGCCAGCTGCCTTCTTCAGTACCATTTCACAGGGGTCACCAACTCACATGTCCACAGAGACCACTCAAGTGAGCACGCACGTGAAAGGCGCGCGATGGGAGGCAGTAGGGCGGTCCCAGGCTGGAAGCATCCGCCTTCTGTAGGCGTGGCCACCGCTCTGCTCCAGCAGCTGCTGCCGTCTTCTAATGCAGGCCTAGAGACACCACAGTCTGATTTTCCTAATTTTCAAAAGATGCTAGAAATTTGGATCTTTATGAGAATTGCCCTGATTTTTTTTTAAATCCATGTGAGCTGTACTAAATAGTCCCTTTGCACCCCTGTCCAGACACTGCTGGTAAGTCCAGACAGGGGTGCAAAGGGACTGTTTAGTACAGTTTAGCTGACACAACTCAGCTTAGAACCCAAGTTGTGTGTGTTTGGATTCTGCCTCCGCATATACTTTCTTTTAAATAGTAGGCTCTAAGACTTAAAACAAAAAGGATGCCAGGCAAAGTGGCTCACACCAGTAATCCTAGCACCTTGGGAGGCCTAGGTGTGTGGATCACTTGAGCCCAGGAGTTTAAGACCAACCTGGGCCACGTGGCAAAACCCGTCTCTACAAAAAATACAAAAATTAGGGGGGACATGGTAGTTTGTGCCTGTAGTCTCAGCCACCAGGGAGGCTGAGGTGGGAGGACCACTTGAGCCTGGGAGGTCGCTGCAGTGAGCTGTGATTGTGCCACTTTGCCCTAGCCTGGGCGACAGAGTGAGACCCTGTCTCAAAAAAATAAACATAAAAAAAAGGAAGAGGGGTCCACCTGGGCCCGGTGAAGTCTGAATTCCCCCCAGACTTAATATCATGGCCAGGTAGGGATTTGGGGGAAGGGATGGCTGTGGACAAGGGCACAGACAGGGACGAGGGCAGAGAGAGGGTGGGCCATAGTCCTGGTGCTGCACCCGGCCCTGGCACTTGGCCCAGTGCATGCTGGGACTAGGGCTGCCCTTGAGAGCTCTGGCCAGCACATTTGGTTCTTCTTTGATGAAATTTTTTAAATTTTCAGATAAAGGACAGAGACTGTTAACCACAAACACCTATGTTCCCCGACCCAGACTTCCTACTGGGTTCTTTGCAGCTGGGGAGATGATCCCCTTCCATTCCTTAGGACACTGACCTTCCTCTGGGCCATTTGTCTCCAGTAGGGGTCAGCTGGGAGCTTTTAATTGGTGGTAAAGGTTGAAATGATGGCATTTGATAGCATGGCCATGAATGTACTCACAGAGTGCCCCACCTGGAATCCCAGCTCTGAGCCTGGGCTCTGATGGCCCTGGTGGGTGGAGAGCCCTGGCTAGTCTCGGAGTAGAGGGTAAGGGGAGGTAGGGGACTGAGAGGCTTCTGGCAGCCCCAGGAAATGTTGACTGGCAGAGTCAGCTGAACCGAGCTTGTTTTTCATGACTAATTTAAAGTTCAGGCTCTTCCCCTGCTAAGGGGAAGTGAAGACGACCATGGAGAAGACTAGAAATAATGAGGTTATCTGGAAACGGCCTCATGAAACCTGAATGTATTTTTGCTCAGAAAAAAAGAAAGTGCAGTAACACTCACTCCGTCAGACGCTGCCTTTGCTGCCCAGGCCACCCCAGCCTGCCTGGCCTCGCCTCCAGTCCTCCCTTTAGTGGGCAGCTTGTCTCCCTGCGGCCCAAGCTTGGGCTCCTCACTGCCTCTCGGTTGTGTGTGTCCTCTCACCCACCCTGCTTAGCCTGTCTGTGAAGCCACCTCCTCCTTCCACATTTGTTTTTCCTTTCTGTCTTTTGATTACCCCTACTCATGATATAATTTGTCTGTGTCACACACCGTCTTCGACTGTTTCGTCACACTTCGTGTGGGTCAGCTTGCCTCTGGCAACTCTTCTCTCTCTTAGAGTGGTTTTCTGGGTGGTTTTCCTCATGTTTCACACAGCGTCCTCCACACACAGGTGATCAATAAATACTTGTGGGTAGATAAAATATCAGATTGATGGGTGAATGGGTGAGTGGGTGGATGGGTGGTGAGTTGGTTGGATGGCAGGGCCACCCAACACCTTGGCCAGTCCCCTAAAGCTGAGGGATTTTTCAGATGCCTGAAGGAGGATTCTCCAGAGCTAGGGGCAGGGAGAATTCAACCCATTGCCATTTGCACAGCATTTACTATGCTGATTGCCCTCTCTTGAGAAGGACTAGAAGGCAGACTTGACCAATGGCCTTAGTCTAGAAGTCATCTCCCCCATAATACTTTAAAATCAGACCATGGGCTTTTTAATCCGTGGTCTGAAATAGTTTTCAAGGTTGGCACCTGGAAGACATCCACTTTGACATCTTTCTTTCATTCAGTAGTTGAAAGCAACCTCAAAGTCTGTGACTTACCTGTCTACCTGCCTAGAAATTAATAATCACTTCCCCTAGTGGGGGGAATCAGAGGCTGAGATTTGTAGTGGAGGCAACACACTGTGTGAGGCCTGGGTCTTCACCTCCAGCCCTGTTGGGGGGCGGGGGATGGGGGTGGAGGCGCTCATCGTGGAGGCAGAGAAGAAGCACCAGGGAGTATCAGCACATAACAGGGTTTCTGATAGCTAGGCATCTGCCTTGGATGGGGAGCCCTGATGTGGCTGGGGCAGTAGCAAGATGAAGGCTATACTGCAGCAGCCCTGAAGGCTCTGGTTTGCTTCCCTCCTCTGCAGTCCCAGTGAGTTATCCCTTCACAAGGATGGAAGGCACCAGATTAACCAATTCTAAATGCTGATCCATCACATTTCCAACATGATTCCAAATGACCACATGTTAATCCCACTTGTGTAGGCCTACCACAGACATGAATGTGTACCAGCTAACCCCACCCATTTGAAGCACTCCAGGAAGATTCTAGGGCATATTTCTTCTTGCCCTAGCAGTGTAGCCGGTGGGAGGAAGAGCCTCGGAGATCATTTATTCCCCACATTGACGTCTTCCTCCCACCAACCCCCAGCTCCCACAGCTCTTGGCATGTGAACCACTCCACTGAGCACCTGATGTCCCTGCTGTTGCCTGGGTGTTTGTCTTACCTTCCCACCTAGACCTCCTGCTTCTTCATTCCCTTTTGTGGCTGATTACTATTCCATTGTATGAATTTATAACAGCATTTTATTTATCCATTTATTAGCTGATGGACATTTGGGTTATTTCCACATCTTGGCTCTTATGAACAAGGCTGCTATGAACATTTATGTACAAGTTTTTGTGTGGATGTGTCTTTTTTCTCTCTCTTAGATACACTCCTAGGAGTGCAGTTTTTGGGTCATAGGTTTAATCTTTTGAGGAGAACTGCAAGACTGTTTTCCAAAGTGGCTACACCATTTTACACTCCCACTAAAAATGTATGAGGGTTCCAATTTCTCCACATCTTTGCCAAAACTTAACTTTTTTTTATTATAGTCATCCCAGTGGGTGTGAAGTGGAATGTGACTGGGGTTTTGATTTGCATTTTCCTGATGATTAATGATGCTAAGCATCTTTTCATGTGTTTATTAAGAGTATTAAGAGTTCTTTATGTAGTTTAGATACAGTCCCTTGTCAGAGACAGGATTTGTTCATATTTTCTCCCTTTCTGTGAATTATCCTTTCACTTTCTTTTTGATGTTACTTTGAAGCACAAAAGTTTTCCATTTTGACAAAGCCCAGTCTTCCTTCTCTCCCTTCTTTCCTTCCTCCCTCCCTTCCTTCTTTCCTTCCTTTTTTTTTTTTTTTTTTTTTTTTTTTTTTTTTTGAGATGGAATCTTGCTCTGTCATCCAGGCTGGAGTGCAGTGGCACGATCTTGGCTCACTGCAACCTCCACCTCCTGGGTTCAAGCAACTCTCCTGCCTCAGCCTCCCAAGTAGCTGGGACTACAGGTGTCCACCACCACGCCTGGCTAATTTTTGTATTTTTAGTAGAGACAGGGTTTCACCCTATTGGGTCAGGCTGGTCTCGAACTCCTGACCTCAGGTGATCCACCCACCTCAGCCTCCCAAAGTGCTGGGATTACAGGCATGAGCCACAGCACCCAGTCTGACAAAGCCCAGTTTCTCTAGTGTTGCTTGTGTTTTTGATGTCATATCTAAGAAGTAGTTGCCTAATTCAAGGTCATACAGATTTACTTCTATGTTTTCTTCTGTGAGTTTTCTAAGGCCAAGCGTGGTGGCTCAAGGCCGGGCGTGGTGGCTCACGCCTGTAATCCCAGCACTTTGGGAGGCCGAGGCGGGTGGATCACGAGGTCAGGAGTTCAAGACCAGCCTGGCCAAGATGGTGAAACCCCGTCTCTACTAAAAATATAAAAAGTTTAGCCAGGCACAGCGGCAGGCACCTGTAATCCCAGCTACTCAGGGAGGCTGAGGCAGGAGAATTGCTTGAACCTGGGCAGCAGAGGTTGCAGTGAGCTGAGATTGCGCCACTGCACTCCAGCCTGGGTGACAGACAGACTCCATCTCAGAAAAAAAAAAAAAAAAAATCAAATGAGTTTTCTAGTTTTTGCTCTTACATTTAGGTGTTCGGTACATTTTAATTTTTGTATATTGTGTGAGGTAGGGGTCCAACGTCATTCTTTCGCAGGTGTGTATCCAGTTGTCCCAGGATTACTGGTTGAAAAGACCGTTTTTTCCCCATTATTTTGGTACCCTTGTCAAAAATCATTTGACCATAAATGTGAGGGTGTGTTTCTGGACTCTCAGTCTGTTGATTTGTGTAATCTGCCCTTGCTGTTCTGTTGATCTATATGTCTATCCTTATGCCAGTACCACGCTGTCTTTATTCCCTGGTTTTTTTTTTTTTTTTTTTGAGACAGAGTCTTGCTCCATCACCCAGGCTGGTGTGCAGTGGCGCGATCTCGGCTCACTGCAAGCTCCGCCTCCCGGGTTCACGCCATTCTCCTGCCTCAGCCTCCCGAGTAGCTGGGACTACAGGCGCCCACCACCATGCCTGGCTAATTTTTTTTTTTTTTTTTGTATTTTTAGTAGAGACGGGGTTTCACTATGTTAGCCAGGATGGTCTCGATATCCTGACCTCATGATCCACCCGCCTCGGCCTTCCAAAGTGCTGGGATTACAGGCGTGAGCCACCGTGCCCGGCCCACGCTGTCTTTATTCCTATAGCTTTGTAGTAAGTTTTGAAATCAGGAAGTGTGAGTCCTCCAATTTTGTTTTCTTTTTCAAGATTGTTTTGGATACACAGCAGATTCTTTATTTTTTGTAGCAACACGGTCTTGTCTCAAGTGATCCTTCCACCTTAGCCTCCCAAAATTAGGGGATTACAGGTGTGAGCCACTGAGCCCAGCCTCTCAGCAGATTCTTAAAACACACTTGTTGCTTGGCTGCTTGCTTTCTTGTTTCCTTGATGGACTGGCCAGCCTGTAAGAGCCTAGCTGGCCTGCATGCTTAAGTGACAAATTCCTCTCCCTACTCCAGCCTCCCTTCATAAGGCATTTGGCCAGTAGAGATCTAGGCAGTTCTGGCTGAGCTGTCTTAGTCCAGGGCAAGGTAGTAAGAGACCGAATTTGGCAGGTTGCAGCTGGTCCCTCAAGCAGGAGATCTAAATCCAACTCATCCTTCCCCCCGCATCCCCAAAACATCTCAGCATTCCTTCCTCTTCTGTCCTTGCCTTGCAGGCTTGGAGTCTGGGTAGTTAAGAGTTCTATCTAGACCCACTTCTGGCCACATCACACCAGCTCTTCCCTTTTGCCTGTCATCCCGCCACTCTCCTGCCCCTTCCTAACCATGATTCATGGCAAAATGGTGCAAGATGGGCCAGGCGTGGTGGCTCACGCCTGTAATCCCAGCACTTTGGGAGGCCGAGGCAGGTGGATCACAAGGTCAGGAGATCGAGACCATCATGGCTAACACGGTGAAACCCCGTCTCTATTAAAAATTCAAAAAAAATTTAGCCGGGCGTGGTGGCGGGTGCCTGTAATCCCAGCTACTCGGGAGGCTGAGGCAGGAGAATGGCATGAACCCGGGAGACGGAGCTTGCAGTGAGCCGAGATCCCGCCACTGCACTCCAGCCTGGGCGACAGAGCGAGACTCTGTCTCAAAAAAAAAAAATGGTGCAGGATAGAGGCTACCTGTCCTGTCAGGTGGGGCTAGTGCAGCAGCCTAGCCTTCCTTGGTGGCATCTCTGGTCACCCCCATAGGTTCTTTATGGACTCAACAGGAATGTCACTTGAGCTGCAGATACTGATTTTGCTGATGGATGATGAAATTTTTTTCTTCCCTGTTGGGCTTTCAGTCCTTGCCTTAAGGAGACCATAAAAAAAGTGGTGGGAGGCCAGGTACAGTGGCTCATGGGTGTAATCCCAGCACTTTGGGAAGCCGAGGGGGCAGATCACTTGAGGTCAGGAGTTCGAGATCAGCCTGACTAACATGGAGAAACCCCGTCTCTACTAAAAATACAAAATTAGCCGGGTGTGGTGGCGCATGCCTGTAATCCCAGCTACTTGGGAGGCTGAGGCAGGAGAATCTCTTAAACCTGGGAAGCGGAGGTCGCGGTGAGCCGAGATGGTGCCACTGCACTCCAGCCTGGGCAACAAGAGCGAAACTCTGTCTCAAGACAAAACAACAACAACAAAAAAGTGATAAGCTGGGCACAGTGGTTCATGCCTGTAATCCCAGCGCATTGGAAGGCTGAGGCGGGTGAATCACTTGAGGTCAGGAGTTCAAGACTAGCCTGGCCAACATGGTGAAACCCCATCTCTACTAAAAATACAAAAATTAGCCAGCCATGGTGGCAGGAGCCTGTAATCCCAGTTACTCAGGAGGCCGAGGCAGGAGAATCGCTTGAACCCGGGAGGTGGAGGTTGCAGTGAGCTGAGATCACGCCACTGCACACAAGCCTGGGCAATACAGCAAGACTCAGTCTGAGAAAAAAAAAAAGAGTGATAAACCCACTGGGTGCAGCGGCTCATACCTGTAATCCCAGCACTTTGGAAGGCTGAGGTGGGTAGATCACTTGAGGTCAGGAGTTTGAGACCAGCCGGGCCAACATGGTGAAACCCAGTCTCTACAAAAAATACAAAAATTAGCTGGGCAAAAACAAAATTATCTGGGTGTGGTGGCACATGCCTATAGTCCCAGCTACTTGGGGGCTAAGGCAGGAGAATTGCTTGAACCCAGGAGGCGGAGGTTGCAGTGAGCCAAGATCACGCCACTGTACTCCAGCCTGGGCAACAGACTCTGTCTCAATCAATCAATAAAAGTTGAAGGGAAAAAAGAAAGAAAAAGGCCACTTAATTATCCCTTCTCTATACAGATTCTCAGCCAATTGAGAACTGCAGAAAGGAGTTAGGTAGAGGTAAAAATGGAGATTGTATTGTAGGTAGAGGCCCAGTCAACACATGGCTCAGACCCACAGCCAAAATGCACCTTCACCCCCTCCCCTTTTCTGTTTCCTGGTTTAAATCTGGGTTCTAGGCTGCAGAGCAAGCAGCATGGGGAACGGGGACACTAAAGGGCAAGTGTCCTGGGGGACTTATCTGGAGCTCTCAAGATGGTGAGATCAGTACTTTCACCTGCTTACATGCAACTAGGTGCTGCTGTGTGACCTCTGAATAGTCCTGGCCCTACTGCAGGGTCACTACCCCTGCTGACCCCACCATCAAAACCTCTGGATTGTTGATGCTGGGTCTCCAAATCTGCGCTTTGCATGCACCATGAAACTTGTTGCCAACTGTAATTTCTTGATGTGTGCAAGTGGGTTACATAATACCCAACCCATAGGATGCTAGAAGGACTGGGGAGACAGCATTTGATCAGGGCCTGGCACTCACTAGGCCCTCAGTGGGGCCATCCCAGTAAGCCTGGTTCAACACCCACGGGAACTAAGCCTGCTGTTGCAGATTCTCGGTCGTCTGCCTGTGTGCCGAGTAAGTCTTTCGGGGGCCAGATGGTCAGGGTAAGTCTGTGTGCTCAAGTTAGAGATGTGGATTTGGGAGTGATCAGGGCTCAATAGAAATGCATCATTGAAAGACAGGCCTTTCAATGTCAGTTGGTGCAAGATGGGCCTACAGAGGTCCATTGTGCAGTGGGCTTTCAGTCCCGTGTTTCAGACACCCTCCAGGTTTGGGATGGGAGGGGCAGAGTTGTTAGGGGAAGTGACAACACCCCTGAGCCTCCCTCCAAACCCATATTTAGGATTGTCTAAGGCCAAATGTTGAAATAAGCAATGGTTTCCCCAAGGCCCCCTGCTTCCTCTTTCTGCACCCTTCTATTCTTTCAGTGCCCTTCCTCCAAGCACCCAGGAAAACAAGGGTCCAAAAACAAAAAACTCCGAGACAGAGGGCAGCAAAATAGGAGCCAAATGCAGCCTACCACCTGCTTTTTACAGCCCATGAGCTATCAATGGTTTTTACATTTTTAATTGGTTGGGAAAAAATAATATTTTGTGACACATTAAATTCAAATTTCAGTGTCCATAAATAAAGTTTTATTGGAACACAGCCACAACCATTTGTTTACAGATTGTCCATGGCTGCTTTCAGCCGAGGTGAGGAGGTATAGGCTTGCAAAGTCTAAAATATTGACTCTCTGGCCCTTTAAGGAAAAGCTTGCCGATGCCCTGCTCTAGGATGTGTCTTGTGCCCAAGAGATCTGCTTTCCAAGGAAAGGGCAAACCAGTCAAATCCAGGCAGATGTGCAGAGGAGACACTGGACAGGGAAGCCTTCCTGATCCTTCTGGTGACACTGGAGGAGCAGAGGGGAGATAACTCTCTAATCCTGCAGATGGAACTGCTTCTGTCCACACTGAGTTAGGGGGCATGGAAACAGTGGGTTCAGGCCTATGACTCATTCTAACAGTATAAATAGCAGGATTCAGAAGGTGATTAATCGTCTCCAGTGAGCCCACCCTACCAGCTTCCCTGCCAGGCTGGTGGCAGCGATTTTACCTGAGGCCTTTATTGTTCCCAGGGTCCTGCAGGCTGCCCTGGGGTCGGCCCTGAGCAGTATATTCATTGCTCACCTTTCTCCTGTCTTTGCAGAGTTTGCCTTCTGCCAGGTGGATGCCTCCATCGCTCTGGCCCTGGCCCTGGCCGTCCTGTGTGATCTGCTCCAGCAGTGGGACCAGTTGGCCCCTGGACTGCCCATCCTGCTGGGATGGCTGTTGGGAGAGAGTGATGACCTCGTGGCCTGTGTGGAGAGCATGCATCAGGTGATCCCGGGGTGTCAGGGGAGTAGGAGGCAGGGTTGGAGTGTCCTAAACCCGCTAGATGCAGCACCTACAGCCTCAGCTGGGCTTTTGCATGCTTAGACACAGAGCAGGAACCACTAGGAAAGTCACCCACTGGGTGCTGCCGAGGACACGGGGACACTCTTAGGCTGACTTCTGGGGTGCTGATGGTCAGCCTCCAGCTTAGCCAGGGGAGAGAACTCGGAAAGAAGCCCCTGGCCGGGCACAGCGGCTCATGCTTGTAATCCCAGCACTTTGGGAGGCCAAGGCAGGCGGATCATGAGGTCAGGAGATCGAGACCATCCTGGCTAACACGGTGAAACCCCGTCTCTACTAAAAATACAAAAAATTAGCCGGGCATGGTGGTGGGTGCCTGTAGTCCCAGCTACTCGGGAGGCTGAGGCAGGAGAATGGCGTGAACCTGGGAGGCGGAGGTTGCAGTGAGCCGAGATTGCACCACTGCACTCCAGCCTGGGCAACAGAGCAAGACTCCATCTCAAAAAAAAAAGAAAAGAAAAGAAAAGAAAAAAAGAAGCCCCTGGATGCGGAGAGTTTTATTATGGAGACTGCTTGTTAGTCAGTATTGGAGTTAGCCTGGGGCTTCCCAAAGTTAGGTCTGAGGGTGAAGCATTTTCAGAGAATTAGGATCTTTGCTGGGAACTTCCTGCTTGAAGAAAACTATTATTAGCCCCCTCCAGGGTGGGTGCAGTCACAGATAGGGAAACTGAGGACAAAGACAAGCAGCAAAAGCATCCTGAGAACTGAAATTGATCGCCACCAGCATCTGACTCAGCTGGCCTTCTTGGCATCCCCAGCAGGCCAAGGGTTCAAAACGCATTGTCCCTCTTTATGAGAAATTTGGAGACATGGTAAGTGTCTGACAAAAGGACCTTGAGAATCACAGTGTTATAGAAACAGGACACAGCCTAGTGTCCTGTGTTTGGAGATTCCTTCCTCTCTGGCCTGCTGCAGAGATGACCTTTCCTCCCTCCTCTCCAATTTCCAGCTGCACCTTAAACTCTAGAGCCCACTCCCTTGTTGAAGTCCCCTTTTCAGCATCCATCCCCCAAAGTATCTTGACTTTGAACCACAAACACATCTTTATCCAAGGTCATGTTAAGTCTGGGGAAAAAATTCCTCTCTGGTGGAGAAATACAGTGAGTGAAAATAGAAGGTGACCTTCAAGGCTGCAAGTGGTGTGTGTACATGGATGTTGACAGGCAAGAGTGCACCCTCTGTCAGGTGGGGGAAGGGAAACCCCTCTTGCATCTGGCAGGGTACTGCTTGGTCTGGACTGGGGCTTGTCACCATTCCCTGTAAGACTGACTTTCGGCTTTTTCATCTGATTTAGGTGGAAGAAGACTACCTGTTTGAAAAAGCAGAAGTCAACTTTTGGGCCGAGACCCTGATCTTTGTGAAATACCTCTGCAAGCACCTCTTCTGTCTCCTCTCAAAGTCCGGCTGGCGTCCCCCAAGCCCTGAGATGCTCTGTCACCTTCAAAGGATGGTGTCAGAGCAGTGCCACCTCCTGTCTCAGTTCTTCAGAGAGCTTCCACCAGCTGCTGAGTTTGTGAAGACAGTGGAGTTCACAAGACTACGCATTCAAGAGGAAAGGACTTTGGCTTGCTTGAGGCTGCTGGCCTTTTTGGAAGGAAAGGAAGGGGAAGACACCCTAGTTCTCAGTGTTTGGGACTCTTATGCAGAATCGAGGCAGTTAACTCTTCCAAGAACAGAAGCGGCATGTTGAAGAAAATCTGGGGGATTGGGATGGGGGTATGTGTGGATTTTTCCTCCACTAAATCTGCAGGAAACATGTTGAACATAAATTCAAAAATTTTATCCCATTCATGCCTCCCCTACTTCTGTGAGTCCAGTCGTCTGTCACTCCTTACAGAGAAACTTTTCTTCAGTTCACTCATTCAGGGCAGCCTATTTTATTGCTGCTACTGTAGGAAGTGAGGCGACTCCGTTGCAGATTTACTCTGTCCCCAGGTGCAGGCCACCTGCAGGCCTGAATGAGCCTTTTTCATCCCCCAGGGCCTCTAATGCCCTGCCATAGCCGCCCTGCATTCTCTGTGAAATGACTACAGAGAGTTGGATTTTAGCACATACACATGATCCCTCCCCTCTCCCCTTTTCTGGCTTTATGTAGGGGCTGGATTAGTTGGCAAACAGCCCATTTGGTCAGATTTGTGAATTTTGTTCCATTTTAGCAAAGCAGAAATATGTTCCAAATGTTGGATCCTGGGAGAATTCAGGATCAACTTTGCACAAATAATTTATTTTTATTGTCTGCATGTGTTAAGTCCTGCAGTGACCTACACATTCCATCCTAATTATTCAAAGAGCCATTGAGCATTTCCCCTACCCCCCAAAAAGTATGCTAATGCTAGGAAACCTGATTTTGCCACCCAGTGAAAGTATATCCGTCCTCTTAGCTGTGAGGAGGAACCTGGGGAAAGGAGAGTCAGAGAAAATGACTTATTCTGTGCCTACATTGTTTACCTATCGCTTGGTGGCAGTAACAAGTGTCTCACTTAAAATGCCATTAAACACATTTATCAGCTGGGCGCGGTGTTTCACACCTGTAATCCCAGCATGTTGGGAGGCTGAGGCGGGTGGATCACAAGGTCAGGAGTTCAAGACCAGCCTGGTCAAGATGGTGAAACCCCCGTCTCTACAAAAAATGCAAAAAAAATTAGCTGGGCGTGGTGGTGGGCGCCTGTAATCCCAGCCACTCGGGAGGCTGAGGCAGAGAATTGCTTGAACCCGGGAAGCGGAGGTTGCAGTGAGCCGAGATCGCACCACTGCACTCCAGCCTGGGCGACAGAGTGAGACTCGTCTCAAACACTCAAACACACACACACACACACACTCTCACTCTCTCTCTCTCTCTCTCACATCCTTTGCAGTGATTTTAATCTAGAAACCTTAATGATTTTCTTCCTTTTCAAGCCCAGCCCAGCCCTCTTCCTCACACATCCAGCAGGTGGCGCTCTTGCAAACGTTTTGCTGCTGGTCCAGTTTTTCACTGGCTCACCATTTTTCATTTATAATTTCAGAATAAGTGTTACCCACTAATAGTTATCTTGAGAATCATAGCTTTGGAAGGGTAGTAGCTTCATCCGCATTCATTTTTCATCCTACTGATCTGAAAAAAACATTTCATAGTATGTAAATTTGCTCCAGATTTTAGGGTCTGTAAAAAAAAAAAAGTACTCAGGTAAATGATCACTTAGAGTAATTTCATTGATGTTTCACAGAGTCTGAAGGGGCGGGTTAGAGGAGAGTGAGTTTACAATCATTTCCTACTGCAGAAAAGCTCATATTTCAAATGTAATTCATCGCTCTTCGAGAGAAAACCATCTAACACTAAAAATGCAGCTGTAAGCCAGGCATGATGGTGCACACTTGTAATCCCAGCTACTCAGGAGGCTGAGGTGGGAGGATCGCCCAGGAGTTCATGCCTGTGAAAGGCCACTGCACTCCAGCCTGAGTAACACAGCAAGACCCCATCACTAAAAGAAAGGAATTTAAGAACAAAAAAGCAGCCATACTGGAAGTATAGGAAAGGGGCTTTGTAGGAAGAGGCAGGAAAGAAGTTAACTCAGTGTCCAAAGTTTTGTCCTAAAGAGAACAGGAAATTCCCTGGGTGGTTTTGCAACCACTCGGCCCCAAATGTGGTTTTTGTGATCCTGAATTAATTACCTAGTTAGGAAACTGTGTAGCCCACACCTGATGGAAAGCTGCCAACCTAACACTTTTTGTTCTAAGACCTAGCTGGTGAGAAGTGAGGGACTTGGTAAAATAAATGTGGTGATAACCACAGAAAAATAATAATGAAACTGGCCCAACAAAGCCCAGCTCATTGGAAATGGCCAGCACTTCTTTTTTTCTCCATTTAAAATGAAATAAAAGCAGCTACATTAGACATTTTATACTAGCAGGTACTCTGTACACAAGCATGTCCCGTAACATGTCCACATGTTATCTCCAGAATCCTAATCTGCAAAGTGGGTGTTCTCACAGCTGTTGACTGGGACTCACCCCAGATTTGGACGTTGTTTCAAACAGATGTTTCCACTGGTTCTGTATCTGAAATCTTGTTACTAACCTAATAGGAGTGCCTAGGGAAGTGGCTGTTTCACAGTTTGGTGAGATGTTTGGGGTCATCTCACCAAAGAACAAACCAGACCACAGTTGCCCAGGTATGTCAAGGGGTCAGTGTAGGGTAGGTGCTAAAAGTGAAACTGGTCCCTCTGAGGTCACCTGCTCTTGGCTGTGAGTCCTAGGGTCCAGGACTTGGGTGCCCCCACAGCTCTGCACTCATGATTCTGTGGCTCTCTGTCCATCTGGCCACAGTTCAGAAGCCAGGCTTTCTCCACCCTTACGCTTTTGTCAATTTGGTTTAATACATAAAGATGGTTTAGTTCTTGCTTGTCTTTTAAACACCTTCACAGATATCATTTGCACCTTGCCAAAGGTGAGAGATGAATAAAGCAAGAATATTATCTTCGTTTAACAAGGAAACCCAAGTACCAAAGAGATGATGTGATTTGCCTAAGACCACATGATTTCTCTGGGGCAGGACCTGAACTCCAGCCCAGCATTCCTGATCCTTACCCTGGACTCTGGCTCCCTGGGCCATGAGGGGAGTACAGTAGTGGGAAATGCAGGATACACTCCAGGGACTCGAATCCCTGAGTGGCAGGCCTAGTTCTTTCCCCAGCGGGTCCGGGGCCTTCGAGCTTCAGGCCCAAGCTTTTTGTGGCAACCTGTATGAACGCGGAGGGAGAAGTGCCCTAGACCAGACTCCAGATCGTTCCTAGTGGGGCTGTCAGCGGCTTTAGCCTCACTGGGCGCTAGATGGGAGTGTCCCCTCCGTACCCGGACGAAGGCGGGGCGCCCGCTGGCAAAGCGCATTTTCCAGCGCAAGCTGTTGGGGTGCGGGGCTGGCGAGTGAGGGAAAACAGAGGGTGGCGCGCCCACCATCAGCGTCTGTGCAGCCCCACCTGCGCCGCGGGTTGGTCTCAGCCGGATCCTGCAGCCCTCATCGAGCAAAGGCTGGGCGCGGCGCCCCCACTGCCGGGGAGGGAAGAGGCTGGGAGGACGCAACAGGCCCAGGCTGTGCCGGGCGGGGAGCCTCGGCAGGCAGCTGCACCCCCAGCCCCAGAGGGCTGGGGAAGGCCGGCCCGACCAGCAGACGGAAAGGTGGCGCTAAGTCGCCTTCAAGCCCGCACGGCTCTCCCGGCCTTTCCTCCTGTCCTCAGAGTCAGCTCCCCCGCCCGGGACGTCCCGCGCCACTCCGCGCCTTTGGCCCTGGCTCAAGGTCTTGTGATGTGATTAGCAAAGCCAGCGCCTTGTCCTCAGACACTCAGCCCTGCCCGGCAGGCCCCGGCGCTCAAGCCCTGTTTACTGAGCCTGGGCGGGGAGGGGGCGGAGAAACGAGCCCGGGCTCCACCGGCAAGACTGCCGCGGCGGCCGCCCGCGTGGCCACCCCCACCCCCACCGCGACTCCACGTGCAGTCGGGCTGGAGCCGCCACCGACTGGACGCAGGCCCCGAGCCCCCGCCTCCTGGCCGGGGCACCCTTTGCAAACCCGCCGGGCCGCGGGGATGGTTGCGATATTCTGGCATTTTGCAATTCCCGCGCCCAGTACAAAACCGAAGGTGGGAGCTTAAAGCTCCACAGGTCCGCCTCGGAGAACAGGGCAGGGAAAGACACGTCCAGGGCTGCAGAATCCCGGCCACGCTAAACGTACCGGGGCTCTCCGACCGCGCAGCCCCGGAGGAGAACAGCCGTGCCTTCCCGCCGCCACCCGGCGGCATCCACTGGGGCCGAGAGCTACACGCCACACCGGCCGCCCGGGCCGCCGGCCCCGCCCGGAGGCCTCCAGCACCCTCCCCCGGAGGAAAAAAATTGGCGGCGGCCAATGGGAGGCCGGGAAGGCGCCTGACGTCCGCGAGCGGGCGGGCGGCGTTGCCTGGAGACCCCGGCGGGGGCCGAGTTCTGTCCCCTCCCCCGGCGCGCCCGCCCCGCCGCAGCCGCACTCCCGGGCTCTATATAGGGCGCGCGCTCGGAGGCCGCCGAGTTCCAGCAGTCCGCGAGCTGCCGTCGGCTCCGCGGGGGGGGCGGGCCGGGCACCCCGGGGCGCGGAGGAGCGCTCCTCGCTTCTCTCCTTCCCCCCTGCCGCACTCCGCCGGACCCTCCCGCCGGCCCGCGCCGCTGCACTCGCCCTCTCCTCTCGCCCCCCGGCAAACTTTCGGCCCCTCCCCGCCCCTCGCCCGTTATTCGTCGTGGCTCAAGCCCGGCCACGCCGCCCCAAGGGCTCCTCCCGACCTCCCGGCCTGCCGCTCCGGCCACTGCGGGATCCAGAAACATGTCGACCACACTTCTGTCCGCCTTCTACGATGTCGACTTCTTGTGCAAGGTAGGCCAGGGAGCGGGCCCGGCCGGCAGCAGCCGTTGTAGTTCTTGGACTTTGCCTCTGTCCCCAGGTTCTGGGGGACGCCCCTCCCGCCCTGCCTTTCAGGTCGGGAAAGTCCCGGGGTTTGCAAAAGAGTGTCCGAGCGCCCTGGAGGCGGGGAGGGCGGCAAGGAGGGCGCCGGTGTCGCGGTTGAGTTTCTCCACTGCCGACCGCGGCCACGCTGCCCGGGGCTTCCCGGACAGGCTTCGCGCCGCCCACCTCGGCAGCCGGGGCGGAGGATCACGTGTCGAAACCCAGCGCGGCCCACGGTGGGCGTCCTCCCCTCTCCCGCTCCGTCCAGCAAGATCTTGCTGGTTTTGCGCGTGTATAGGTGGAGGGTGGAGGCCGAGTCGGGATCCGCCAAGAGTGGGGGAAAAAAAGGAAAAGAATCAGGCTGGGAGTTCCTCTGCGGCTCGCCCCGAGTCTGTCTTCCCCTTCCGTTTTTCATCCCTTCCCCGCTCCCCTCCCTTTGGCAGACAGAGAAATCCCTGGCCAACCTCAACCTGAACAACATGCTGGACAAGAAGGCGGTGGGGACGCCTGTGGCCGCCGCCCCCAGCTCGGGCTTCGCGCCGGGATTCCTCCGACGGCACTCGGCCAGCAACCTGCATGCACTCGCCCACCCCGCGCCCAGCCCCGGCAGCTGCTCGCCCAAGTTCCCGGGCGCCGCTAACGGCAGCAGCTGCGGCAGCGCGGCGGCCGGCGGTCCGACCTCCTACGGCACCCTTAAGGAGCCGTCGGGGGGCGGCGGCACAGCCCTGCTCAACAAGGAGAACAAATTCCGGGACCGCTCGTTTAGCGAGAACGGCGATCGCAGCCAGCACCTCCTGCACCTGCAGCAGCAGCAGAAGGGGGGCGGCGGCTCCCAGATCAACTCCACGCGCTACAAGACCGAGCTGTGCCGGCCCTTCGAGGAGAGCGGCACGTGCAAGTACGGCGAAAAGTGCCAGTTCGCGCATGGCTTCCACGAGCTGCGCAGCCTGACTCGCCATCCGAAGTACAAGACCGAGCTGTGCCGCACCTTTCATACCATCGGCTTCTGCCCCTATGGGCCGCGCTGCCACTTCATCCACAACGCGGACGAGCGGCGGCCCGCGCCGTCGGGGGGCGCCTCCGGGGACCTGCGTGCCTTTGGCACGCGCGATGCGTTGCACCTGGGCTTCCCGCGGGAGCCGCGGCCCAAGTTGCACCACAGCCTCAGCTTCTCGGGCTTCCCGTCGGGCCACCATCAGCCCCCGGGCGGCCTCGAGTCGCCGCTGCTGCTCGACAGCCCCACGTCGCGCACGCCGCCGCCGCCCTCCTGCTCTTCGGCCTCGTCCTGCTCCTCCTCCGCCTCCTCCTGTTCCTCGGCCTCCGCGGCCTCCACGCCCTCGGGCGCCCCGACATGCTGCGCCTCCGCGGCGGCCGCGGCTGCGGCCGCTCTGCTGTACGGCACCGGGGGCGCCGAGGACCTGCTGGCGCCGGGGGCCCCGTGCGCGGCCTGCTCGTCGGCCTCGTGCGCCAACAACGCCTTCGCCTTCGGTCCGGAGCTCAGCAGCCTCATCACGCCGCTCGCCATCCAGACCCACAACTTTGCCGCCGTGGCCGCCGCCGCCTACTACCGCAGTCAGCAGCAGCAGCAGCAGCAGGGCCTGGCGCCCCCCGCGCAGCCGCCGGCGCCGCCCAGCGCGACCCTCCCCGCCGGGGCCGCCGCACCTCCCTCGCCGCCCTTCAGCTTCCAGCTGCCGCGCCGCCTGTCCGACTCGCCCGTGTTCGACGCGCCCCCCAGCCCCCCGGACTCGCTGTCGGACCGCGACAGCTACCTAAGCGGCTCCCTGAGCTCCGGCAGCCTCAGCGGCTCTGAGTCTCCCAGCCTCGACCCTGGCCGCCGCCTGCCAATCTTCAGCCGCCTCTCCATCTCCGACGACTGAGGCAAGAGGGCGCCAGTGAGGAGGAAGGGAAGGCGGTTCAGAGATGTTGGAGGACACCCCTCGCCATCTCGCCCTTGCTGGGGGCACGGGAGTGGGGGGGGTGACATGGGCCCTAGGCAGACTGCAAGCCCGACCGAGCACTTGGACTCGAACTCTGTGCCGGGAGGGGCCCCCACCCCTCCTTTTTCGGTTTCCTCTTGTCTTTTTTTTTTTATTTTTATTACGAAGTTTCATTCTTTTTGAGCAAAAAAGTCGAACTTTTTCTGTTGAACAAAATATTCACAACAGGGCAGTTGTGATACGAATAGAACAAAAAAAAAAAAAAAACACTTAAACTTTGTTAGGACTCCGATGAGTTTGGGACTTCAGGAAAAATCAACCCAGCACCAGCAGCTACCAACCACCATTCCATCTCTTCACTTGAACAGCATTAGTTAAGTCCAGATGTGGGAACCCTTCTCTTGGAAGAAGTTCCTAATTGTGTCTCAGACCGGTGTAAACAAACCAGCCAGCCGCCACCTTGCTAAACCTATAAGCTTTTTAAAATCCAATATATTCTGCCAAGAATATGCCTTGATAGTTAGCCCTCAGCCCATAGGTGTTTTTTGTTTTTTAACAGAATTATATATGTCTGGGGGTGAAAAAACCCTTGCATTCCAAAGGTCCATACTGGTTACTTGGTTTCATTGCCACCACTTAGTGGATGTTCAGTTTAGAACCATTTTGTCTGCTCCCTCTGGAAGCCTTGCGCAGAGCTTACTTTGTAATTGTTGGAGAATAACTGCTGAATTTTTAGCTGTTTTGAGTTGATTCGCACCACTGCACCACAACTCAATATGAAAACTATTTAACTTATTTATTATCTTGTGAAAAGTATACAATGAAAATTTTGTTCATACTGTATTTATCAAGTATGATGAAAAGCAATAGATATATATTCTTTTATTATGTTAAATTATGATTGCCATTATTAATCGGCAAAATGTGGAGTGTATGTTCTTTTCACAGTAATATATGCCTTTTGTAACTTCACTTGGTTATTTTATTGTAAATGAGTACAAAATTCTTAATTTAAGAGATTGTATGTAATATTTATTTCATTAATTTCTTTCCTTGTTTACGTAAATTTTGAAAGATTGCATGATTTCTTGACAGAAATCGATCTTGATGCTGTGGAAGTAGTTTGAGGAACATCCTATGAGTTTTCTTAGAATGTATAAAGGTTGTAGCCCATCCAACTTCAAAGAAAAAAATGACCACATACTTTGCAATCAGGCTGAAATGTGGCATGCTTTTCTAATTCCAACTTTATAAACTAGCAAAAAAGTGTTTGCTTATTCCACCAGTTCTACTGTGACATACTCGAGTATAAAGACATGTAGCAATAACGGGGAGTGGGGGGGGAGTCTCACAGTGCCTTTGGAAGGGCCCGAACTTGCCTTAAATCTTCCTCAACCAAATAAGTATTTTATTAGTGCTTGAGAGAATCTGAATGTAGGATGGGTTCAACTGCACAAAAGGAAAAGATTTTTACCACTTTTTTTATATAGATATAAAGTGAAGCAACCGCCTTAGTGCTGAAATATGTAGTACATGAATATGCCTTGTTTAATTACAGAAAATTCCAAAACTTGTACTATTTTTTTTTCCATGTAGAAAGGCAGGAATGTCTCCTAAGCTTTCCTGGACAGCAGATGAATGAGCGGTAGCTTTAGTTTGTACGTAGGTACAGTTGGAGCACTATATGTACTCTCTGGACTACTTTGGACAGAAGTAGGTTTTTGAATGTAACAAGATAAGTCAACTTGAGTTGTAATATATTTTGGGGAATCAGCTCACTACAAATTGTGACTGTAAACATTGTACTGTAAATGTTTTGTAGTTTTCCCCCAATAAAATTTTTGGGAAAAAAAGGTATTAACATGTAAGAGCTTTCTTTTTAAACAGGAATGTCTTAGCTTTCTAGCTTCCCAGCTAACCATGTCTGCCATTCCCCAGGTCTTGGCATGGTGGGGGAGGACTTGGAGAGCTGGCAGAGCCAGAGTTCAGAAGAGCCTGCGTCCTCTCAGCCCGTATATATTTTATAAGCAAGTTCTTCTAATGAAAGAAAGTAATTATTTGGACTGTCAAGGGCATTAGTTAGCTAGTTGTTCCCTTTGGTAATAAGATGCATCCCAGAGTTAGCTGGCTGGGAGCAGAGCCTGGCCGGGAGGCCTGAAGGGGTGTGGCCTGCCTGTGAGTCACTGAGTGGATCATGTGGCTGCGGTAGCAGCTGAGGGTCCGATTTTTTGCTGGGAAACACAACTGCTTGGGTGGGGAAGGGGAGGAGGATCTTTCTGCAGCCGGTGGCCTGCCAGGCCTGAGTGCTGAGCTGGAGGTGGAGAGTGAGGCCAGGCTTTTTCTGGGTCGGAGAACTGGAGTTCTGCCTGGATTTTGGAAAGCTTGGTATGTCCTTGTGGACAGGGTGGAGGGGAAGATTAAAGAGGTTAAACTTATATCTGGGTGATGTTTGCTTATGCGGACAACTTCCTCTGGGAATGAACACATACAAGTTATTTATGCAAAAAAGATTTCTTGTCTGTGCTTTAGAGGACTGTAAGTGACCAGAAAGCAAATTCAACCCAGGTCTCTAGAAAAAGGAAGGAAAAAAAGACATTGATTTGCCTGCTGATTTCGCAAACGGTTGAACAAAATCTTACTATAGTGACTCTGGCTGTTTCTAACTTTAAAACAATCACTTTAGGAACTTAAATCGGGTTCATAAATCAATTCATGTTTCTTCTCCTCCACCGCCGTCCCTCATGCACACAGTTCAGACACTTTTTCCAAGGTAGGTAAGAGATTTAGCAATAGTTTGCTTTCTCATATACAACAGCTGGGCTCCATCAACAATCCTCGCATCCCCGCTCCCTCCCGGGCCCTGCCTTAGCCGGGGTCTCTGGTGACTCACAGCTGAGCATGGAGGGGAGGGGGCGGTCTGGTGGATACGCCAGGCCTCGGGCAGCTGTTTCACGTTAACGATGATTGCACTGGTGTTAACTGGAGCGTTTTGGTGCTTGTTGCTTGCTGCCAAAGGGGATGGGAAACAGTTTCAAGGTTCTCCCAGATGCCAGCCCCTGACTGAAGGCCTCAGCAGCAGGGGAGAGGAAGCCCGAGGCCAAGGAGGGCTCAGGAGGGGTGAAGACTGCAGGCTCCCTGGCCCCTACACCATAAAGAATGTGCAGTGGGGAGGAAAAGTCTAAAATGTGCTATTTAGGTTAAGCTGCATTTCAAAGGCCTTGTTTCCACTTCATTCCTAAACTTATTTTTCTAAACAAGTACTTTTGATCAGCTGGAATGTTGGGGGTAAGCCACATTCATTTTTAAAAACTGGTTTGTTTGAAAAGCCCAACTGTTAGGATCTGAAGTTTTGTATCGCAGACCCAGTGGAGCGTGGAAAGCTACGGGGGGATCATTCAGAAATTTCCTCTTGCCCCAGATCAGTGGAGGGTACTGTCATTGTCTTCCTGCAGCGCCTGGAAATTAACAGCAAAAAAACCTCTACCGTTGCTTGATCACCCTTAGAAAAGTTTTCTTGTAAATTAAGGAAATAGAAGTAAAGATTGCAAGTAATGACAAACCAAAATTCCCATCCCGGACTGTTGACTCTAAGACTGAGTTGCA